>NC_000002.12:232641133-232944163 GCF_000001405.40 Homo sapiens
CCGGGCTCAAGTGATCCTCCCGCCTTAGCCTCCTGAGTAACTGGGACTACAGGCACGACCACCATGCCCAGCTAATTTTTGTATTTTTTGTAGAGACGGGGTTTTGACATGTTGCCCAGCCTGGTCCTGGGCTCAAGTGATCCTCCCATCTCTGCCTCCCAAAAGTGTTGGTTACAGGCATGAGCCACCGCACCTGGCCACAATCGGAGTTACTGAGAAATGGAACGAAAGGTCTTGCAAGGTGGTGAGCTGCTTTCTCTGGAGTTTCACTGGAAGGGAGGTACTCTGACTCCCTGGCGTGAGAGGCTTGCAGTTAGGAAGGGCCGAAAGCTTATGGAGGCTAGGAGATGGGCTGTGTGACTTCCAAGATTCTTTCTAGGCCATGGGTGGGCAAAGTTGTTCTGTTAAGGGTCAGATAATCCATCTGTTTGGCTTTGGGCCCTAAGGTTTCTGTTGTCCCTCTGCAGCCTGCCATTGTGATATGAAAGCAGCCACAGGCAATATGCAAATGGCATGGCATGGCTGTGTTCCTGTAACACTTGGTGAGCATGATTTGGCCTGCAGGCCCAAGTTAGCCAGCCCCCATGCTAGGCAGTCGCTTTAGAATCTTGAATCCAGAGCCTGATCTCATTTGTCCCCTTTCTCACTTCTCGGCCTTTCCTCCCATCAGTGGCCTCAGGTCCAGAGGGGACACGGTGGAAGCCTGGTGTCCCCCCAGTTGGGTAGGCAGCATAGTGAGGCCTGAGTTCCAGGACCCCAGAGTTGCTTTTGGAAGATTAGCACTGGAGAAGGAGCAGGACCTGCATCTGCTTCTTCTGCGGGCTGAGGAAGCCTCGCAGCTGGCGCTCACAGCTGGAGCCCCGGGGTAACACTCCCCACCCTAGGAAGGCTTGCCTTCCTATGGCTTCCCCTAAGAGGTGGTCCATGGTGTGTTTGAGCTTAAAAACTCCCAATGAAAAAGACAAATGAGGCCGGGAGTGGTGGCTCACGCCTGTAATCCCAGCACTTTGGGAGGCCGAGGTGGGTGGATCACAAGGTCAGGAGCTTGGGACCAGCCTGGCCAATATGGTGAAACCCCGTCTCTACTAAAAATACAAAAATTAGCAGGGTGTGGTGGTGGGTGCCTGTAATCCCAGCTACTTGGGAGGCTGAGGCAGGAGAATCACTTGAACCTGCAAAGCAGTGAGCCAAGATTGCACCACTGCACTCCAGCCTGGGCGACAGAGTGAGACTCTGTCTCAAAAAAAAAAAAAAAAAAAAAAAAGACAAATGAGAAACAAAAGCTAATTAGCCTTGGGTGTCTGCTTAGCCCCGTGGTTGGAGCAGGAGCTCTTGACTTCCGGTCTTGGAACTCTCGCCAATAGTGTGTGGAATTGCACTCTCACACCTGCTGGGAGACCTTGCTTTTCAAGGGGGTGTACAGCTCCTCACCCCAGAAAAATTTGAGATCTACTGGTTTGGAGGGAAATGGGAGATAAGAATCTTATGACTTAAGGAAAACTTATTTTTTGTTATCAAATTATAGTGTTCCCCATTGAAAATTTCCTTTAAAACTGTAAAGATCTTTAGGAAGTAGAGAGTGGAAGCCGATGCTGTTCTGTTCCCGAGGGTCACCTGCAGCTGTTCCCGAGGGTCACCTCCAGCTGTTCCCGAGAGTCACCTCCAGCTGTTCCCGAGGGTCACCTCCAGCTGGTTGGGTGCATGTTCTTACACAAGATTGTGAGAGACGATCTATGCTGTTCTGCCTGTATTACTTGGGAGGCCTTTGGCTCAAATGATGGAAAACTCTGCCCCAAACTCACTAATGAATAAAGAAATGGATCATCTCATGGATGAGGGCGTCCAGAGGACAAGGGTGGCCCTGGGGCAGTGGTTGGTTGCTGCTGTCATCCAGGACTTGGGTTCCGTCCTCTGCCCTCTGCCACCCTCTGTGCTGGCGTCAAGGTGGCAAGGTGTGAGTTTCCCCGAGTCACATCAGCTGCGACAAAATCCAGAGGCAGGAAAGACCTAGAGTTCTTCTAAACAATGAGGAAATTAACATGTAACCAGCTAGAAGTGAAAAAAAAAAAGAAAAAATAAACAATGAGGAAATCTTCCTCTATGTGTGCCCCAAGCTGGCCTCTGGCATCCCATCACCAGCCCATCCGGGGTAGTTTCCATTCCCTGAGGGATGGAGCCAAAACTGGGTTCTGTTAGTGAGGAAGGAGAGGTGGGTTTTTACTGAATAACGTTCCAGGGCTCTTTTCTGTCCATCTGTGTGCTTTGTTTTCGTTTGTATTTTTTTTGTTTTTTGAGACAGGGTCTTGCTCTGTCACCCAGGCTGGAGTGAAGTGGTACGATCATGGCTCACTGCAGCCTCGACCTCCTGGGCTCAAGCCATCCTTCTGCCCGAGTCCCCGCACCCCAACACCTGGCTAATTTTTTTTTTTTTTAGTAGAGACGGAGTTTCACCATGTTGCTGAGGCTGGTCTCAAACTCCTGGGCTCAAGCAGTCTGCCCACCTTGGCCTCCCAATGTCCATCTGTGTTTTTTTGTTGTTGTTTGTTTGTTTGTTTTTGTTGTTGTTGTTTGAGGCAGTCTTGCTCTGTCACCCAGGCTGGAGTGCAGTGGCAAGATCCTGGCTCACTGCAACCTCCACCTCCTGGGTTCAAGTGACCCCCCTGCCTCAGCCTCCTGAGTAGCTGGGATTATAGGGCGTGCTACCACGCCCAGCTCATCTGTACTTTTGTGTACATGGGAGGGACTTTTGATGTCAGGCTTGGTTTCTGGAGGCCAGGCAGGGAGCAGCCCATTCCTGGGGGCTCCTGAAGGCCAAATGCATAGGTCTTTCCTGTGGAACATCATTTTCACTGGGATTCCCTGTGATTTTTCTCTTGCCTGTGGGGGTGGACCCACAGCTAGGAGTGCTGTGTGTGCAGTTGGTGCTGAGTGGGCTGTCTGTGTCGACCGCTCCCAGGCCAGCTTTCAGGGAACCCCTCCTTCCATCTCATGTTGCCCTTCCTCCCTCCAAAGAGCCTGGCATGGTGGGCCCGCCCCCTGGGTTTGGAGGGCTTGATCATTCTGCCTCACCCTCCTGACTGCTCACTGTCTTAGAAAACGTTTGGCTGCTACCCTGTGTCTCCCCAGACCCCCTCCCCAAACCTCTTTTATTCTTTTTCTCATCGGGGGTGCCATGCCCCTGATTTCGTCTCCTCTTAGAAGGGGCTCCAGCTGCTATCTTTGGCCAGGAGTTGCCATGCCTTGATGGTCCTCATTCCTTTAGTGGCTCCTGGGCTTCTGTGGCTAAGGGCACCTCTGTTGGCTTGGAGGCCTTTGTATAAGTCAGGTGTGAGTGTGTGTTGGGGGGTGTTCAGGGCTGGTTTTCTTTTCTTTTTTTTCAATTTTTTTTTTTATTTTTGAGACAGAGTCTCACTCTGTCGCCCAGGCTGGAGTGCAGTGGTGCGATCTCGGCTCACTGCAACCTCCGCCTCCCGGGTTCAAGCAATTCTGTCTCAGCCTCCCGAGTAGCTGGGATTACAGGCACCTGCCACCATGCCCGGCTAATTTTTTGTATTTTTAGTAGAGATGGGGTTTCACCATCTTGGCCAGGCTGTCGTGATCCACCTGTCTTGGCCTCCCAAAGTGCTGGGATTACAGGCGAGAGCCACTGCACCTGGCCTAATTTTTTTTTTTTTTTTTTTTAATTTTTAGTGGAGACGGGGTTTCTCCATGTTGGTCAGGCTGGTCTCAATCTCCGGACCTCAGGTGATCCGCCCACCTCGACCTCCCAAAGTGCTGGGATTACAGGCGTGAGCCACCATGCCTGGCAATTTTTTTTTTTTTTTTTTTTTGAGAGATAGGTCTTACTATGTTGCCCTGGATGGTCTTGAACTCCTGGGTTCAAGTGATCCTCCTGCCTCAGCCTCCTAAAATGCTGGCATTAGAGGTGTGAGCCACCATGCTGGCCTCCTGTTATTTTATTTTTTAATCTTAGCCTAGCACACCTTACTCCCAGTCATGTTGCTGAATGAAGGGAAATTCTTTGGTTTTGGAGCTCAGACCTGGGTTGGCAGTGACAGTGGCAGCATCCTTCCAGGCCAGGCAGAGCCCTGGAGCGGGCCACATCCAAGGCAGACACGCCTCAGCCCCCTGCCACGGGTCAGGTTTGCAGGAAGTAGGAGGATGGCCCCCTGCCTCGTGCCCACGGCTGGCCACTCTGCCCCTTCTGGGTGGTGAAACAGCAGAGACCCCCACCCCACAGGGCCGTAGCTGATCCCAGCTCTAGGGTTTGACATCTCCACCCCCAGGTTTCCCCAGCACCCCTCACTGAGCACCCACTGTGCCTTGGGACAGCCCTGATCAAAAAAATCTGGCTGCTGACAGCCCTCACTCTTTGCCCACGAGGACCTAGTGAACTCTGTTGCAGCCTTGGAGAAATGCTGGCCTCCGATGCTGTCCTGTTTGGCTTTGGTGGTGACAAGGTCTCTGCCTCCTCTCTAAATGCGTCGTGCCTCTCCACCCTATAATGGCTGACTTCATGGATCATTGGGTATCCCTAATGCCACCTAACAGCCCCACTGACTGTGTGCAGGGCTGTGCTTAGCGATTTCCACATGGGAACTCATGCTTCACGACACTCCAAAGGAGGTACGATATCAGACCCCATTTCACAGATGAGGAAACTGAGGCACAGAGAAGCCAGGGAACTCGCCTAAAGTCACACACCTTGTAAGCGGTAGAGCTGGGATTTGAACCCAAGTGGCCTGCACTCTTGTCCAGTGTCACATGCCCGTCTCACTAATGTTCTTCCCACCTCCCAGCTTTCCAGCCTCCAAATCTCAGCCATCCTCGACACCATCCCCTGCATAGCCAGGCAGGGCCTTGGCTGGCACAGTCTCTGCAGGCAGCCTGACCTCCAGGCCCTATTGGACCACCTGCCCTGAGCCTGTAGTAGCTGCCTCAGACCTGGCCTCCCCCATCCGTCCAACATGTTTTAGCCGGGCTCACCAGAGCCCAAGATGTCATTACCTTGCTTCCCTCTTCACAAGTTATTTTGGGTTGGGGTGGGGCAATATACAACATTCGGTAGCTCCCTATTGCCCAAGGAAAAAAGTCTAGACTCCTCATGTGGACCCTTAAGGCCCACTCCAGTTGGCTGTCACAGTCTTCTCTCTCTCTGGTTCCCCCCACCCAGGCCTTGCTCTCACTGAGCTGAATGGCCCCCACAGCCTCTCTCCTGTAACCCTGCAATTCCCAGTTGATTACACTTAGGTCTGTCCGTTGTCTGTTATTGCTGATTCTCTCTTTTCTCTTCTCTTCTCTTCTTTTTTTTTTTTTTTTTTTTTTTTTTGAGACAGTGTTTCACTCTGTCACCCAGGCTGGAGTACAGTGGCATGATCTCCGCTCACTGCAGCCTCCGCCTCCTGGGTTCAAGCTATTCTCCTGCCTCAGCCTCCTGAGTAGCTGAGATTACAGGCATGCGCCACCATGCCCAGCTAATTTTTGTATTTTTAGTAGAGATGGGGTTTCACCATGTTGGCCAGGCTGGTCTTGAACTCTTGACCTCAGGTGATCCCCACCCACCTCGGTCCCAGAAAGTGCTGGGATTACAGGCATGAACCACTGTGCCCGGCCGGTTATTGCTGATTCTTATGATGCTCCCCCACCTTCCAGAGTTTCCCTGGGAAAGCAGAGACAGAATGTTCATGGCTGAAAGTGGCTAACCTCTTCCTGCAGTCCCCACGCCCAGCCCAGGGCTTGGCCCAAGGCCATGGCAGAGTGGGCACCTTGACCTCTGTGGAGGCTTCTGAGCTCTGCCAGCTGTAGCTGCACTGAGGCCCTGATGACTGCTGAGAGGAGCTTCACAGCTCCCTGCGGCCATGGGAGGTAATGTGAGCCTTCAGTGGGGTCATGCGGTTCCCTCCAGCAGAGCCACTGACCCACACGGGCACACACCTGTAAGTGAGACCTGGAAAAAGGTAAGTGACCACCTTCTCAGGTTGTGCACAAGACCTCATGACCACTCGGTGTGCAGTCATGGCCTTAATTAGGGCACTTATGTTCCAGCCCAGTGTTCTTTCCACTGAGGGCTGCTGGGTTTAAGGTGGTGTGGGCCTGGAGTGGAGAAAGCAGGAAAAGGTCCTGCTGGCAGCAGTGGGTGGAGAGGAAATGTCGAGAGCTGCATGGGTGGCAGCCCAGGGTGTCCTCATCTCCCACTTGGGGTGATGGCCTGGCGCCCTGTAGTCCGCTTGCGTTGGGCTGGCTGCCCTGGCCTGCTCTGAGACCTGTGCCCCCTGGGCCACTGCACACCCCCTCGTCGGGGCCTCCCTCTGGCCGTTTCCTTCCCTGACCTTGGCACTGCTGGAACTGCACCAGGCACAGCCCAAATGGAGTCTAGTGTGGAAACCCTGTGTTGTTTGGGAACATCTGTTCCCTGATATCCACAGGGCTCCTGGGAATTCCAGAAGAATTAGGTTTCCAGGGGCCCTTCCAACCCAGTTTCCTGGCCCCTCAGGACTCTCCTGTTAGAACTTTTTTTTTTGAGACGGAGTTTTGCTCTTGTCGCCCAGGCTGGAGTGCAATGGCATGATCTCGGCTCACTGAAACCTCTGCCTCCCAGGTTCAAGTGATTCTCCTACCTTAGCCTCCCAAGTAGCTGGGATTACAGGCACCCACCACCACACCCGGCTAATTTTTGTATTTTTAGTAGAAACGGGGTTTCACCAGGTTGGCCAGGCTGGTCTCAAACTCCTGACCTCAGGTGATCCACCCACCTCGGCCTCCCTAAGTGCTGGGATTACAGGCATGAGCCACTGCACCCGGCCTCCTTTCAGAACTTTTATGCAGACCTGGCAAGGTGGCTCACTCCTGTAGTCCCGGCACTTTGGGAGGCCGAGGCAAGAGGATTGCTTGAGTACAGGAGTTCAAGACCAGCCTGAGCAACATGGCGAAACTCTGTCTTTACAAAAAATATGAAAAACTAGTTGGGCATAGGAGGTACGTACCTGTGGTCCCAGCTAGGCAGGAGGCTGAGGCGTGAGGATTGCTTGAACCTGGGAGTTGGAGGCTGCAGTGAGCTAGTATCACACTCACTGCAGTGAGTGAATAAGCCGAGTGTTTGGGGCACAAGGAGAGCTGGGAGTTTATCGGACAAAAGTGGCTATGAGTGGTTTGATTGGATGATGAAAACTTTGGGTCAAAGCTTTTGTATCTCTGAGTCCCCTGGCCCTTTTTCAGAGCCTGCCCACCCTCAGTCTGCATGCAGCTAGAGCATTGGGAGTGACTGTTTCCCAGCCCGCAGCTGGTTGGGCAGGAAGGAGGAGCAGGTGATTTGACAGCTGGGGAGGACCCACCCAACCAGAGAAAACTAGAAACTCAGAGAACCTTGCAGGCAGGGATGTAGGGAGAGGGACTACAGTCCTGTGACCTTAGGGAGTCTCCGAGGCTCATCTAGATAGGCACAGCTGGGGACACCCATAGGGTAACCCCAGGAGGGCCCCTGGGAAGACCACCTGCCGGTGGGTGTAGTCTGTGCTGCCCTTCTCTGCCTTGAACGTGCCCAGGGGCTGTGGTGTGGGGGGCTTGTGAACATGCAGGCTCTGATTCAGCAGGTCTAGGGGTCTCGGTAGAACTTGAGACTGCATTTGTAACACTCCTGGGTGACCGTGATGCTCTGGTCTGGGGACCTCACTTTGTGGGGCCAGCGCCTGGCTGTTGAAAAAGGCAATGCGTGATTTCTATTCCAAGCCTTTCTGTGTGAAGAGAAGAAGGTACTCTTGTGTCCTGGTGTCCCTGAGATGCAGGCAACCCCCTCCCATCACTAAGGCGTGTTCTGGGGCACTGCTACCCTCCTGAGAACACCCTATCTGAGAGATCCCTGGGGAGTTTCCAACAGCTGAACCTCTGGTGGACAAAGGCTGGCCAGCTTCTTTTTCCATGAATGGCAGGATAATTCCTGGGAGGGAAGTTAGAAAACCAAGAAAGCCTGGGGCTCTCTGCACAGTGGAAGCCAAGAGAATAAGTGACTGACTCATGGACCTGAAACCGGGAGGACGCCGGAGACCAGCCATTGTCCCTTGCTGCTGTCCTCTTGCTAGCTGGCCCTGGGTGGGGTTGGGGTCGGAGTCACCTCGGGCCCTTTGGCGGATCTGGGGGCTTTCCCAGGCAGTGGGCACGCACAGCAGCAGATGGTCAAGCGGCCCACACAGTCACGCCTCACTCTACCGCTCAGTGGTGGCCTCAACTAGTAGATGAGTTGAGAAGCCTTTTCCAGGAGACCTGGGGAGGCGGGCCTTATCCTCTGATAGGACTGGGCCCTAACAGTCACTCAGGAATGGCTTTGTGGAGCGGTAGCACAGTGACCATGGCAGGTGGCGGATTTGGGTTTTCCCCAGAAAGCTAAAGATGAGGCTGTCTGGGACAAGTTGGGTGTGGGCAGCTTGTTAGAGTGGAAGCCCTGGGAACTGTCTGCTTCCTCATGACCGCAGACAAGTGCTACTTTAAAAAAATAGCCTCCTCACCGATAGCTTACCTGGGCCTGTGTCCTGTGCAAGGGGATGATTTCCTTTGGGCCCCTCGACCACTCTGCAAGGCACACAAGGCTCATGGCAGTCTCAAGTTACAGATGGGGCCAAGTCTCTCCCAAGAGGGTGGTGGGGCTGGTTTAGAATCTTTCCAACTGCCAGTGGAACCAGAGTCTCCCCCTAACAGAGTCTGGAGACTATAAAGATGAAAGGGACTGAGCGTGGTGATACATGCCTGGAGTTCCAGCCACTTAGGAGGATCTCCTGAGCCCAAGAGTTCTGGGCTTTCTGGGGTCTGTGCCCATCGGGTGCCCACACTGAGCTCAGCATCAATACGGTGACTTCCCAAGAGGGGAGGTGGGGTTAGGGGGGATCACCAGGCTGCCTAAAGAGGGGTGAACTGGCCCGGGTCAGAAGCAGCAGGTCAAAACTCCCGTGCTGGTCAGCAGTGGGATTGCTCCTGTGAATAGCCACTGCACTCCAGCCTGGGCAACATAGCGAGGCCCTATCTCTAAAAAGTAACAATAGCAAAGATGAAAGGAACTGAGAAAATGGAAAATATGGGAAAAGGCCACAAGTCCACAAGGAAGCTCTAGGATGCAAACAGGGGTGCAGGGTCTTTTTACGGGTAGTTTTTCTTTACTGTTCTGGGTTGCCTTTTTTTTTTTTTTTTTTTTAAGAAGGTGTTTCATTCTCATTGTCCAGGCTGGAGTGCAGTGGTGCAATCTTGGCTCACTGCAATCTCCGCCTCCCAGGTCCAAGCGATTCTCCTGTCTCAGCCTCCTGAGTAGCTGGGATTACAGGCATGCGCCACCACACACGGCTAATTTTGTATTTTTAGTAGAGACAGGGTTTCACCATGTTGGCCAGGCTGGTCTCGAACTCCTGACCTCAGGTGATCCACCCGCCTCGGCCTCCCAAAGTGCTTTTTTTTTTTTTTTTTTTTTTTTTTGAGACTGAGTTTCACTCTATTGCCCAGGCTGGAGTGCAGTGGTGCGATCTTGGCTCATTGCAACCTCTGCCTCCCGGGTTCAAGCAATTCTTGTGCCTCAGCCTCCCAAGTAGCTGGGATTACAGGTGCTCACCACTATGCCTGGCTAATTTTTGCATTTTTAGTGGAGATGGGGTTTTACCATGTTGGCCAGGCTGATCTTGAACTCCTGACCTCAGGCAATCTGCTCGCCTCAGCCTCCCAAAGTGCTGGGATTACAAGTGTGAGCCACCACACCTGGTCTATTCTGGATTGCCTTTAATTAAAAATATATATGTATATGGATTAACGTTTAAATTATAGGGAAAAAAAGAGCTAAGATGTTGGCAGAGAAGGAGCTGGGAGCTCAGGGAACTCCAATAAGCCTGACAGCATTTGAAAGATGTAGGCTGTAGGGAGAAAAAGGAAAGACGGTGATCATTTGAAATAAGGAGGGAGGGATCCAGGGTTAGGCCAAGCATGTGGGGAGAAAGCAGGCCCCGGTCAGTTGGGCCCAGGGCTGGGGCTCTGTGGGGTCTCACTGGGGCCAGGGCCTCCCTCCTGGATTGAGGTTCATCCTCCCTCCCCAGGCCTCCCACTTTCAGGAGCTCTGGGGCTGGGAAGGGCATCTCTGCCCAGGGGAGGGGTGCCAGGCGTGCTATTCTGTGGGGTTCCCTTTCTACATGGCTGGATTCCAAATTGCAAGGAATGTGATAGCATTTTCATGGAAGGAGAGGGAGCAACAGACCTTTCAAGAATGAAGAAAACAAATCCACCTGCATTTGCCTTTCCCAGAGGCTCAGAAGTTTGATATAAGATCATCTGTTTGCAGGTAGCCTTGTCTTAAGGGGCTTTCACACTGCAGTTGCTTGGAGAACCTTCTAGCAGGTTAAAGATAAGTGTTCCCCCTTCCCCCGGTGTGTTTGGCCCTGGACCCTACCTGGGAGGCTGAGCCCCTCACTCCCAGTTTCCTTCAGCCACACCTGCCTGTGTGATGAGCACATTGAGGATTCTTTATCTTGTCTATTTTCCTTTATCTTTTCAAATACCTAACTCCAATACAAAAAATTAGCTAGGCGTGGTGGCAGGGTCCTGTAGTCCCACCTACTCAGGAGGCTGAGGCAAGAGAATCTCTTGAACCCCGAAGGCGGATGTTGTAGTGAGCCGAGATTGCGCCACTGCACTCCAGCCTGGGCAACAGAGGGAGATTCCATCTCAAAAAACAAACAAAACAAATACCTAACTCCAGTTTCTGTCTTTGTGAACTATTTTGGAGGGGCAACCTTGGCATTATGAGGACTGACCTGAAAATCAAGTCTCACTTCCCTAAAACCCAACTCCTGGCCATATCACCCAGCCTGGGGCAGAGCTGCGGGTTAGGGGGTCAGGCTGGGGGTCCTCCTTGGGCCTGATGATCTTGGGCTGATCCACCTTGGTGGGCCTGTTTCTCCATCAGCCAAACAGCACCACACCCCTCAGAGGAGCCTTGAAGGATTACATCAGATGACATTCATTTGAAGGGTATGGCTGGTGAGACTGTTTCTCTGAATGTCTGCAAGGCGGCAACATCAGCATTCCTCTTGGCGAACAATGAATTCCTTTGCATATGTCGGTAGCCATGGGACCATGCTTTGAGGCCAAAATCAGAATCCACAAATATTCAGAAACGTGACTCCTATCATTTCTGTCTACATCTGGAGAGATAATTGCCAAATGTCTAACTCTCACAGTTACAACAGTGACCTGGACATGGGGACACTGAGCACACACTGTGCCTTCTCTAGCCCCTTCCAAGTTCACGGGTACATCGTTCCTACTGTACTCGAAAGCTTAGCGTCTGCTTGAAACCCCGGGTTCATTCTGATCCCCAGGAATTCACTTACTTCAGTTTTCACCATCTCTGAAGCGGGGCTACTAATAACCACTTCACAGTACTGCTGTGTTCAGTGAGGTAATTTAGGACAGTGCCTGGCACTTCTAAGCTCTCAGGCAACCATAAAGGCAGGCGGCTGTGATTAATTCTTCACAGGACTGTTGTGAAGATCAAAAGGATCAGTACATGAGACAATGCCTCGTGAACTGCAAAGCCGACCAGTTTTAGTTACTACATGTTTGGAACCCTGCTGTGTGCAGTTCCCTAGGTAGACATCAGGCATTTTGAGAGAAGCAGATAGAATAGTGAGATGATGAAGATGTGAGGTTTTTCCTGCCTGTCTTGCAAATCCAGGCCCTAAAGGAAGTGACTAGACAAACCCTCCAAGGGTCACTTTGAAGAGAGAAAGATAGGTTTCTGGTGTATATATCCTGGCTCCATAGGAGAGGGGGTGCCACTGATGTTGTAGCTTTATTATTTTTTTTCTTTTTATTATACTTTTTGTTTGGTGGGGTGGTTGGTTTTTTCTTTTTTTGAGACGGAGTTTCACACTTTGCCCAGGCTAGAGTGAAGTGGTGTAATCTCGGCTCACTGCAACCTCTGTCCCCTGGGTTCAAGAGTTTCTTCTGCCTCAGCCTCCTGAGTAGCTAGGATTATAGCCACCCACCACCACGCCCGGCTAATTTTTGTATTTTTATTAGAGACAGGGTTTTGCCATGTTGGCCAGCTGGTCTCAAACTCCTGACCTCAGGTGATCCACCCGCCTAGGCCTCCCAAAATGCTAGGATTACAGGCATGAGCCACTGTGCCCAGCTGGTTTTTTCTTTTTTCAAGATGGAGTCTCACTCTGTCGCCCAGGCTGGAGTGCAGTGGCATGATCTTGGCTCACCACAACCTCCACCTCCCAGGTTCAAGCAATTCTGCTGCCTCAGCCTCTCAAGTAGCTGGGATTACAGGCACGCGCCACCAGGTCCAGCTAATTTTTGTATTTTTCGTAGAGATGGGGATTCACCACGTTGGCCAGGTGGTCTTCAACTCCTGACCTCAAGTGATCCGCCCACCTCGGCCTCCCAAAGTGCTGGGATTACGGGCATGAGCCACCGCTCCCGGCCTGTGGTAGCTTTAGAGTCCTGCCAGGACTTAAATAAAGGGAACTTGGCTGATGCTTCCAGCAGGAACAAAAGAAAGCAGCCCTGACTGAGCAGCTGGGATTGAAGGGGGTGGTTGGCTCAGGATTCCTTTCTCTCCTGCCCTTCTCCCCTCCACATTACATGGTCATATCTCCACACTCACTTTATTCCTGTACCCAGCTGGTGGCTCTCAGCAGAACACCAATGGCCCTTTTCCTTCTATGGGACTTGCCCACTGGGCTAGTGGGCTTCTGTTTCCCAGCACATTCTCTCCAAAGGAATTGAACCAAATTTTCTTGCCCATTTAAAGAAGTTGGGGCCAGGCCCGGTGGCTCAGGCCTGTAATCCCAGCACTTTGGGAGACCGAGGCAGGCAGATCACCTGAGGTCAGGAGTTCGAGACCAGCCTGACCAACATGGAGAAACCCTGTCTCTACTAAAAATACAGAAATTAGGTGGGTGTGGTGGTGGGCACCTGTAATCCCAGCTACTCGGGAGGCTGATGCATGAGAATCACTTGAACCCGGGAGGCAGAAGTTGCAGTGAGCTGAGATCGCACCACTGCACTCCAGCCTGGGCGACAGAGCGAGACTCCATCTCAAAAAAAAAAAAAAAAGAAAAGAAAGAAGTTGGAATTCCTTCAATATTTCCTAAGCTTGCCAAGGTCTTTTCTGACATATTTGACCTTTTTTGTTAGGCCTGGAGAACGTTGCAGGCTTTGGGGCCTGAAAGGAAGGTTTCCCAAGTCTTCTAGACTCCTCTCAGTTCGAACCCCAGAGGTAAAAGGATGACTTTTCTTTTCTTTCTTTCTTTTTTTTTTTTTTTTTTTTTTGAGACAGAGTCTCACTCTGTCACCCAGGGTGGAGTGCAGTGGCACAATCTTGGCTCACTGCTACCTCCACCTTCTGGGTTCAAGCAATTCTCCTGCCTCAGCCTCCTGAGTAGCTGGGATTACAGGTGTGGGTATCCGCCACCCCACCAGGCTAGTTTTTTGTATTTTTAGTAGAGACAGGGTTTCGCCATGTTGGCCAGGCTGGTCTTGAGCTCCTGACCTCAGTTGACCCTCCCATCTCAGCCTCCCAAAGTGCTGGGATTACAGGCGTGAGCCACCGTGCCCTGCCAGAGGATGGCTTTTCTCATCCCCCTCCCTGTGTTGGGGAGAGCCTCTTGTCCCTCACATGTGACAGCCCCTCTGTGTCTGCGGGAGGCTGCGCTAGCTCCGGCTTATGTGGGCTGGGAAGCCGTCTCCCTGGTGCTTCCTCTCCCAGCTGAGGACAGATTCCTGCCTATTCCCTGACCTTTACTTATCCTCCCATCTGCCTAGTCAGTTTGTCTCCTGTTCCTGGGCGCTGCTGTCTCCTTACACCCAGGCTTTTCAGTTCCTCCCTTACTCGCTTCACTCTCCTTCCTTTCTGCTCACTCTTTGTTCATGTCCCAAATGATTGGCGTGTCATATGCACCACATTGATCACTTCAGCCTGTTCTGCGAATTCTGTTGGAACACGCTATGTGTGCTGGGCAGTGAGCGGTGGGCAGAAGACATTTATCCAGACTCTTGGCACTGAAGGCACCTTAGTGGTCATGTTTTTCTTTTTTAAGAGATAGATCTCACTGTGTTGCCCAGGCTGGACTTGACCTGCTGGGCTCAAGCAGTCCTCCTGCCTCAGCCTCTGGAGTAGCTAGGATTACAGGTTCAAGCCACTGTACCTGCCCTTAGTGGTCATTTAACTGGGCCACCCCTTCTAAGGCTGACTTGACCAGAGAAGTGCTTCTCAGAGGGTTTCCTTGAAAAACCGCATTGCCAAGGTACGTCTTCTCAACAGAAAATCCCCAAATGCAGAGGACTGTGTGGTCAGATGAGTCTGTGTGCTCTGTTTCCCTCTTGTAAGTTTTGGACACATACGGAAGGCTCTGGAAAGTTCCACACTGAACCTGTTAACTTTGACTGGGACTCCGTGTAACAGAGACTGTCCCTCCCAGCCGGTTTGTGCAAGCTCTCTTTACTTCTCAGGTCTAGTTCCAGTTGGCCGTTTTGCCAGAAGGCACTTCCTTGCACTTAGCTAAAGTCTGTCTCACCCATTTCCATGCACAGAGCCCAGTTCTGGCAGCCTTTGGGCCCCTGGGCAACATCTGAAGGCAGCTCTTTGCCAGATCCCACTTGTTCCTTCCACCCCTGTCCTGTCCTTGTGTGGGGTCTTTTTTTTTTTTTTTTTTTTTTGAGTCGGAATCTTGCTCTGTCACCCAGGCTGGAGTGCAGTGGCACGACCTCGGCTTACTGCAAGCTCCGCCTCCTGGGTTCACGCCATTCTCCTGCCTCAGCTTCCCGAGTAGCTGGGACTACAGGCGCCTGCCACCATGCCCGGCTCTTTTTTTGTATTTTTAGTAGAGATGGGGTTTCACTGTGTTAGCCAGGATGGTCTTGATCTCCTGACCGCGTGATCCACCCACCTCGGCCTCCCAAAGTGCTGGGATTACAGGCGTGAGCCACCGTGCCCGGCCTGTGTGGGGTCTTAAGTCCATTCGTCTTCTTGGCTGCTTCCCACTGACCAGGCCCATGGCCTCCCTGAAGTGTGAGGTCTGTGTGGAGTGGGGCAGACCATGATGAGGTGGGTAGGACTGTGGCCCTTGCATTCAGGATTCAGGACTTTTTGTACTTGCCACTATGATTTATTTCGCCCATGAGTTTTCTGGCAGCCTCCCTGACTCACTGTAGGGTCCCAGTCCCCTGAAGGTGTGGTCACAGTTGCAAGTGAGCGCCATTTCTCTCAAAACCTGTGCTGGGAAAGTCAGTCTGTGGGGGTCTTAGTTTTAGGACCTTGCTTTTTTTTTTTTTTTTTAATTGTTTTGGGACAGAGTCTCACTCTGTCACCCAGGCTGGAGTGCAGTTGTATGAGCACAGCTCATTGCAGCCTCGACCTCCCAGGCTTGAAATGATCCCCCTGCCTCAGCCTTCTGAGGAGCTGGAACCACAGGCACATGCCACTATGCCTTGCTAATTTTTTTATATTTTTGAAGAGACAGGGTCTCACTATGTTGCCCAGGCTTGTCTTGAACTCCTGGGCTCAAACAGTCCTCCCACCTCAGCCTCCCAAAGTGCTGGGATTGGAGGCATGCACCACTGCTCCCAGCCAGTACCTTGCATTTTTTAAAAATTGTGGTGAGATATACATAATGTGAAATTTAGCAGTTTTGTTTTGTTTGAGACAGGGTCGCATGCTGTCACCTAGGCTGGAGTGATCACAGCTCACTGTAGCCTCAAACTCTTGTGCTCAAGTGATCCTCCCCCTTCAGCCTCCCGAGTAGCTGGGACCGCAGATGTGGGCCACCACATTCAGGTACTTTCTTAATTTTTTTGTAGAGATGGGGTCTTGTTTTGTTGCCCAGGCTGGTCTGAAACTCCTAGGCTCAAGTGATTCTCCTGCCTGGGCCTGCCAGAGTGCTGGGATAACAGGCAAGCCTGACTGCACCCAGCAAAATTCACCATTTTTAACCATTTTTAAGTATAGAGTTCAGTGGCAACAACATTGACATTATTATGCAACCATCACTGTCATCCATTTCCAGAATGTCTTCACCCTCCTAAACTGAAACTCTGTCCCCATTCAACACTAACTCCCCATTCACCTCCCCAGCCCTTGACAGTCACCATTCTACTTCTGTCTCGATGATTTTGACTACTCTAGGGACCTGATAAGTGAATTCATACAATGAGGTGCCCTTTTTGCGACTGGCTTATTTCACTTGGCACAATGTCTTCAAGGTTCACCCATGTTGTAGCCTGTGAGCATGGGTCAGAGTTCACTTCCCTTTCATTGCTGAATGAAATTCCATTGTTTGTATAGATCACATTTTGTCAATGGGCATTTGAGTTGTTTCTACCTTTTGGTGACTGTGAATAATGCTGCTAAGAATACTAGTGTCAGCCAGGCATGGTGGCTCACGCCTGTAATCCCTGCATTTTGGGAGACCGAGGCAGGCGGATCACCTGAGGTCAGGAGTTCGAGACCCACCTGGCCAACATGATGAAACCCTGTCTCTACTAAAAATACAAAAAATTAGCCGGCCATGGTGGTGGGCGCCTGTAATCCCAGCTACTCGGGAGGCCTGAGGCAGGAGAATCACTTGAACCCGGGAGGTGGAGGTTGCAGTGAGCTGAGATCGCACCACTGCACTCCAGCCTGGGCAACAAGAATGAAACTCCATCTCAAAAAAAAAAAAAGAATACTAGTGTCCAGACTCCATTGGATCCTATGGTAATTCTTTGTTTAGGACCTTGCATTTTTCTTTCTTTTCTTTTTTTTTTTTTTTTTTTGAGACTGAGTTTCACTCTGTCACTCAGGCTGGAGTGCAGTGGTGCGATCTCGGCTCACTGCAACCTCTGCCTCCCAGGTTCAACAGATTCTTCTGCCTCAGCCTCCTGAGTAGCTGAGATTACAGGCATGCGCCACCATGCCTGGCTAATTTTTTTGTATTTTTAGTAGAGACGGGGTTTCACCATGTTGGTCAGGCTGGTCTCGAACTCCTGACCTCAGATGATCCACCCACCTCGGCCTCACAAAGTGCTGGGATTATAGGCATGAGCCACTGCACCCAGCCAGGACCTTGCATTTTTCTTTGCTATATTTTATCTGTGGACATCACACCAGCTTGCTGAGATCTTTTGGGCCTAGATTCTGCCCCAACTTTGTGTCACCAGCGAATCTGAGAGTCAGCACCCTTTCCAGGTGGCTTTAACTAACAGCCAGTCCGCCTAATTGTATCCATACTTCTCTTCCCCATAAGAGCCTGCCTGCTAGAGGGCGTTGCTCACCCTGAGTGGTAACATCAGGTCAGCTGTGGTTTTCTGTTAGATCAACTTGACAGTAACGTTTCACAACTAAATAAGCATGTGACCCAGCATCCAATCTTGGGTATATACACGAAAAAATGGAAATATATGTCCAAACACTTGTATATGAACGTTCAAAGCAACACTATTCATAAGAGCCAAAAGGTGGAAACAACAAAATGTCCATCACCTGATGAGTGAAGAAACGAAGTGTGGTATATTGATACAGTGGAATATTGTTGGGCTACAAAATGTCCACAAGAGGCAAATCCATACAGACAGAAAGGCTAGTAGTTGCTGGGGGATAGGGGTGGCAAGGGGAGAGTGGGGAATGACTGCTAATGGGTATCAGTTTCTTTTTAGGGTGAGGCAAACGTTCTGGAATTACATGGTAATGATGTTGGCACAACCTGAATATACTAAAAATTAATGCACTGTACAGTGAATTTTATGGTATGTTAATTATATCTCAGTAAAGCTGTTTTTTAAAAAAAACTTAGAAAACAGGGAAGTGAGGTCCATCCTCAAGTCATTTTCAGTGAACCCATGGAAATTGTTGCTTCCCTTCTTAAAGTGCTCACAAACCGTCCTCTGGCAACACTAGATCCTGGGCTGGTGCATCTGTGATTCACATACTCTGCCCACTTCTGGGAAACCCAGAAGCACCTTGCTTGTTTCCAGATCTGGAACACCTGTCTCATCCTTCACGGTTCCTCAAAGCTCACCAACAGCCACCCAGCGATCTTGTCTGTGTCCTTTAGTGCTTTGCAATGTAGCTCTGCCAGCAAGGAGGCTGCACTGAGCACAGAGCTGCTTGAGTAAGAAGTAGCCAGCATACTGTTAAAGTGAGGGCACTGAGAAAAAAAAAAACACAAGAAATAAAAATAGAAGCACCCACCAGAGGAAGGTGGTGAATGCTAAGTCCCGGAGAAGGATGGACAGTGGGTGCTATTGGAGAGCTGTGGGGGAAGCAGGTGGCTCCCTGAGCTCCTGGGCACAGGAGGACCATAGAGGAGGGCAGGGAGGGGGTGGCTGGGTGAGAGGAATGGCACAAGTTGGCCACTGTGGCTGGAAGGGAGCCTGTCAGGGATTCCTGGGCCTCCTCTCCAGCCTGACCTTGGGAGCCTTAACTACTGCCAGTCCACAGCACTAGATTCCTAGGTGCCCACAGGCTACATTTCTTGGCAGGTAGTGGTTGTTCTCAATAATGGTGGGTTTTTGTTACTGAGGCTGTGTTGGGGAGAATGCAGACGGGTAATGAGTGGATGAGTCAGTTCTCAAACAGCAATAAAGAAAAACCTGAGACTAACTAATTTATAAGAAAAGTGGCTTAATTGGCTCATGCACAGTTCTGCAGGCTGTACCGGAAGCATGGCAGCGTGTGCTTGGCTTCTGGGGAGGCCTCAGGAAACTTACAACCATGGCAGAAGGTGAAGGGGGAGCAGTACTTCACATGGCCGGAACAGGAGCAAGACAGAGCAAGCGGGGAAGTGCTGCACACTTTTGAACAACCAGGTCTTGCAAGAACTCACTCACTATCACAAGAATGGCACCAAGGGGATGGTGCAGAACCATTTGTGAGAAATCCACCCCCATGATCCAACCGCCTCCCACTAAGTCCCACCTCCAACACTGGGGACTACAGTTCGACATGAGATTTGGTGGGGATGCAGATCCAAACCAGATCAGTGAGGAAGCCTGATTTACTTATTTTAATTTTTAAATTTGTGTTATTTATTTATTTTATTTTATTTTATTTATTTATTTATTTTTTTTTTGAGGCGGAATCTTGCTCTGTCACCCAGGCTGGAGTGCAGTGGCACGACCTCGGCTTACTGCAAGCTCCGCCTCCTGGGTTCATGCCATTCTCCTGCCTCAGCCTCCCAAGTAGCTGGGACTACAGGTGCCTGCCACCACGCCCGGCTCATTTTTTGTATTTTTAGTAGAGATGGGATTTCACCGTGTTAGCCAGGATGGTCTCGATCTTGTTCTCCTGACCTCGTGATCCACCCGCCTTGGCCTCCCAAAGTATTGGGATTACAGGTGTGAGCCACTGCGCCAGGCCTCTTTATTTTTTTAAGAGATGGGGTCTCACTACATTGCCCAGGCTGAATGCAATCAAACTCCTGGGCTCAAGTGACCATCCCACCCCAGTCTCCCAAGTAGCTGGGACTACGGGTGGGCATATGATACTATACCCAGCCTTATTTATTTAATTTTTTACAAATTGTGGTAAAATGCACTTAACATAAAATTGACCAGGCCAGGTGTAGTGGCTCATGTCTGTAATCCCAAGACTCTAGGAGGCCAAGGCGGGCGGATCATGTGAGGTCAGGTGTTCGAGACCAGCCTGGCCAACATGGTGAAACCCCGTCTCTACTAAAAATACAAAAATTAGCTGTGTGTGGTGGCACACACTTGTAATCCCAGCTACTTGGGAGACTGAGGCAGGAGAATCGCTTAAACCCAGGAGGCAGAGGTCGCAGTGAGCCGAGATTGTGCCACTGCACTCCAGCCTGGGTGACAGAGCCAGACTCCGTCTCAAAAACAAAACAAAACAAAAATTAGCTGGGTGTGGTGGCGCACACCTGTAATTCCAGCTACTTGGGAGGCTGAGGCACTAGAAACGCTTGAACCTGAGAGGCGGAGGTTGCAGTGAGCAGAGATCGTGCAGCTTCACTCCAGCCTGAGTGAAAGAACATGACTCTGTCTCAAAAAAAAAACAAAAACAAAAAAACAAAACCTCTGACCACTTTAACCAAGTAAGTGGACATCATTAAGTACATTCACATTATCGTGCTGCCATCACCACCATCCATCGCCAGAACCTTTTTCTCATCTCAAGTTGAATCTCTATCCATTGAACACTAACTCCCATGCCCCTCTCTCCCAGCCCCTGGCAACCAATCATCCACTTTCTGTCTCTATGAATTTGACTACTGTAAGAACATCGCAGAAGTGGCACCATACAGCATTTGCCTTTCTGTGGCTGGCTTGTTTCACTTAGCAGAATGCCCTCAAGGTTCACCCGTGTATAAGCCTTCCCTTCCTTTTTATTGCCAAATAATATTCCCTTGTATAAACATACTATATTTCATTGTATGGATATACGGCTATACCCCCACCACCACCCCTTTTTTTTTTTTTTTTTTGAGACAGTCTCGCTCTGTCACCCAGCCTGGAGTGCAGTGGTGCAATCTCAGCTCACTGCCACCTCCGCCTCCCAGTAGCTCTCCCACCTCAGCCTCTCGAGTAGCTGGGATTACAGGCGTGCACCACCATGCCCAGCTAATTTTTGTATTTTTAGTAGAAACAGGGTTTCACCATGTTTGCCAGGCTGGTCTACGAACTCTTGACCTCAGGTGATCCGCCCGCCTCGGCCTCCTGAAGTGCTGGAATTACAGGCATGAGCCACCACGCCTGGCTGGATATACCCCGTTTCGTTTCTCCTTTCATCTGTCCGCAGACACCCGCGTTGTTTCCACCTTTTGGCTGTTGTAAACTGATTTGTTTTTAGAGCAAGGTATTCATACCTGAGCAACAAGGGGTCTCTGGGTGGCGGGAAATGCTTGAAGGGAGGAGAGCCAGGGGGTCTGTGGAGAAATCCTGTAATGGGGGAAGTGGCTTGGAGGAAGCAGAGCACACAGGGCTGAAGATGGCTGGGCCAGGAGGGGACAGGCCCAGTCCCACCTGGTGAAGCTGGGTTTGTTTCCTGGCTGGGGGCTGGGGGGCCAGTCAGCAGAGGGGTGGCCCTGTTAGAGGACAGAGTCAGAGCCCTCTTGGTAGACACGGCCGTTCAGAGCTGGAGACAAGACGAGCGAACCAGAGGGGAATCATGAGCCAGAGTCATGATTCCGCACACAGGGGTGGGAAGCAACTTCCCTAGACCTGGGACGGAAAGGCGGGCTGTTGGGAATGGCTGTGGGAGAGAACCAGGGGCAGTGACCAGGAGGAGGCTCCTGGAATTGCCAGCCCTTCCCTGTGAACGTGCTGGGCGTCAGGGGCCAGCTCCTGCAACCCCTCCAGTGTCCAGCATTAGGAGGAGGTGCTCGCTTGATGTTTGTTGACTGAAACTGGGGGAAATAAAGGTAAACAAAGCATGTTTCTCACCCTCCAGAAATTATGGTTTAGTTGAGGAGATAAAAGACATGAAAACCAACAGGTAGTACAAGATCTGCTTTGAGTCATACAAAGCCCTGAAGCGCTCTGAGGAGAGAGGGGTTCCTCTGGAGCAGGTGACCCACATTGGCCTCGCAGAGCGGGAGGTATTTGAGTCATTTTTCGATGAATGAAGCCAAAGGAATTACATGTTTCGGAGACTAACGAGTGTCCTTTCATCCCGGTCATGCATTCCTTTGACCCTGCAGGTATGACGCTGGGCGGGATGGCTTCATCGACCTGATGGAGCTGAAGCTGATGATGGAGAAGCTGGGGGCCCCCCAGACCCACCTGGGCCTGAAGAGCATGATCAAGGAGGTGGATGAGGACTTCGATGGCAAGCTCAGCTTCCGGGAGGTACCTGCCTGCTGTGGCCCTGAGCCCCTGTGGGGTGCCCCTGAGAGGACCTTCAGGTGTACAGCCCACTGGAGCACAAATGGGTTTGGCCTCTCCAGAGCGCTGTTTGCGTATCTAACCTGCAATTCCGCTTTCAAAAATACCTTTTAGGTGACAGCTAACCCCAGTGCTGGCCTGGAAAAAGCAGCATGGGTAGTAGTATAACCTCATTTGAGTAAAATAATAAGAAATTTGGCGATGTTCACCAAAATATTCATAGTGGATATTTATGGGGGCAAAATGTTGGTGCTTTTATAATGTTATGCTTTTTTATATATTAAAGCTTTTCATTTTTTAACGTATTTTTAAAATTTTTTATTTTTAATTGTTATGGATACATAATAGTTGTACATATTTATGGGGGACATGTGATATATTTTATTTATTTTTATTATTATTTTTTGAGACAGTCTCACTCTGTTGCCCAGGCTGGAGTGCAATGGTGTGATCTCAGCCCACCGCAACCTCCACCTCCTGAGTTCAGGCGATTTGTGCCTTAGCCTCCCAAGTAGCTGGGATTACAGTGTGCCACCAGGCCTGGCTAATTTTGGTATTTTTAGTAGAGATGGGGTTTTGCCTTGTTGACCATGCTGGTCTCAAACTCCTGGCTTCAAGTGATCCTCTGCCTTGGCCTTCCAAATTGCTGAGATTACAGGCGTGAGCCACCAAGCCCGGCCTACATGTGATATCTCGATATAAGCGTACAATGTGTAACGACCAAGTCAGGGTAATCTGGGTACCCATCACCTCCAGCATTTATCATTTCTTTGTGTTTGAAACATTCTATTCCTTTTAGTTATTTTGAAATATACAATAATGCGTCTTCTTTGCTTATCACCCAGGCTGGAGTGCAGTGGCTCAATCCTCAATCATGGCTCACTGCAGCCTTGACCTTCTAGTCTCCATTGATCCTCCCACCTCAGCCTCCTGAGTAGCTTGGACTATAGGCACATACCACCACACCTGGCTAATTTTTTAAAATTTTTGTAGAGATGAGGTCTCACTGTGTTGTCCAGGCTGGTCTCCAACTCAGCCTCAAGCGATTCTCCTGCCTCTGACTCCCAAAGTGCTGGGATTACAGTCGTGAGCCACCTTGCCCAGTAATTTTGAGAATAATACTTCTTTATATTTTCGTTTTCATTGTTTATTCATTTATTTATTTATTTACTTGAAACAGGGTTGCTCTGTTGCCCAGGCTAGAATGCAGTGGCATGATCACAGCTCACTGCAGCCTCAAACTCCCAGTATCAACCCATCCTCCCACTTCAGCCTCTTGAGTAGCTGGGACTACAGAAATGTACCACCATGCCCGGCTAATTGAAAAAATTTTTTTGTAGAGATAGGGTCTTGCTATGTTGCCCAGGCTGGTCTCCGACTCAGCCTCCCAAAGTGCTGGGATTATAGGCATGAGCCACCTTGCCTAGCTACTTTTTATTTTTATAGCATGCAAAAATTGTTTATTTTTTATTAAAAAAAATTTTGTGGTTGTTTATAGAAACAGGGACTCACTTTGTTGCCCAGGCTGGTCTCAAACTCCTGGGTTCAAGCAATCTTCCTGTCTTGGCCTCCCAAAGTGTTGGGATTACAGTGTGAGCCACTGTGGCCATCCCCAAAATAGTTTTTTTTTTTTTTTTTTTTTTTTTGAGATGGAGACTCGCTCTGTCACCCAGGCTGGAGTGCAGTGGTGTGATCTCGGCTCACTACAAGCTCCGCCTCCCGGGTTCACGCCATTCTCCTGCCTCAGCCTCCCGAGTAGCTGGGACTACAGGCGCCTGCCACCACGCCTGGCTAATTTTTCGTATTTTTAGTAGAGACGGGGTTTCACCATGTTAGTCAGGATGGTCTCGATCTCCTGACCTCGTGATCCGCCTGCCTCGGCCTCCCAAAGTGCTGGGATTACAGGTGTGAGCCACCACGCCCGGCCTATTTTTTAATTTTTTGAGACAAGAGTCTCACTCTGTTGCCTAGGCTAGAGTGCAGTGGTATAGTCTTACCTCACTGCAACCCTTATCTCCCAGGCTCAAGTGATCCCCCAACCTCAGCCTCCTGAGTAGCTGGACCACAGGCACGTACCACTACACCTGGCTAATTTTTTCAAAAGTAATTTTATAAAGGGTCTTATTCTGTGCCTGTGGAGCCCCCTCACCAATAGTCCAAGAATGGACTTGGTCTTTGAACCTCTGAAATTGCAGGCAAAATTTTGAGATACTGGCATCCCACCAGGAAGAGTGCATATGGCATTCACAGCTGATCCCCAAATGGCTAAGAACGTCTGAGAAAGCCATTTCTATTTTAGGGGCAATGTCTCAAGACTATCAGGTGTCTTCCATGGCAAGGATGCCACCCCACAGGGAAGGGAATTTCATGTGTTAGATGTGTCTTTATGAGTTTTATCAGAAGACCTCTAGATGTGTCATTTGGCACCTGTATTATATTAACTTTTTTTTTTTTGAGACAGAGTCTCACTCTGTTGCCCAGACTGGAGTACAGTGGTGCAATCTCGGCTCAGTGCAACCTCCACCTCCTGGGTTCAAGCGATTCCCCTGCCTCAGCCTCCTGAGTAGCTGGGACTACAGGCGCATGCCATCATGCCTGGCTAACTTCTGTAATTTTAGTAAAGATAGGGTTTCACTGTGTTGCCCAGGCTGGTCTTGAACTCCTGGCCTCAGGCAGTCCACCTGCTTTGGCCTCCCAAAGTGCTGGGAATATAGGCGTGAGCCACTGCACCTGGCCTATTATAATAATTTTGATGATAATATCAGATTAAAGGCTCAGAGCATCTGAAGTCTCAGTCATGTCTCACCTTCAGCCCTTAGGAGCTGGGAGTAGAGGACTGTCCCTGCTTCCTGGTGTTTAATGTTATTCCAGAAATGTTGGAGTACTGGCACCCTGGTTTTTTCACAGTTCACTGCAGCCTCTCACTTCTGGGCTCAAACAATCCTCCCACATCAGCCTCCCAAAGTGTTGGGATTACAGGCATGAGCCCCCACACCCAACTAGCGCCCTGGTTTCTGATGTGAGACTTTGGGTCAAGCGTTGGTCTGTCTAGGCTAGAAGTTCTTCCTGGAGGTCTGCAGCAGAACTGGCAGCCACAAGCCCCTCCCTCAGCCATGATGAACTGGGCTTGTCCCTTGCTTCTATAAATCAGCTCCAGAATCTTCCACCTTTGCTGAACCTGAGATACGATTCACAGGGCTGGGCATGACCCTCTGGATGATCTCATCCAGCTTTGCATGCCAGAGCCAAGGAGCTGAAGGGCCACAGAGATCTGGATTTGCTGGATGTGGGCTGTGGCCTCCGTGCCACTTGGCCTGCCCTATCACCACCACACTTGTCTTCACAGCTGCCCTGTTTGGCTCCTGCTGGGGTACTGGCTCTTTCCAGCCCGAATACCCCTGGAGTATAGAAGGCAGAGACTTTTGCTTTGGTGAAGCTTTGGAGTAGATTCTGGGGAGAGAGCTGTGGTGAGCTCTGGGAACAGGAGCTGAGAGGGTGTTTCGTGGCTTGCAATTGCCAAATGAATTAAGATGCATTCCGCCTTCTGCCCTGTTGTACTCAGCGGCCAACTGCAGGTGCTCCTCCCTGAATCCATGATGCTTGGTTAGCTTTTGGCTAGCTGCTGGTTTGGCCAGCAGATGGTAGACATCAGAGTCTTGGAAATCTCCAAAGGGTTCCTGTGATTGGTTTGCACCCCCGTTCCAAAGCTTCAGGGACATTCACAGTCTACCCTTTGTCAGTTCCAAGCCCAGTCCCATCTCTAGTAGCTGCACCAGGCATGCAGGCCTTGGGAGTATAAGGACATGCTGCCACTCATACTTTCCTGTTCCATTATTTCACCGTGCTGGTTTCCACCTCTGCTTAAGGCCCTAGTGGACCAGGGCTGTGTTCACAGACTGAAAAGAGCATGGGCTCAGTCTACTACACAAAGCTAGGTCCCCAGAGTGAGATCTTTTACTTCTGAGCCTCAGTGTTTGTGTCCTTAAAATAGCTGTGTGAATAGCTTTCCCCGCTATTGTGACCATTGTGAAAACTAAGTTTTCTTTCTGTGCCTTTTACAAGCTAGGAAGACATTCCTAACTGGAAACCATATTTGCTGCCACCTTGTTCTTGCACTTCCAGCTTCTGAAACTGTGAGAAAATAAATTTCTGTTGTGTGAGCCACCCAGACTGCACAATTTTGTTAGGGCAGCCCAAGCAGACGAATACAGTGGCCCCTGGAGCCTGGCTGTGCTGGGCCGCCCGCCTGCCTGGTCATGGTTGATCAGACCATGGATGGACCGCTGGTCTGACCAGGCCAATCGAATTCTCTCTCTCGGGATTTTGAAATTGGGGCTGAAGTGCTCCGGATTGGCTCTGCAGATGGCTGTTCTTGGAAGGATAATGCAATGTGGGGTGCCCACTTTCTACCATGCGGACCGGCATGAGAGATGGAGGGGGAATCTTGCCTCCAGTCCTAAGAGCTTTGCCTCTCCCAGTTCCAGTCCTCCTCCAGGCCACTGTGTCTCGTCCTTGGGTTTTTGAGACATCTTATTTTATTTTAATTAATTAATTAATTTATTTATTTATTTATTTATTTATTTTGAGACGGAGTTTTGCTCTTGCTGCCCAGGCTGGAGTGCAATGGTGCAATCTCACCTCACTGCAACCTCCGCCTCCCGGGTTCAAACGATTCTCCTGCCTCAGCCTCCCAAGTAGCTGGGATTACAAGCATGCGGCACCACACCCGGCTAATTTTGTATTTTTCTTTTTAGTAGAGACAGGGTTTCACCATGTTGGCCAGGCTGGTCTCAAACTCCTGACCTCAGGCGATCCACCCGCCTTGGCCTCCCAAAGTGCTGGGATTACGGGTGTGAGCCACTGTGTCTGGCGGAGACATCTATTTTAAATAATGAATACCTCCTTTTTGCTTAAGTGAACAAGTTTATTTCTGTCACTTGCAACCTAAGAGTTCTAACTAATACCGTGGGAGTGTTTGCATCATCGGCCGAAGCCATGAAGTTAAAAATTCCCTGAGTGTATCAGAAGCATCCATAGCTTGCGTGTGAAAGGGCTTTTTAGCTTTGTTAGTTCTCTTGCTGTCTCTTTGTTTTCTACCTCTCCTTCCCTCCCCCTCTTTCTTCACAGTCACAGCTAGGACAGTTTCCAATTCTTCTACCACATGCCCGGCTTTGTGGACTATAAATAGGAAGACAAACAAGGCTGGGCAGTTGGATAAATTGTCATTTAGGGCGGTTGGTGATTGTAACAAAATTAAATGGAAATGTCTGGCATGCTTCATGGAAGTCTGGGCGCTTTCAGCTTGAGCTGAGTTTTTTCCCTTCTTTAACTGGCTGGGGTAGGGGGTACCCCTGAGGTGTGACAGGGATGCTGCTGGTCACCTGCTGACCTGGCACAGTGAGTGGATACGTCTGGATCTGCCCCAGACCTGAGGGTTCAGAGGAAACAGCTCTGGGGAAGGGACCCGTGAGGAGAGCTTTCCCTCATGTTTCCAGTTCATGAAGCCCGTCCGTAAACTGTCATCTCCACTCTGGATTTGAGAAGGCCAAGCCTCGGGGATGGCGAGAGTCCCTGAGGTCACCTGGGTGGGCACTGGCTGGGGGTGGTGCTCTGTCTTCTCTTAAAAAATATTTTGTTTTATTATTTTATTATTTATTTATTTATTTGAGACACAGTTTCACTCTGTCACCCAGGCTGGAGTGCAATGGCGCGATCTCGGCTCACTGCAACCTCCACCCCTCAGATTCAAGCGATTCTCGTGCCTCAGCCTCCCGAGTAGCTGGGATTACAGTTGTGTACCACCATGCCCGGCTAATTTTGGTATTTTTAGTAGAGATGGGGTTTCACCATGTTGGTCATGCTGGTCTCGAACTCCGGACCTCAGGTGATCCGCTCGACTCAGCCTCCCAAAATGCTGAGATTACAGGTGTGAGCCACCACGCCCAGCCAGTGCTCCCATCTTTTCACAGCTGCCTGTCTGGGTCCCAGAGAGCACTGGCCTGGTGGGGCTGCCTGTTCTCTTTGCCTCGTGGAGCAAGGAGGTGGGGCCTTCTGTGAAGGAAATGATTTAAGGATAGCAGGGCACGGAGCGACCAGTATGTCAGTCCCTCTCTCCACATGCCTCTCATCCGCAGCCCTGAAGTCTGCTGCTTCGATCTTTTCCACCCCTGTGTCACCATCCCCTTGACCTCCAACCTATTCTTGGGGGGCCTGGCCTCCTCCAAGGGGCCTGTCTTCTTTCAAGTCAATGTTCAGGTTCTGATAATCCACAGCAAACTGAGTCTCTGCCGGCCTCTAGTGAGAGAGTTTGAAGCTGCAGGTGGTTGAACATGGCTGACCGTCGGCCTCTCCGTGGGCATCTTGCTGTGTCTCTTGCTTTGTATTTGACAATATCCACGGTAGCGTTAGGACCCTGAAGGGAGCAATAGGAAGAGGGTGTCTTACAAGGCATTTCGGGGATGCGGTGGTTGAGCCTCTCACCGGCATGAAACACACTTCCCTCTGGGGATTGAGAGCCTCGGCAGTAATGATACTCAAGTGAGGATTTGGAAGGCCTGTAGAAGTTGCTTAACCTATCACTCTACTTTAAGTAGTGTTCTTTTCCCTTTTGAGAAGGCTTTTTTTTTTTTTTTTTAGACAGAGTCTTGCTCTGTAGCCCAGGCTGGAGTGCAATGGTACGACCTCGGCTCACTGCAACCTCCACCTCCTGGGTTCAAGCGATTCTCCTGCTTCAGGCTCCTGAGTAGCTGGGATTATAGGCAGGCACCACCACGCCCGGCTAATCTTTGTATTTTTAGTGGAGACGGGGTTTCACCATGTTGGTCAGGCTGGTCTCGAACTCCTGACCTCGTGATCCACCTGCCTTGGCCTCCCAAAGTGCTGGGATTACAGGCGTGAGCCACTGCACCTGGCGAGAAGGCATTCTTTTAGGGAAGAGGGTTATGAAAAAAGACCTGGAAACCTGCAATTTTCCTGTGGGTGCATACATTTTAGGTAGCACCTGAAAACCTGGAGAGAGCCTCTTTCGATGATAGCTTGGAACGTATCAGTTTATATTCTTTCCATATGGAAAAATAAGTCATGAAGCTTAGATAGCAGTTGTTTAAAGAAGAGAACTAAAAAAGCCACAAAATTGCCTTGGGAGAGGACAGGAAGATGGGGAAATTGCCATTTAAGTTTGGCCAATTTATAGCTGGGCATGGTGGCTCATGCCTGCAATCCCAGCACTTTGGGAGGCCTGAGGCTAGGAGTTCAAGACCAGCTTGGTCAACATGGTGAAACCCCATTTCTACTAAAAATACAAAAATTAACCAGGTGTGATGTCACGCTCCTGTAATCCAAGCTACTTGGGAGGCTGAGGCGGGAGGATCACTTGAACCCGGGAGGCAGAGGTTGCAGTGAGCCGAGATCGAGCCATTGCACTCCAGCCTGAGCAACAGAGCAAGACTGCATCTCAAAAAAAAAAAGGTTGGCCAATTTATTTATTTAAAAGTTTGTTCTTTGGAAGCCTGAAGATTAATTAATTCAGGTCACATTTTGAATCTGGAGGAGGAGGGTGGATTATTCAACAAATGATGCAAGGATTACTAACCAACCATTTGGAAGAAAATAAGGTTAATGATTAACCTCACATGATAAATAAAAATAAATTTCAGAGATTAAATATTTACATGGTTAAAAAAAAAAAGAAGCCATAAAAGTTGTAGACAAAACATAGGTGGTTGTTTATATAACCTTGGTGCTGAGGAAGGTTTTTCTAAGCATAACACTATATGTAAAATTTTTGAAAGTTGAAAATTAGCATAAACATACTTAAAAGGCAAGTGATAGAGCTAAAATATTTGAAACATACCAGGTTCTATGAAGATCTTTAGCAAATGGTAAGAAAGGCAAACAATCTAATGCAAAAATGAGACACACAAGAAAAGTACAAGTTGTTAAAAAACCATTGGAAATATTATTTAGTTTTTAAAAAATAGTATATACAGGTTTATTTGATTTTTCTTTCATCACTGTAAACTAGGATGCTGCTAATTTTTTACTTTCATAGATAATGTTTAAACCATTGTAGGAATGTTTCTGAAGGATAAATTCCCACCAGTGGAATTAATGGTTGGAAGGCAAAAAGCATCTTATTTTCAGTAAACATTTCCAAAGTGCCCATCAAGGCCAGGCACAGTGCCTCACACCTGTAATTTCAGCACTTTAGGAGACTGAGGCAGGAGGATCACTTGAGACCAGGAGTTTGAGACCAGCCTGGGCAACGTAGAAGACCCTGTCTCTACAAATTAAAAAAAAAAAAAATTAGCCAGGTGTGGTGGCACACGCCTGTGGTCCCAGCTACTCAGGAATCAGAGGGCATAGGACCACCTGAGCCCAGGAGGTCAAGGTTGCAGTGAGCTATGAACACACCACAGCACTCCAGAGCGAGACCCTGTCTCAAGAAAATAAATAAATAGGCTGGGTGCAGTGGCTCACACCTGTAATCCCAGCACTTTGGGAGGCCGAGGCGGGCGGATTACCTGAGGTCAGAAGTTTGAGACCAGCCTGACCAACATGGAGAAACCCCGTCTCTACTAAAATACAAAAAAATTAGCGAGGCATGATGGTGCATCCCTGTAATCCCAGCTACTCGAGAGGCTGAGGCAGGAGAATCGCTTGAACCTGGGAGGCAGAGGTTGCAGTGAGCCGAGATCGCACCACTGCACTCCAGCCTGGGCAACAAGAGTGAAACTCCATCTCAAAAAATTAAATAAATAAAAAAGAAAATAAATAAATAAAAGTTTGAGGGTGGGAGGCAGTGGCTCACGCCTGTAATCCCAGCACTTTGGGAGGCCGAGGCGGACAGATCACTTGAGGTCAGGAGTTTGAGACCAACCTGGCCAACATGGCAAAACCCCATCCCTACTAAAAATATAAAAATTAGCCGCGCATGGTGGCACACACCTGTAATCCCAGCTACTCGGGAGGCTGAGACATGAGAATCGCTTGAGCCCAGAGGCAGAGGTTGCAGTGAGCCGAGATCATGCCATTGCACTCCAGCCTGGGCAACAGAGCGAGACTCTGCCTCAAAAAAAAAAAAAAAGTTTGAATCGGTTTACACTCTCAAATAAATATGAAGGTGCCCATTTCCCTATAGCCTTGGGAAAAATCGGCATGTTTTCATTTTTGACAATCTGATGAGGGAAAAAAGTAATTTGCCACATGCATACATAAACATCTTTCTTAAGTGATTGGCAGAGTGACTTCAGCTTGGACCAGAGGGCTGGTTATGAATCTGTCAGTGAGACTGACTCTGGTTCCCTACTTTCTTTCCCCTGTAGTTCCTGCTCATTTTCCACAAGGCCGCGGCAGGGGAGCTGCAGGAGGACAGTGGGCTGATGGCGCTGGCAAAGCTTTCTGAGATCGATGTGGCCCTGGAGGGTGTCAAAGGTGCCAAGAACTTCTTTGAAGCCAAGGTAGGTGCTTAGTTCCTTCTGTGAGGAGCAACCACTCCCAGCCTTCACGCTGCCCACCAGACTGCAGCTGTCATTTTCATCTCAGCAGAGCACACCTGCAGAAACAGACCAGGAGGGTCCTCCCAGTGCTCTGCCAACCAGCAAGTGGGTGCCAGTCCACCTGAGTTCAGACTCTGCCTCCTCCATCTCCCTACCCTGTCCACTCTGAGCCTCGGTGTCTTCATCTGTATGATGGAGGGGTGACAATAGAATTGCCTGAATGATTAAATGAGTTCATGTACATGAAAGCATTTAGGAAGTGCCTGGCTCACTGTGAGCCCTTCATAGGTGGTATGGGCTGTTGGGACTCTTGTGGAGTTTTGTTTTAGTTTATTCTGGAAGCTTGCCCAGAGACAGAGTGCCTTGGTGACATATCCTGGCCTGCCCAGTCCCCTAAGCAGGACTCTAAATTCTTACTTCTCTTTGAGGCTGCTTGGAGACAGATTTCATCATCTCTCTGCCATGCTGAAAGCCCAGTGCTCTCATCTGACAGTGTCAGGGACAAGCCAACCACTCATTGCGCCTTAAACACTGGCACCATGTGTCCAATAATGAAAGTGGTTTGGTCCTTCCTTCCTGACTTAACATTGATTCAGCCCATCTCCAGCAAAGCTGGGCACCGCATTGAGCTCTAAGATACAACTCCTTTCTAAAGGCGAAGTGGTCATAACTGTTGCCCTTCCCAGGGCACACACATAGTCCAGTGAAGAAAGCAAGTGCCACAATGACACAGAGAGGGTAGAGAGGAGGGAAGGGCTATTTTGCAGGGATGGGTCTTCTCCATCCATTGAGTATATAACATGCAGATGTCTTATGATGCTTTGGGAGAGGTGCTAGGGTTGAGAGCCCGAGCTTAGCAGGACAGTTTTCACTCCACTGCTCCAGTGCAAGGTGATACGTGCTCTAGTTGAAGTAGGTTTGAGTGTCTGGGAATGTCTTATCTGGGTATTCAAGACCTGTTATGATCTGGCTCTGATCCCTGCTTCAGCCTCATCCACCCCCTGCAAATGCTGCCACGCCTTTCCCAACTGGATCTCCTGTCCCCTCTGCCTGAACGCCCTACCCAAATGCCTCTGCCTAGAAAACTCTGCTTCATCCAGACCCACATTGAAGAGTTCCCTCCCCTGGGCTGCTTTCCCTGACTGTCCATCCTCTTCTGTGTGCCTCTAGTACACATGGAAGTGGTGTTATAATTTATCGTTTCAAGGCACCCTTACATGCTTTTGGTAAAAGTATAAATTAACCCAGCTTTTTATTTTATTTTATTTTTTGAGATGGAGTGTCGCTCTGCCACCCAGGCTGGAGTGCAGTGGCAGAATCTTGGCTCACTGCAACTTTGACCCAACTTTTTGTAAAGCAGTTTGAAACTAACTATGCACATTTTATATTTTTCCCTTCCAGAATTCTACCTCTTAAGACTTCTTCTTTTTTTTTTTTTTTTTTTGAGATTGAGTCTCACTCTGTCTCCCAGGCTGCAGTACAGTGGCACGATCTTGGCTCACTGGCACCTCTGCCTCCCAGGTTCAAGCAATTCTCCTGCCTTAGCATCCTGAGTAGCTGGGCCTACAGGCGCCCACCACCACGCCCAGCTAATTTTTGTATTTTTAGTAGAGACAGGGTTTCACGATATTGGCCATGCTGGTGTCAAACTCCTGACCTCGTGATCTGCCTGCCTCCACCTCCCAAAATGCTGGGATAACAGGCGTGAGCCACCGCACCCATGCAAATGCACATACATGTATGGACAAGGATTTTCATACAATAGTGTTAGTGATAGAGAAAAATTAGAAATAACCAAAACTTCCATTATCAGGGAAGTGAGTTCATTGTGATATACCCACACATTTGCACACTCTGCAGCTGTCAAAAAATGAGATGCAGCTGCGTGTCCGTGTGGACAGATGTCCAGAATAAATGAAGCAAGACAATATGCTGGAAACCTAATTTTGTAAACATGAAATCCAACCTGGATCATTATATGCCAAAGTATCAGTAATAGTTTTGTCAGAGGGACTTATTTTATATTTTTGTAATGTTTTACAATGAGTGTGCATTATTTTTATAACTGGAGAAAAGATGAAAAGAATGACAATAAAAATTCTTACAGCTCGTTATGTTTATAGGTCTGCCTCCTCACCCAGAATCAAAGGCAGAGTAGGTATGATATCTTTGTAATTACAGTGCTTGGTATATAATGGCCCTCAATAAACATTTGCATGGATGACAAATGGAGGGCATCGTCACTGGATTTGGGAGAGGGCCATAAAGGAGCCGCCATTTGTGACAGATGTTCCAAGATGAATGGGGATTCACCTTGTAATCAAGGAAGGGAGGGCGTTGTGATCGTGGGAACACCAAGTGGAAGGCTCCAAGGCATAGAGGGTGAGACGTGTTTGGAGGCTGGAGAGGCGTCCCAATGTGAGGATACAGGATGTGTGAGGGAGCAGGGCTGGTGACATGGCCGGAGGTGAAAGCCAAGATGCAAATATGGTGACCCCAGCCTGGCCAACATGGTGAAACCCATCTCCACTAAAAATACAAAAATTAGCTGGGTGTGGTGGTGCACACCTGTAATCCCAGCTACTTGGAAAGCTGAGGCAGGAGAATTGCTTGAACCCGGGAGGCGGAGGCTGCAGTGAGCCGAGATCGTGTCACTGCACTCCAGCCTGGGTGACAGAGCACGACTCCACCTCAAAAGAAAAAAAAGAGAGAGAGAAAAGAAAGGAAGGAAGGAAGGAAGGAGAAAGAAAGAGAGAAAGAAAAGAAAGAAAAGAAAAGAAAAGAAAAGAAAGAAAGAATATGGTGATCAGGAAACTGGGCCAGCACTTGCCACCCTTTGGCACACCATGGCACATGTGGTCTATGACTCTGAGATAGGATGGCTCCCAGCTACACTAGACGCTATTGGACAGAGAGCTCCAGCCTCCCTGAGGCTGAGAGGAGTTCCTCTCTGGGCACCTGGTTGGGAAGGTCAGGCCTTCCCCCGACTGCTGAGTGTTAGAACCACCTGCACACCGGCTTCCCAGGCCCACCCACATCCACCTGGGATTTCTCCAAGGTGGGTTTCAGGAAACGTGTAGTCGATGGAGCTGTGACATGATTCCGATGCACAGCCGCAGGTGCAGGGGAGCCGTTGAGTGTTTGAGCAGGGCCTTGACGTGATCGGGGTGGGCACTACCAGGACACACTTGCCTGGGGACAGTTTAGACTCAGGGAAGTTTTCACAGATGTCCTGAGAAGAATTGTGGGTCCAATAAGGGTAGGGACAACCAGACTAGAGAGGAGGAGGAGACAAATTGAGAATTCTCTGGAAGTCTCAGTGTTCATCACTCCATTGGAGGAGGGAGATAAGTGCCATGAGGTTTGTAAGGAGGGGAGTTGATGATATTTTTCATCAAGACCAGCCTCCCAGGCCAATTGCGGTGGCTCACATCTGTAATCGCAGCACTTTAGGAGGGTGAGGTGGGAGGATTACTTGAGGTTAGGAGTTTGAGACCAGCCTGGCCAACATGGTGAAACCCCATCTCTACTAAAAATACAAAAATTAGCCGGGCATGGTGGCATGCGCCTGTAATCCCAGCTACTCAGGAGGCTGAGGCATGAGAATCGCTTGAACCCAGAGGCAGAGGTTGCAGTGAGCCGAGATCAGGCCATTGCACTCCAGCCTGGGCGACAGAGCAAGACCATGTCTCAAAGGAAAAAAAAAAGCCTGGCCTCCCCCTATTCCCAGAATGGCTGTGGTTTGAGGAGGAAAAGTTATGAACTGGGTTTGGTTTCAAGTGTGAGGTGACTTCAGGCACGGGAAAGGCGTGCCCTTTCATTTGAAGGCCATCATGTTGGTTGCAAATAGTTTCTGATCACATCCTGTTTGACCGAACCTGGTGACTCCTGGCTGCATGGGAGGTTAGGGAATGTCTTTTTTTCCGGGATCTGTCTGCCCGGCTGTAATTATGCCACTAGGGAAGATGAGGATCCTATGTGTTGAGGGTCATGGAGTAATTTCTTCCACACATGCCCAATTCTGAACCTGCCATTGGAAAACGCTGGAATATCATTATCTCAGCTGGGCTCTCCTGGAGCCGGGGGTGGAGTCAGTCTCCCTTAGGCCCCTGGGCCATGTTGCAGGCCTCATAGCAAGAAATAAGGCAGGAAGTGGGTGCTTCTGGGCACCTCACAACATAGACCACAGGAGCTAACTTCACAAGATACAAGTTGAAACCAAGGATTAGAGATTGACCTATGGTAGAACAGACTGGTGCCAGGACTGTGGGGAAGGCTGGCATTTAGGCCTTTGGAGAAGAAGGTGTAATCAGAGGTATAAGGAAACCCTGGGGAAATGCTATTTTGGAGTACAGGAGCAGTTTTTAGAAGAGATTAGGCTGGGTGCAGTGGCTCACACCTGGACACTTTGGGAAGCTGAGGCAGGAGAACTCCTCAAACCCAGGAGTTCAAGGTTGCAGTGAGCTATGATCATACCACTGGACCACAGCCTGGGCAACAGAGCAAGACCCTGCCTCTAAAACAAAACAAAACAAAACAAAAAGCAAACAATAAAAGAGAGTTTTTAGTCCCTGCCTCTAGGGATTATAATTCCATAAAAGTAAAAGTGACCTGGTGCAGTGGCTCACATCTGCAATCCCAGCACATTGGGAGGCCAAGGTGGGAGGATTGCTTAAGTCCAGGAGTTTGAGACCAGCCTGGGCAACATGGCAAGACCCCATCTCTACACACACACACACACACACACACACACACACACGTACACACACACATCTTTCTATAACACACACATACACACACACACACACACACGTACACACACACATCTTTCTATATAAGCATAACTCTTGCTGTTAATATTATCAGAGTTACCTGTCTTCAGAAATGGACCCCTGTGAAATGCAGGGGGAATTTAGAAAATGGACACTGATTTTTCATTGAAATGGGAGCATCCAGGCCTGGTGCAGTGGCTCATGCCTATAATCTCAGCACTTTGGGAGGCTGAGGTGGGAGGATTGCTTAAGCCCAGGAGTTTGAGACCAGCCTGGGCAACATAGTGAGACCCTCTCATTACAAAAACAAACAAAAATATTAGCTGGGTATGGCGGTGCATGTCTGTAGTCCCAGCTACTCAGGAGGCTGAATTGGGAGGAACACTTGAGCCTGGGAGATTGAGGCTGCAATGAGCCATGACTGCACCACTGCACTCCAGTCTGGGTGACAGAGTAAGACCTTGTCTCAAAAAAAAGACATTTAGAAAGTTGAGAACTCTGCTCCAACTCCCCCAACACAGTTAAATGTTGGGAAATGTAAGGATTACTTCTTCCCTTGTCCTCCAATGTTATAAAAAGAATGCAAACATATTGAAAAAGATAATATCATATTCATTCTCTGAAGCTATTGATTCTGATAAAGTCAGATAAAAATGACTTTATTAGAATAAAGAAAAAAGAATTATATCAATTAGAAAAAAGAATTATATCAATGAATGTAGCTCTAAGGATCTTAAAACTTCAGGGGCCAGGAGCAGTGGCTTATGCCTATAATCCCAGAACTTTGGGAGGCCAAGGTGGGCACCTCACTTGAGTTTAGGAGTTTGAGACCAGCCTGGCCAACATGGTGAAACCCTGTCTCACTAAAAAAAACAAAAATTAGCTGGGCGTGGTGGCGTGTACCTGTCATCCCAGCTACTCGGGAGGCAGGAGAATCACTTGAACCTGGGAAGTGGAGCTGAGATCACGCCATTGAGCTCCAGCCTGGGTGACAGAGTAAGACTCCATCTCAAAAAGAAAAAAAAAAAGAATCTTAAAACTTCAAAAAATGGAATGCAGTGATTACATTTAAGGAGATAGATGTTAAAACTGTAAGAATAATTTGAAAATGTTGCGATCATAGGTTATCAAGAAAAAAGTCATTTAAATTAAATATCTCAAAGGTATTTGGTAAAGTTTAATACCCATTCATAATAAAACATTTTAAAATAAGAAAACAATGCTTCTTTAGCACGATAAAAGAATATTGGCCGGGCGCGGTGGCTCATGCCTGTAATCCTAGGACTTTGGGAGGCCGAGGCGGTTGGATCACCTGAGGTGGAGAGTTCGAAACCAGCCTGACCAACATGGAGAAACCTCGTCTCTACTAAAAAACAAAATTAGCTGGGCGTGTTGCCGCATACCTGTAATCCCAGCTACTCGGGAGACTGAGGCAGGAGAATTGCTTGAACCTGGGAGGCGGAGGTTGCAGTGAGCTGTGATCGCACCATTGCACTCTAGCCTGGGCAAAGAGAGCCAAACTCTGCTTCAAACAAACAAACAAACAAAAAAGAAAAAGAAACATCTCTTTCACGTGGGAACTTAGGATATAAGAAGATTGGGAGAATAATGGGCTAGCAATAAAAGGTGTTGAGACAATTAGCTATGCACTTGTGAAGATAAAGTCAAGTCCCTACTTTATACTCTGCACTAAAAGAAGTGCACTTAGATCCTTTTGCGGTTCATAATGTGATGACTAGGTTTTCATGTCCATGTGTGAAGTGCGCCTTCCTCCAATCCTGTTAAGATGTCAGCACATTTGCCTTCTGACAGGAAAGAAAAAAAAAGTGAAATAAATGAGCTTATTTTTGTGGCTTAAGGGGCCAAATGGGAACACAAAACCATAAAGGTATTAAAAGGAAATTCAGGAAAATGGGTTTAGAACCTCGGGGGTTTAGAAGACCTCCTTAAACATGACATAAAATGCAAATGGCAGAACGGAAATGGTTGATCAATTTGATTACATCAAAATTTTAAATATGTATATCGTCCCAAATGCCTTAAAGTTAAAAGACGAGCAAAAAACTGGGAGAAAGGAACTAAAATATGTATAACCAGAGACTAATACCTAGTATTTATGAGGAAAGCAAATATTCTTTTATCTTTTTTTTTTACCTTATGTAAATAAATGCAAATTGGGGCTGAGCTCAGTGGTACATGCCCATAATCCCAGTGCTTTAAGAGGCTGAGGTGGGAGAATTGCTTGAGCCCAGGAGTTTGACACCAGCCTGGGCAACATAGAGCAACCCCATCTCTACAAAAAATTGAAAAAATTAGCCTATAGGTGGCATGCACCTATAGGCCTAGCTGCTCAGGATGCTGAGGTAGGAGGATCGCTTGAGCTCGGGAGTTCGAGGCTGCAGTGAACTATGATTGTGCCACTGCACTTCAACCTCAACCTGGGGGATGGAGCAAGACGTTTCTAAAAAAAAAAAAAAAAAGGAACTGCAAATTTAAAGATAATATAATAACTGAATAGAAACGTGGGCAAAGGATATAAATGGGCAATTTACAAAAGAGGAAATAAAAGAAGGTGCCAATTTTTTGGCTATCTGATTGGCAAAAAGTAAAAACATTAATGATAACCTTGGCAAGGTTGTGGGGAAATGAGAGCTTCCAGTTCATGATTGTGGGTGTGTAAATCGGAGCAGCTACTTTGGAGAGCAATTTAATAGTCTATTTAAATAACGTACATAAGGCTGGGTGTGGTGGCTTATGCCTGTAATTCTAGCACTTTGGGAGGCTGAGGCAGGTGAATTGCTTGAGTTTAGGAGTTCAAGACCAGCCCGGGCAACGTGGTAAAACCCTGTCTCTACTAAAAATACAAAAATTAGCCAGACGTGTGATGACGTGTGCCTGTAATCCCAGCTACTTGAGAGGCTGAGGCAGGAGGATCGGTTGAGCCCTGGAGGCAGAGATGGCAATGAGCTGAGATTGCGCCATTGTACTCCAGCCTGGACAACAGAGTGAGACTCTGTCTAAAAAAAAAAAAGTACATACTCAGCGTGTTTGGAAATTTTATAAATTGAGACACACACTCACAGAATCAGTTCTAGAATAGAGGATTTTTAGATGGGTTTATCTGATATTATTGAAGACAAGTTGTTAGATTTAAAATACTCAGATGGCACCAAATTCCATTCACAATACCAACAAAAACATGTAATATCTAGAAGTAAATATAGAACAATTGATTTAGTGAGCAACATAAAGGCATAATTGAATGAAAACTGAGGCATTCAGGGAAAACTGTATTTTTAAAAATTATTATTATTTTGAGATGGAGTCTCACTGCAGCCTCGACCTCCAAGGCTCAAGCGATTCTCCTGCCTCAGCCCCTGAGTAGCTGGAATTAAAGGCACACGTCACCATACCTGGCTAATTTTTGTGTTTTTAGTAGGGACAGGATTTCACCATGTTGGCCAGGCTGGTCTCAAGCTCCTGGCCTCAGGTGATCCGCCCGCTTCAGCCTCCCAAAGTGCTGGGATTACAGGCTTGAGTCACCGCGCCCAGCCCAGGGAGAAATGTATTTTAAAGGTACCCCTTTGCCATAGACAGATGGATGCAATTCCAATAAAAATCCCATGAGGGGACTGGGTGCAGTGGCTCACGCCTGTAATCCCAGCACTTTGGGAGGCCAAGACTGGTGGATCACCTGAAGTCAGGAGTTCGAGACCAGCCTCCAGCCTGTAAATTTTGTAAAAATACAAAAATTAACCAGGCATGGTGGCGTGCACCTGTAGTCCCAGCTACTCGGGAGGCTGAGACAGAAGAACTGCTTGAACCTGGGAGATGGAGATTGCAGTGAGCCAAGATCACACCACTGCACTCCAGCCTGAGCGACAGAGCGAGACTCCATCTCAAAATAAATAAATAAATAAATAAAAAATAAAAAAAATAAATCCCATCAGGGGATTCATTTTGGTTTGCCTTTTTCCCTAGAATTGAACAATATTAGTGTGAAATTAAAATAATGTAAAAATGGTTAATAAACTGGGATGTTAAACTGTATCCTGAAAAAAAAAGTCAAGTAGAATGACCAACCCCAGCAAAAGAAGCACATGGGGGCACAGCAACAAATACAGTGATGTGTTAGAGATGGTGTCTGCGCCAACAGAAAGCAACTTCTGAAGGCCACACGGAAAGAGTGCTTGCTGGGGTCCTGCCCTCCGTGGGCCCACATTCCCTTGTCTCTAGGTCTGCTGAATGGGCTGTTGGCTCAGGTGTCAGCAGCTCCAGGGTCCTCTGCCCTCCCTTACTCGTTTGGTCTATGTCTGCTATTTCTCTGCAGGTCCAAGCCTTGTCATCGGCCAGTAAGTTTGAAGCAGAGTTGAAAGCTGAGCAAGATGAGCGGAAGCGGGAGGAGGAGGAGAGGCGGCTCCGCCAGGCAGCCTTCCAGAAACTCAAGGCCAACTTCAATACATAGTCCTGCTGACCTTGCCCTCTGCCCACAGCTGTGCCTCACAGATGCCCCGAGAAGAGATGACTAGGCATCTTCATCACTGCTGTCGGTCCCCTCCCTGAGCCAGCATCTCCATCCACCACCCCGTGCCAGCTCCCGTGCCAGCCTTCATTCCTCCCAGTGTCCAAGCCCCTCCAGGAGGGTCCTGGGGTGGGCCAGATGCCTGCCCACCTCTGTCTCCTGCCTCTGCTCCTCTGCCCTTCTTATAGCCAGAACTTGTATCTTCTCAGCAACCTTCACTTTGTCCTTGTCCCTTTACCATTCCCCATCAAAGAGTAGTCTGCTATATCAATTTGTGTAGATATGTCTGTCTTTTTGGGTCCTCAGAGAAAATGCCCATTTTCTCGGAGAATTCTCTGCACTCCTCTCTGCTTCACATTCAACTTCCCTGTTCTCATCTTTGGTAGGATTCTGCCAGTTGCTTTTGCATCTTCTGTTCCTGGGTAATGGTGGGTCTTAATGGAGGCTGGGTGGACCACTGCCCGTCCACTCTTCAACAGGAGGAACAGCATGCCACCATAGTAACACACATTAGAGAAAGGACAGAGGTCTGCTCCTTCCTGCCACCTTTCTCCTGGCCCCTTAGCATTCCCCCAGTCCCTCCCTCTTCACCTTGCTCCGTCTATGTCTTCCCAGCTCAGCCTTTTCCCCACTCTTAAATACTGTACTACTTCACTGTAAGAACGAAAGAATAGTTAGGATACCAATGAGTAAAAGGGTTCCTGTTCACTCTGACTCTGTGCAAATTGTATTACAGTAGACCGCTGACGTTCCCAAGTGACAGATCCAGGGCCTTTCAAACATCCCCAAAGTCATGGCCATACTCACCATTAGCCAGTTTCTAACATCTGTTTCAGGGTATCCAGCTGTAGATGTTCTTATCCCCCATACTTGTGAGTTCTTGGGGTTGCTCACAAATACTAGGGGTTTTTGTTGTATTTTTAACAAATATATCCTAATGTCATATTTATTCTCTTTTGTAACTGCTGTCTTTACAATAAAGAAATCATCTGCCTTTCTATCTTACAGCTATTTCTTTTTACATTGTACAAATAACGTGGCCATCACATCAATGTGCCTGGAATTTTCTTGAATTAAAGGAGAGAGTAGAGTATTTTCTATAGGAGCCAAGTCCCATCCAGGGCTTCTGTTTGACATTGAGTCCTGAAGTACAGTTAGAAATGGGAACTAGAGGCCAGGCACGGTAGCTCACATCTGTAGTCACAGCACTTTGGGAGGCCGAAGTGGGCAGATCACTCGAGGTCAGGAGTTCAAGAACAGCCTGGTCAACATGGTAAAACCCCATTTCTAGTAAAAATATAGCCAGGCATGGTGGTGCATGCCTGTAATCCCAGCTGCTCAGGAGGCTGAGGTGGGAGAATCCCTTGAACCAGGGAGGCAGAGTTTGCAGTGAGCAGAGATGTTGCCACTGCACTCCAGCATAGACAACAGAGCAAGACTCTATCTCAAAAAAAAAAAAAAAAGGAAAGAAATGAGAACTAGAGGGCTGGTTTTCACTCTATATGATTCAGAGTACTCAGCTTATCAGTTGCACTCCTCTTCCCTTCTGTGAGGATGCCTTCAGCTGCAGGGAAAAACCATAGCTTCATTTCTTTTGCATCCTAGATCCCTTGAAACTGTGATGAGAGCCAATGCCCCTCCCTCCTATGTATAATCCAGGATATTTGGGCTACCCATGCAATGACCTCTGTCCCAAGAGAATACCCTTTGCTCCTCAGGAAGGATCATTCTGTTTCATACAGACCCAAGACCTATGCTTTGCAGTCATCATTTTTCTAGCTGGTGTCATCCTCTAGTCTCCCCACCAGAGGGGAGGGACATGAAAAAGGAGTGGAGAGATTCTTACCATACGATCCAGCAATCCTGCTCCTTCCTATTTCTTCAGATTACATGAGAGCTTATGTCCATGCAAAAACCTGCACATGAAGCTTTTGCTTTTGTTTCTGATTTTTTTGAGACAAGGTCTAGCACTGTCACCCAGGCTGGAGTGCTGTGGTACGAAGATGGCTCACTGCAGCCTCAACCTCCTAGGCTCAAGTGATCCTCTTGTCTCAGCCTCCGAAAGTGCTGGGATTACAAGCATAGGCCACTGTGGCCGGCCTGCACATGAATTTTTATAGCAGCTTTATTCATAATTGCATAGACTTGGAAACAATCAAAATGTTCCTCAATAGGTGAGTGCATAAACTATGATACGTCCGCACAATGGAATATTATTCAGTGATGAGAAGTATTTACCAATAGAAAGAAATGAGCTATCAAGTAATGAGAAGACATGGAGGAAACTTACATGCATACTGCTAAGTGAAAAGCCAGTCCTAAGCTTGGTGCAGGACGCTTGCTCATAGTTCTAGCTGCTCACGGCTGAGGAGGAAGGATAACTTGAGCCTCGGAGTTTGAGTGCACCCTGAGTAACACAGTGAGACCCCATCTCAAAAAAAAAAACTAATCTGAAAAGGCTATATGCTATTTGATACCAACTATGGTATGACATCCTAGGAAAGGTAAAAGTGTGAAGACATTGAAAAGATCAATGGTTGTCAGCGAGGAGAGAGGGAGGGATGAATAAACGCAGCACAGAGGACTTTTAGGGCAATGAAACTTATTCTCCATGATGCTATCGATGCTGGTGGATGAATGTCTTATACATTTGTCAAAACCTATAGAATGTGCAACACAAAGAATGCACCCTAGGCTGAGTGCAGTGGCTCATGCCTGGAATCCCAGCACTTTGGGAGGTGGAGGCAGGAAGATCACTCAAGCTCAGGGGTTTGAGACCAGCCTGGGCAATATAGTTAGATCCTGTGTCTACCAAAAAACTTTTAAAACGCCAAGCTTGGCCGGGAGCGGTGGCTCATGCCTGTAATCCCAGCACTTTGGGAGGCTGAGGCAGAGGGATTGCTTGAGCTCAAGAATTTGAGACCAGCTGGGGCAATATAGTGAAACCCCATTTCTATCAAAAATACAAAAAAATTAGCTGGGCATGGTGGCAGGCATCTGTGGTCCCAGCTACTTGGGAGGCTGAGGCTGAGGTGGGAGGATAGCTTGAGCCCAGGAAGTGGAGGTTGCAGTGAACTGAGATCGTGCCACTGCACATCAACCTGGGTGACAGAATGAGACCCTGTCTCAAAAAAAAAAAAAAAAAAGGCCAAGTGTGGTGGCATGCGCCTGTGCTCTCAGCTACCCAGGAGGCTGAGGTGGGAGGATGGATTGAGCCCAGGAGGAGAAGGTTGCAGTGAGCCAGGATCATGCCACTGCACTCCAGCCTGGATGACTGATTGAGAGCCTGTCTCAAAAAGGAAAAAAAAAGAATGCATCCTAATATTAACTATGGAGTTTAATAATGCATCAATATGGGCATATCAATTGTAACAAATATACCACATTAATATAACATAATAATAGGGAATGGGGAGTTAGGGTGAGAGGGGTACATGGGAACATGTACTTTTGGCTCAGTTTTTCTGTAAACCTAAAACTTCTCTAAAAAATAAAGTCTAGGGTGGGCGTGGTGGCGGCTCATGCCTGTAATCCCAGCACTTTGGGAGGCCTAGGTGGGTGGATCACCTGAGGTCAGGAGTTCGAGACCAGCCTGGCCAACATGGTGAAACCCTGTTTCTACTAAAAATACAAAAAATTAGCTGGGAGTGGTGGTGCACGCCTGTAATCCCAGCTACCCGGGAGGCTGAAGCAGGAGAATTGCTTGAAAACTGGAAGGCGGAGGTTGCAGTGAGGTGAGATGGTGCCACTGTACTCCAGCCTGGATGACAGAGCAAGACTCCATCTCAAAAAGATAAATAAATAAATAAATAAATAAATAAATAAATAAATAATAAAGTCTAATGGTGAAGGAGACGAGAAAAAAAGGCTATTCATTTAAAAAGAAGGAAGAGAATGGAGATAGCAGTGTCATTTACTTGAAGCATCCGTTTGCCTTTCTGGACAAGTGGGCCCACATAAGAGCTAAAACTCTCGATTGCTTGTCACAAATTGTGAAAATAAAAATAAATAAATAAGGCTGGGCGCAGTGACTCATGCCTGTAATCCCAGCACCTTGGGAGGCTAATGCAGGTGGATCACTTGAGGTCAGGAGTTTGAGACTAGCCTGGCCAACATGGCAAAACCTCATCTCTGCTAAAAATACAAAAAAATTAACCGAGCGTGGTGGCGTGTGCCTGTAGTCCCAGCGACTCGAGAGGCTGAGGCAGGAGAATCCCTTGAACCCAAGAGGCGGAGGTTGCAGTGAGCCGAGATCACACCACTGCATTCCAGCCTGGGTGACACTGTCTCAAAAAATAAAAATGAACAATAAATAAATAAAACTTTTGATTGCAAGCAATAGAAACAACTTCTGATTGCAAGCAATAGAAAATCCAACACGAAAGGACTTCAGACAAAACAGGACACGTGGGGCCATGTCACTACAAAGGCCAGGTAGAGGATGTCGTTCCTCCCTCTTGGCCACAGAGTCCCCGGGAGGCCGCTCCCTTGTGCCTCCCACCCTCCATCTCCAGCGCCATGGTCACAGCTCAGACCTTCATAGGTTCCTTCCTGGGTCTCTACCGTGAGCTCCTCATTGGTTTCTCTGCCCTCATTATACCTGATTGTCCGCTTTGCAGCTGGAGTAATTCTTAGAAAATGCAAACCAGTTCTTAACATCTCTCCTTCAATTTTTGATTCCCCACTTGCAGGAGCTGGCCCCAACTCATCCCTCCAACTCCATCTTTTGTCCCTCCTCCCTGCCCTGTCTCCTTCCAAACTCTACACTCCTGGTATATGCGATGCCTAACTGTTCCTAGAAAATTCCACACCTCCAGGCTTTTGCATATGTGGTTTCCTCTGCCTGGCACTCCCTCCCTCCCTTCCACAGGTGGATTACTTCTCACTGTTGAAGACTCAGCTCAGAGATTATCTTCAGGAAGCTTCCTTGATGCTTCCAGGCCAGGTAAGGTGTCCCTTCTCAGGGCTCCCATTTCCCTGAGTTTCTCTCTACTGTAATCCTGACAGCTTGAGGCAGTAGCCATCTCCTTACTTCTCAGCCCCGCTGTTTGGACTGTGTACTCTTTGCAGGGCAGGAAGTTTGCCTTGCCTATTGCTATAGGCCCAGCATGCTGCGTGGCATGTAGCAGGCAACCTTGCATGTTGGTTTCACAAGGACATGCCAGGTTTGTTAAAGCAGACAGATGGGCAAGGCAGGATCATTACCACTGATGTCAGAGACTTCTGAGTACTCCACCATGAGAGCCTGAGGGGCCAGCTCTGAAAGTGGAGACTGGCTGGGTGTGATGGCTCACCCCTGTAATCCCAGCACTTTGGGGGACCGAGGCGGGTGGATCACCTGAGGTCGGGAGTTCGAGACCAGCCTGACCAACATGGAGAAACCTCGTCTCTACTAAAAATACAAAATTAGCTGGACATGGTGGTGCATGCCTGTAATCCCAGCTATTTGGGAGGCTGAGGCAGGAGAATTGCTTGAAACCGGGAGGTGGAGATTGCAGTGAGCCGAGATTGTGCCACTTGCACTCCAGCTTGGGCAATAAGAGCGAAATTCCACCTCAAAAAAAAAAAAAAAAAAAAAAAGAAAAGAAAAGAAAAGAAAAGAAAAGACAGGAAAGTGGAGACAGCAGAGCTTGTGAGAATATCTTTCTCACTGGAAGAGAGAGAGGTCACTCCCCAGGGCCCTCCTTTGACTGAGCAATAGGAAAAACAACACACCAATTAGTCTTGCCTAGGCCCTGGAGGCTGTGTGATCTAACGAAATTTGGACTCGAACACTAGGCAAGTAACTGAACCTCACTGAGCCTCCATTTTCTCACCTGTAAAATGGGCATGATGGTGACCTACCTGGCAGATTCCACGCCTGCCATATATTTAGTGCTCAGGACACACGGGTTCCTCTCTCTCCCCTCCCTCCCTCCACTACTGTAACTCTGTCTCCTCCTGCGCCCTGAGTCTCTACAGTTAGGTCCAAGAGTCTCAGGCCAGGGTAGCCCAGAAGTGCTCAGTCCTGGCTGCTGTCTTGGCCACAAGTGCAGATGCCCACGGACCCATGTTCTCTGTTATTTTGAGACCCCTTTTCTGACCAGCCCAGGGGAATTTCTGCCCATCTGCTGGCTCACTTGCATGCTCCTGGCGGCTGCCAGTTACTGAATGTGGTCTGACAGCTGTGGTTTTGTCGCTGCTCAGATTTCTCCTTGCTGACTCTGCCTGTCCACGAGGCCAGATGCTGGCACATCACTGCCCACTTGGACTGACAGTACTATACAAGAATGATGCCTTCTGGGTCCTGTAATCCCAACACTTTGGGAGGCCAAGGCAGGAGGACTGCTTGAGCCCACGACTTCAAGACCAGCCTGGCCAACACGGCAAAGCCTCATTTCTACAAACAAATACAAAAAAATTTAGTCAGGCATGGTGATGGGCACCTGTAGTCCCAGCTACAAGGAAGGCCGAGGCAGGAGGGTTACTTGAGCCTGGGAAGTCAAGACTGCAGTGAGCTGAGATCACACCACCGCACTCCAGCCTGGGCGACAAAGCAAAATTCTACAACTTAGCGAGGCATTAAGGATGAGACCTCAGCAGGGGTCAATTTTTTGTTTTCCTCCACTCCTTCCCAAAACCAGTGGCTTTTGGCATTCTGCCATGGGGTGTTGAGCATGTATATTGCTGTTGCCATCTTGTTATTAGTAGTATTTTTTCTTTTTCTTTTCTTTTTTTTTTTTTTTTTTTGAGACAGGGTGTTGCTCTGTCGCCCAGGTTGGAGTGCAGTGGCACAATCTCAGCTCACTGCAACCTTCGTCTCCCAGGCTCAAGCGATTCTCATGCTTCAGCCTCCTGAATAGCTGGAATTACAGGCACATGCCACCATGTCCAGCTACTTTTTGTATTTTTGGTAGAAGTGGGGTTTTATCATGTTGGCCAGCCTGGTCTCGAACTCCTGAGCTCAAGCTATCTGCCCACCTTGGCCTCCCAAAGTGCTGGGATTACAGGTGTGAGCCACTGCACCTGGCCTCTATTTTTCTTTATAGAGGTAATCAAGTTAAAGCTGTTGCCTTGTTGGTTTTTTACTTATTTTTATTTTTGTAGAGACAGAATCTTGCTCTGTCACTCAGGCTGGAGTACAGTGACGTGATTATAACTCACTGCAGCCTCAAATTCCTGGACTCAAGCGATCCTCCCACTTCAGCCTCCCGACTAGCTGGAACTATAGGCACAGGCCACCATGCTTGGCTAGCTGTTGCCTTTTTGAAGGGCAATTTGGTAGACTGTTAAAATTAAAAATTGTATTTGTATTAGTTATTTATGTTTATGTTAACAAATCACACCAGGACTTAGTGGCTTAAAACGATGATTAATATTTATTATCTCACACAGTTTGGGGCCAGGAATTTAGAAGCAAATTGGCTGGGTAGTTGGTTTGGGCTCAGGGTCTCTCATGAGGCTGCAGTCAAAATGTCAGCTGGGGCTACAGTCATCTGAAGGCTTGACTGAGCCTGGGAGACCTGCTTCCAACATGACTTACTCCTGTGATTGATGCTGGCTATTGGCAGGAGGCCTCAGTTGCCTGCCGTGTGAACCTCTCCATGAGGCTGCTTGAGTGTCCTCACAACATGGCAGCTGGCTTCCCCCAGAGCAAGTGATACGAGAGAGTAAAGGGCAAGCCTTTTAAGACCTAGCTTCCTGAATCACACTCTGCTATCTACTAGTCACATAGGTCAGCCCTATTGGCAAAAGTCATTAGGAGCCATCTTGGATGCTGGCTACTTTGGAATCAGAGTTCTTAATTGCAAGTAATAGAATCTAAGCCAGACTGATTTAAGCAGAAAAGGAATTGATTGAAAAGACATGGAGGAGTCCCCAGAAGCACCAGCAGGGCTGGGGGGTGCAGGCTAAGGAAGCAGGCAGGAGGCCAGGAGGCTGGGACAGCAGCCAAAAGCACACCATGGGAACCAGCTGCTGTCCTGGCTGACAAGCATGCCGTGGTGTCCTGCTTCTTCAGGTCATTTACTCCATATCAGAGTCTGAGGCTGAGCCTAGTCACATGCCCACTTGTCAGGGGTGGGACAGGGGAGTATCTGGGCTTTTTGTGTTCTGTAAGGGGAGGCAAGCTCTGCCAGCCACCAAGATTCTCATTTTCTACAAACATGGGAAAGAATTTCAGTATTTCAACTGAAAGTAATTCACTATTTCAGTTCAGCAGAACTGTCATAAAGAATGGCAGGTGTCCACTGCGGAGATACTCATGAGCTTTGGCCCAGAAATTTATCCTATAAGTAAGAAAAAAAATGAACAAGGATGCATTTAAGGGAATAGTCATTACAGTGTTGTTTGTAATAGCAAAAATACTGGAAACAATCAGCATATCCATCAGCAGGGGATCGGTTCAGTATATTAGGTACATCCACGTAAGCGTGCACTGCTAGGCAGCCACTAAAAAAACATGGATGCCACCAAGACATCTTGTTTCTTGGAAACAGGCCAGGAGCAGAACAGCACACATAGTAATGCTCAGGTGTTTTGTTTTGTTTTGTTTTTTAGTTGGGAGGAATAAAGCCATGTGTATTTGTCCGTTCTCACATTGCTATAAAGAACTACCTGAGGTTGGGTAAGTTATAAACAAAAGAGGTTTAATTGGCTCATGGTTCCACAGGCTATATAGGAATTATGGCTGGGGCAGGCCTCAGGAAACTTACAATCATGGAAGAAGGTGAAGGGGACGCCAGCACAAAGCAGGAAGTGCTACAGACTTTCAAACAACCAGGTCTCCTGAGGACTCTATCATGAGAATAGCAAGGTGGAAGTCCGTCTCCATGATTCAATCACCTCCCACCAGGCCCCTCCTCCAATATTAGGAACTACAATTCAACATAAGATTTGGGTGGGGACACAGAGCCAAACCATATCACTATGTCTCTACCCAAGTAGACTGTAAGCTTTATGAGGTGGGTGATCAGGTGGATTTGGGGGCAACCATTGAATCTCCAACACTTAGTGGTACTGAGAATGAAGGAAAATGCCATACTTGTTTTTTTGATTGTTTGTTTGTTTTTGAGACAGAGTTTTGCTCTTGTTGCCCAGGCTGGAGTGCAGTGGCATGATCTTGGCTCACCACAACCCCCGCCTCCTGGGTTCAAGCGATTATCCTGCCTCAGCCTCCCGAGTAGCTGGGATTACAGGCATGCACCACCATGCCCAGCTAGGTATTTTTTTTGTTGTATTTTTAGTAGAGACAGAGTTTCTCCATGTTGGTCAGGCTGGTCTTGAACTCCCAACCTCAGGTGATCCACCCGCCTCAGCAGGCATGAGCCACTGCGCAGAGCCCTTTTTTTTTTTTTTTCACTCTGTTGCCCTGGCTGGAGTGCAGTGGCACGATCTCGGCTTACCGCAACCTCTGCCTCCCAGGTTCAAGTGATTCTCCTGCCTCAGCCTCCCGAATAGCTGGGATTACAGGTGCCTGCCACCACGCTCAACTAATTTTTGTGATTTTAGTAGAGACGGGGTTTCATCATATTGGTCAGGCTGGTCTCGAACTCCTGACCTCAGGTGAGCCACCCGCCTTGGCCTCCCAAAGTGCTGGGATTAAAAGTGTGAGCCACCGCGCCTGGCTGGAAAATGCCGTACTTGTTAATGCATGCAACATTTTTGGGGAGACCACACAAGAAATTGATGGAAGGAGAACCTGAGGGTGCTAGATAGGTCTTGCGGCAGGGAGGATTTAAATTTTTTCCTTTATACGTTTTTGAACTCTAAAAACTATAAAACCATAAACATGTATTGCTTCAGTACTACAATGACTACTACTACCACCACCACCACCACCACCACAATTGTTAATAACTATTAATAAAAAAGAGAGGGGGCTGGGTGTGGTGGCTCACGCCTGTAACCCCAGCACTTTGGGAGGCCAAGGTGGGTGAATCACCTGAGGTCAAGAGTTTGAGACCAGCCTGGCCAACATGGTGAAACCCTGTCTCTACTAAAAATACAAAAATTATCCAGGCATGGTGGCACACGCCTGTAATCCCAGCTACTAGGGAAGCTGAGGCAGGAGAATTGCTTGAACCCTGGAGGTGGAGGTTGCAGTGAGCCAAGATCATGCCACTGCACTCCAGCCTGGGCAACAGAGTGAGACTCCATCTCAAAAATAAATAAATAAATAAATAATAAATTAAAAAGAGAGGGGAATGTCTGGCCACAAAGAAAACAAGAAGAGCAGTTGAACATTCATGTGGGAACCCTCTGGGACAGCAGAACTATGAAACCCTAAAGATGGAAAATACTCAGATAAAAATTAATAACATTTTGGGATGCATCATGGGACATCAGGTGAAATGATACATTTATTGTATTCCAAGGTTTTTTAAAAAAATGATTTAATGTCTCATACATTCAGAAGTTGGAAATGAGAAAAGAATTAAAAATATGCAATTACTTTTATAATAAAAACGTTTTTCAAACATAGAAAATGGATTTCTTTTCATAGTTATTGTCTGCATAGCCTTTCTTGTTTGTTCAGTTCTCTGGTACAATTATCTTTTTTTTTTTTTCCACCCAGGCTGGAGTACAGTGGCATAATCATAGCTCACGACATCATCAAACTCCTGGACTCAAAAGATCCTTCCACCTCAGACTCCCAAGTAGCTGAAACTACAGGTGTGTTCCACCACACCCGGCTAATTTAAAAACATTCTCTTTATTTATTTAGAGACAGTCTTGCTCTGTTGCCCAGGCTGGAGTGCAGTGGCACGATCTCGGCTCACTGCAACCTTCGCCTCCCACGTTCAAGCGATTCTTACGCCTCAGCCCCCAAGTAGCTGGGATTACAGGCTCGCACCACCACGCCTGGCTAATTTTTGTATTTTTAGGAGAGACGGGGTTTCCCCATGTTGGCCAGGCTGGTCTCAAACTCCTGGCCTCACTAAGTGCTGGGATTACAGGCGTAAGCCACTGTGCCTGGCCTAAAAACATTTTTTTTTTTTAGAGATGAGGTCTTACTATGTTGCCCACACTGGTCGGGAACTCCTGGCCTCAAGCAATCCTCCTGCCTCAGCCTCTCAAGTAGCTGGCATTAGAGGTGCGAGCCATCTGCACCAAGCATGGGGAACACAGTTCAATCCATAACAATGATGTTCCAGCTACTGTTGCTATTAACAAATTACCCCAAAACATAGTGGCTTAAAACACCCATTTTATGATGCTGATGGATTTGGTGGATCAGGAATTCAGAGAAGGCACAGTAAGGATGCTTGTCCCTGCTTCATGATGTCTTAGGCTTTGATGTCTGAGGGTGACTAGACAGCTCAGGGCTGGGATCACCTGGTGAGATTTTTCACTCAGACGTCTGGTTGTTGATGCTGTCAGCTGGGACCTCAGTTGGGGTTAGTGATGGGACAACAATGTGGGCCTCTCCATGTGGTTTACGCTTCAGGCAGCTTCAGGGACTGCCAAACTGTTTTTGCTTCAAACAAGACTGTTTCAGGAAGCAAGGTGAAAGGCATATCACCTCATGATCTAGCACTGAAGTCATGTCATTTTACTTCTACCACTTTCTATTGGTGATAGGGTCCAAGGGACTGGGAATTAGACTCTACCTCTAGAAAGGATAGTGAAGGTGCTAGAAAAGTAAGTCAAATGGAAGATATTGTTGCAGCCATCTTTAGAAAAATACAATCTGTCACAGGTGATGACCCCTGGCAATTTTTTTTTTGAGACAGGATCTTGCTGTGCTGCCCAGGGTGGAGTGCAGTGGTGTGATCCCAGCTCACTGCAGCCCTGACCTCCCAGGCTCAAGCAATCCTCCCGCCTCAGCCTCCCAACGTGCTGGGATTACAGGTGTGAGCCACCTCGCCTAGCTATGTGCTCATAACAAATTAAACTTGTTTTGGATTAAACTCCTTACCCTCCTCCCATCCTCAAATGATCTATTATTCTCAACTTCTGTTTCTATCAGTGGTGTACTACGGCTAAAACTTTATTATCCCTGACAAAAGCATGCATCAGTCTACGTTGTAATTTAATACCACTATTTAGTGAAACACTGGAAAGACAGAGTTACTAAAAGGAGAAAAGGAAAGCACCCTTCCTGAAGAGTAGATAATCAAGAATCGATTGGGTTTTATTGGTGTTTGTTGAGCATTTACTGTGTGTCAGGGCAATACCAGCTGCAGAGGTTGCTGGATGGAATAATGCAGCACTCACAATGGTTAAAAGCTGGGATTTTCTCCAGCTTTTTTTTTTTTTTTTTTTTTTGAGACAGGGTCTCACTCTATCACCCAGGCTGGAGTGCAGTGGCACACAATCTCAGTTCACTGTAACCTCTGCTTCCCAGGCTCGAGTGATCCTCCCACCTCAGCCTCCCAAGTAGCTGGAACTACAGTTCTACATTATCATGCTCAGCTACTTTTTTTTGTATTTTTAGTAGAGATGGGGTTTCACCATGTTGGCCAGGCTGGTCTTGAACTCCTGAACTCAGGTGATCTGACTGCCTCAGCCTCCCAAAGTGCTGGTATTACAGGCGTGAGCCATCGTGCCTGGCCACTTGTATATATTTGTCTCAAGTTGCAGAACTGTGCACTAAAAGTGCTAAATTTTATTGTGTGCAAATTATATCTTAATTTAAAAAATATATGTATAGGCAATGTACAGGTGGCATGGCATCAGAGAGGTGGCATGACAAGTTGGTTAGGGACATGGGTTCTACAATTTGCCAGCCTGGGCTTGGAAATCCTGGTTGAGATTTGGATATGGTAAGCACTTCTCTCAGAAGCCTGGTTGGATTGCTCCATAGCGCTCTTACTAGGATCACATGAGACAGTGCAAGGAAAGTTTTTAATGGGGTGGTCAGTACATAACAAGTATTAGTATTACTTTTTTCCTTAAAAATAACAGCTCAAGGGGTAAATTCTTTGGTCTAATGGAGGCACAGAGGCAGTAACACATGGACTGGCAGGAGTTGCAGGTTGGGGAGAAGTGGGTAAGTGTTGGGAACGGCATTGCAGCAGGATGGAACAGCATGTGCAAAGGCTAAAACATAATGTCATGTTTACGAATCTTTTAACATGGGCCTATCTGGAGCACTTAGTTCAGGGGGAAGATCAAGGAGAAGAGAACAACATGGATGATGGGTAGAGTTCTTTTTGATTGTTTGTTTTAGATACAGGGTCTTGCTCTTTTGCCCAGGCTGGAGTGCAGTGGCATGATCATAGCTCATTGTAGCTTTGTATTCCTGGGCTGGTGATCCTCAGCCTCCCAAGTAGCTAGGACTGCAGGTGCACGCCACCACGCCTGGCTAATTATTATGTATTTATTTTTTTTTAGAAATGGGATCTCTCTATGTTTTCCCAAGCTATGGGGGTAGAATTCTGCAGAATGGGACTGTGAAGGGCTCCTTTGAGTTTCTGTATTTCTAACAAGTCTCCACGTGATGTTGATGCTACTGTACCACTTTGAGCGGTAAGGGTATAAAAGTCAAGGGAAGAAAGTGTTTCAGAAGGCCGGGAGCGGTGGCTCATGTCTGTAATCCCAGCACTTTGGGAGGCCGAGGTGGGCGGATCACCTGAGGTCGGGAGTTCAAGACCAGCCTGATCAATATGGAGAAACCCCGTCTCTACTAAAAATACAAAATTAGCCGGGCGTGGTGGCATATGCCTGTAATCTCAGTTACTTGGGAGGGTGAGGCAGGAGAATCGCTTGAACCTGGGAGGCGGAGGTTGCGGTGAGCGGAGATCACGCCATTGCACTCCAGCCTGGGCAACAAGAGCGAAACTGTCTCAAAAATAAATAAATAAATAAATAAAGTGTTTCAGAAAGTAGGAAGAGGCCAATCATATTGAAGACAGGGAAACACGAAGTCAAGATGAGGACTGAAAGACTCCAGTTATCAACCTGTAGGATGGGGTGTTCTTAGGGCAAGCAATAGGCAGATAGGAAAGGACAGAAGCCACATCGGTGTGGTTGATGATTGCATGCCAGGTGTGGAAATGGAGAAAGTGCATATAAACAATTCTTTGGTGCAGCTTGGCTTTGAAAGGGAACAGGGTCGCAGGAGGGAGAATTGGTGTTTTTGATTGTTTGTTTGTTTATTTGTTTTTTTCGAGACGGATTTTCACTCTTGTTGCCCAGGCTGGCGTGCAGTGGCGCGATCTTGGCTCACCGCAATCTCAGCATCCCGGGTTCAAGCGATTCTCCTGCCTCAGCTACCCAAGTAGCTGGGATTACAGGCATGCGCCACCACGCTCGGCTAATTTTGTATTTTTAGTAGAGACGGGGTTTCTCCATGTTGGTCAGGCTGGTCTCAAACTCCCAACCTCAGGTGATCCGCCGCCTCGGCCTCCCAAAGTGCTGGGATTACAGGCGTGAGCCACTGCCCGGCCGAGAATTGGAGGTTTTTGTTTTTGTTTTAGACGGAGTCTTGCTCTGTCGCCAGGCTGGAGTGCAGTGGCGCGATATCGGCTCACTGCAACGTCTGCCTCCCCAGTTCAAGCGATTCTCCTGCCTCAGCCTCCCGACTAGCTGCGACTGCAGGTGCGTGCCACCACGCCCGGCTACATTTTTTTTTGTATTTTTAGTAGAGACGGGATTTCACCGTGTTAGCCAGGATGGTCTGGTCTCGATCTCCTGACCTCGTGATCCGCCCACCTCCGCCTCCCAAAGTGCTGAGATTACAGGTGTGAGCCACTGCGCCCGGCATGAGAATTGGAGTTTTTAACATTCCATTTTAAGATGGGAGACACAAGTAATCTTTAAAGCTGACAGGAAGGATCCTGTAGGAAGGAAGAAGTTGGAGACACAGGCAAGAATGGGATGCCTAAGGATAGAGTTGCTAGATTTAGCAAACACAGGACGCCCAATTAAATTTGAATTTCAGAAAAACAACGAACAATTTTTCAGTGTGTGCCCCAAATATTGCTGGGTGTCTTGTATTTTATCTGTCAATTCCAAAATAGTTCATCTCTAGGTAAAAGGGTTATAGCCCCAGATGTCCTAGGAAGGAATCAGAGCTCTCAAGTCCTTTCCAGCTGTCCCAGTACAACACTCTGAAATGAATTCCCAGTTCTACCAGAACTGTTAACAAGTAGAGAAACTGCTTTGAATTTCAGCTTTTGCGGCTTTCCCATTCGCTCTAGGATGGCAACTGCGAAGAAAAATGCCGGACTAAAAGCTGTGGAAAAGTTCTAATTTGGAAAACCAGCCCGCAAGTGATGCAGAGGCTTTTGAACTGCAAAAGAGCTCTGGGCGTACAGGACAGTGAGTCACACGGTGCCTGGTCCGGGCCCAACCCTGGACACCAACACCACTCAACTCAAGGGCAGGTACCCGGCTGCTGCCAAGGGGTCAGCGGGAGCCTGCGCACTGCCACGGCCCCGCCCTCTTCCAACCTTTCATCCGGGTCTCGGGCAGGGGCGTGTCTGGGCAGAGGGGCGGGTGGTGGCGGAAAGGAAGGATGTCGTGGGAGACTGGAGAGTGGGGAGGGAAGCGGGAAGGGGCGGGGGCGGAGCAGGGGGCGTGGCGGAGCGGGAGCGCGGTCACGTGACGTGCGTGGCGACGTGTCGGCCATCTTGTGTTGTTGAGGCTGAGGACTGACTGGGGTTCTGAGACTCCCTGTCCCGGACCGCAGGTAACCAGCCGTTCCGTGTCGCTCCCCTGCCCGGCTCTGCTCCGCGCCCCGGCCCCGCCGCCGCGTCCCGGGCCGCCTGTGTCTCCGGTCCGCGTTCGCGCCCCTGCTCCTCCTGCCCGAGCTGGCCCGGCCGCATGGACACCCACAGGCCGCTCCGGCCGGCTTGGGCCGTCAGGCGACGGGACAGGTCAGGTGCAGGGCCGGAGGGAGCCTCCTCCTGGGCGAGGGGCGCTGAGGGCCCTGGCGCGTCACGGCCGCGAGGAGCCGAGAAGCCCCTAGGCCAGGGCCTCTTGGCATTGCGAGGGGAGCCGAACAAGGCAGGAGGGTTGTGGGGTGGGCAGTGTCAGGCCGGCTTGCTCGGAGCTGGAGGGCTCGCCTTCCTCTGCTTGCTTCTCCGCGCCAGACACCCGCCCAGTCTCGGGGTGGCCCGGTAACAGCTGCTGCGGCCAGACAGCTGCTCCTGCCGGCTCTCCTGTCCACACCTGGTCCCTGGGAGGTGCGCTCCTGCCTTCCCCACAGAGCATCTGGACGGAGGAGACTCCTTCCGTGGCGAGAGTACTGGGTCTGGACCAGGCCTGAGGCGAGGTGCAGCCACCATGATCGGAACCTTGGGACCGAGGCTGGGAAACTAGAGCCCATGGCAGCCTTGGGGACCCAAATGTTCACATCAGGTTGAAATGGGCATTATCCTTAAGTGTCAGTTTCCAAAAGCACTCTGAATACTTGTTTTGCGACTGAAACATAAATCAAGCGAACAGGGAATGGGGGCATGAAAGAAGCGGAGCGTATGACCGTGTTTGGGAAGCAATAACGTTGTTTTGCAGTTAATTATTTAGTACTGTGTTTTTTATTTTGTTGTTTTCGTTTTCCTGCAAGTCAAAGCACTTAAACACACGTAGTCTCTCTGTAAGAAAGGTAAGTATTCCAGTTTAACTTGCAAGAAATTGAGTATGGGGCTAGAAGCTGTGAACAGCTTCCTTTCTAGAGCTACATACATTGAATTAAGGCAGTTTTGATTCCCAATGTTGTGCCTGGGGAAGGTATTCTTTCTTTATATAGTATGTCCTTTTTAGAATCAAATGACTTCCTAGATTAGAAAAAAAAATTCTGTCATTCTTTCTGTACATTAATTTTGCTCCTTCTAATATTTGTAGCTTTGGCCTTATTTTGTCCATTTTGCCTAGAACACAAATACTTTCTCTTATTCATTGATGGTTTTACGTGTTTTACTAGTTGGTGTAGCAGTTTCTGATGTGCTCAAACTGGAATATGTACTTGGCTTTTACATCAGATGTTGACAACAGAAGAGGACACTAGAAAAGTATTTAAAAGTGGCACGTAACTGGAAAAATGTCACATGATGTTTCTTTCGAAATTTAACATCAAGGAATACACTGGTGATGGTAGTGCTTCACCAGAAAGGAGAGGGCTTCATGACTTTTTGGTACCTGACAGCATTTGAGACTCTTGAGGTTTGGGAGGGAGAAGGAACCATGTGCTTCCATTCATTTGTTTATTCATTCATACATTCATTTATTTGACAGATACCCTGTTGAGCACTTACTACACTGTTAAGTACTGGGAGCAAAACAGACCAAACAATTCCTGTCTGTATGGAATTCATTTCTAGACAGATAAATAGGTAAAATACTTGATGTAGTGGTAAGCGATGTGAAAGAAAAAAATGAGTCAGGGAGATAGAATAATAGGGGTTTGGGGAGGGGTTAATTTTAAGTGCCCTGAGAAGGCCTCATGGAGAAGCTAACACTGGAGGAAAAACCCAACAGAGGTGAAGGTGCTGTTTCTTTAGCTATACTGGGGTAAAAGTGCTCTAGGCTAGGGAGCAGCAAGAGCAAAGACCCGGAGACAAAAGCTTAGGAGCGATTCAGGAGTAGACTGGGAAAAGCATGGAGGCTAGCCTAGGCTGAGAGGCTAGGGTGAGTGGGAGACTGGTGGGAGATGTGTGTACTTACTGTTTGGTACTAAGATGAGATGGATTATTTGCTATCCTGAATTCTTTTTTCTTATCTCTTGTGATTCTTGGAAAGGGAAATCAGATTCTGGAAATTTGGGCCAGCAGCCAGCCTCCCCAACCCCCTTAACTCCCATCCCCATCCGCTAATTTGGAAAAATTTAGGATGCTCAGTATTTCAGGAAATTATAATGAATTATCTTTCTCAAAAGTAAACGTTTTAAAATGAGATTGATGATAAACTGCTTGAAAGTACTTTTCAAAAGCAATTGCTTTACAAGAAGGAGGCTCTTTGGAGATTTCAGGATATTTGAAAATGTAGGGAAATTAGAAATTTTCCTTTCACATTTAGACACATGATTAAGGAACATACCAGGAAGAAAGGTGGAAACAATGTATTAACTCAAATTATCCTTAATCTGGTTAGTAAAGAATTTTTCTTAATACTGTGCTGTCCAGCCCGGAGACTCTTCCTCTAATTCATGTGTATATCCTTCACATTTTACACGTGTAGAACTTTTTGTGCTGAGTTTTTTATTCCTCCACTTTTACCTTTCAGACTAGTTGTCTAGTCTGATACTTAATAGACATATTTTTTTGCAAAAAACATTTTCTGATTTCCTTCCAGTTTATCTCCATATTCTTTTTACTGAGCTTTCATAAATGTCCTCTTTCATTTTAGTTCAGCTGAGGAATTTTAATATTTTGGTTTTGAAATGCTTTTGCTGGTGAGATGCATATGTGAAAAACACTTTGGAGTAGGTTTGCCTCAAAATCATGAGAAGATGGAAATTACAAGGTCAGTGTGTGAATGCAACTCCTTGGCTAAAAGGGAGGCATAGTGATGGTAGTGATGAGGTAGTGTTTTAACTAATTGCCTTTCTTCCTCTTGTTTTTCTATTGTGTTTTTGAAATGACATTTCCAAATTATGTCTTTGATGTCATATCAGCTCATTTGTTTTCATGACTCTGCATTTTAATACTCCATATTGTCTCTTCTCTTTTTGTTGACCTTCACATTGGAAGATGACACTGTTGATAGTGATTGCTATCTGGGAGAACCTTTTTGGGTAAAAAGATTACTACTGTCGCTTTTATGATTGCCCTTCTGTAGGATCTTTGACTTGTGCCATTTTCAAATTTTGACTTTGTTTGCAGTTCTCCATTAGCTCCTGCTGATTAAATTTCCCATACTTTCTGTTTTATTCTATTTCTTATAGATTATAGTGGGACCAGTCTCATTAGGTTGAATCTACAGCCTATGTTGGTGTTAACCCAGGTCTCTTAGAGGCAAGTTAAATGTCCATTTTCCTTCAGTTTAAATTACCATGGCATATTGTTTGGTCATTGTTGTAACAGTCTGAACTCAAGCTTTTTTTCACTGCTTGATTCCCACTAGGGTTTTGTGGTGATAAAGTCCTATGGTTTTTGCATGGGAGAGTATTTAAGAATAAAAGGAAAAATATATAAAATGAAAAAGAAATAGAAGTTTAAAATAAGATAAAAAAGTCCTAGAGTTTCCATTCATTTTTAATACTTTGAAAAATTACATCTCTTTAAAACTAGAGATTTTTATTTCATGTATAAACTTGCTTATAGTTAGCATTGCAGTGTTTCTTGACCAAATATTGTTTTTACATTTTATTCATGCTCTCAGATGAATGAGAAATATACTAAATTAATTATGTAGGAATGTAAAGTGATACCTTTATTGAATTGCCTATAGTTTTGTGTGAGGTTGAAAGCAGAAAGAGGTTTGAAAAACAAAGAATGTTCTCTTAATTGACCAAACTTCATTTTATAAAGGTATTTCAAAGTATTACATACTTCCCTACTTTAAGTAAATAAGGAACACAATTTTATATTTTCTTGTTAACTATGGGGTTTCATTAAGCTTAATTATTATTATTATTTGAGATGGAATCTCACTGTGTTGCTCAGGCTACAGTGCAGCGGCCTGATCTTGGCTCACTACAGCCTGTGATAGAGCAAGACCCTGTCTCCTGGGGGTTTGGGGTTGCAGTGAGCCGTGATTGCACCGCTGCGCTCCAGCCTAGGTGATAGAGCAAGACTTTCTCCAAAAAAGACAGGGTCTTGCTCTGTCACCTAGGCTGGAGGGCAGCGGTGCAATCACCACTGACTGTAACCTCAATCTCCCAGGCTCAAGCCATCCTCCCACCTCAGCCTCCTAAGTAACTGGGATTATAGGTCCATGCCACCACATCTGGCCAATATTTTTTGTAGAGATGGGGTCTCACTATGTTGCCTAGGCTGGTCTTAAACCTCTGGTCTCAAGTGATACTCCCGCTTCAGCTTCCCAAAGTGTTGAGATTATAGGCATGAGCCACTGTGCCCCACCAAGAATGCAATTTGAGAAAGTCACATCCACTTCTGATTTAATTTTGCAAAAAAAGTAGCCATGTTATAATGTCCAAAGGTCATCCAACTTTACCCACTGAACTGTGTAATTTTTTAAGGGCAGGAGGAAAGGGAAGAAGAAATGGATAATAAACTCTTCTTTGGCTGGGTGCAGTAGTTTACACCTATAATCCCGGCACTTTGGGAGGCTGAGGTAGGAGGATCACTTGAGCCATGAGACCAGCCGGGGCAACAGAGAGAGACCCCCATCTCTAAAAAAGATTTTTAAAAAATTAGCTGAGTATGGTGGTGCACGCCTGTAGTCACAGCTACTCAGGAGGCTGAGCCCAGGAGGTCAAGGCTACAGTGAGCTCTGATTGTACCACTACACTCCAGCTGAGGGAACAAAGCAAGATCCCATTTTGAAAATAACTGGCCGGGTGCAGTGGCTCATGCCTGTAATCCCAGCACTCTGGGAGGCTGAGGTGGGTGGATCACTTGAAGTCAGGAATTTGAGACCAGCCTGGCCAACATGGCAAAACCCTGTGTCTACTAAAAATACAAAAATTAGCTGGGCATGGTGGTGCACACTTGTAATCCTAGCTTCTCGGGAGGCTGAGGCAGGAGACTTGCTTGAACCTGGGAGGCGGAGGTTGCCTTGAGCCCAGATCGTGCCACTGCACTCCAGCCTGGGCAACAGAACGAGACTCTGTCTCCAAAAAAAGAAAAAAAACTCTATCTGTCTCTATCTAGTTGCTTTCCTGTAGTTAATGAAATTGTCAACTTTAATTGTTAATTATTGTTCTTTGACTTGTTAGTAGCAGTAAAGCATCATTTGATTTTAGCCAAGAAACTATTTGAAGATACTATACTTCAATTCACTCTTGTCACTTGGAATATCACCAACTTATGGATTTTTAAGATATTGCCCCAACAGAGCATTAAAGGCAGGTTGTGATTTTGCACACTTGGAGCTTTGCTCCCTGGACATTTTGGCAATGATCATATTTCTGAGGGCTCAGTGATTATTTGCATAGGATGCATATTGCTGTGATGCGGCTTTTGTTTTTCTGTTAGATATATATTTTTTGAGATAAGGTCTCACTCTGTCACCCAGGCTGGAGTGCAGTGGTACAGTTGCAGCTCACTGCAGCTTTGACCTCCCTGGGCTCAGGTGATCCTCCTACCTCAGCTTCCCGAGTAGCTGGGACTACAGGCATGTGCCACCATGCCTGGCTAATTTTTGTAGAGGTGGGGTTTTGCCATGTTGCCCAGGCTGGTCTTGAATTCGTGGGCTCAATCGATCACCTTCCTTGGCCTTCCAAAGTGTTAGGATTACAGGCATGACCCACTGTGCCTGGCAGTAGGTTTTAAAAGTTAATACCAAGTCCCTATAATGGGGTTTTGAATGAAAACCCCAAATAATGACTTCCCTGAAACCCCATGGTGGTCTTCATTTGACAGCTTCATAAGAATCACTTAGGACTTTTGTTAAAAAATATAGTTTTCAGTCCCACTGTAGAACTACTGAGACTTTCTAGATGTTAGGGAACCTAGTTTATAAATACACCAGGTGATCTACTCTTTTAACCAGGTTTGGAAGCCATTTTCTGCAAAGTATATTTATGATGAAAGATTGTACTTTTAAAGTTTCCTAAGAGGTTGCTGGGTGATTTATATTAATATTTTTATTATTTACAGCGTTAAAAGGATCTGAACAAAGTCTGCTCAAATCTCCTGCTGTGAACCAGCAGAATTTTTGAACAGGTAAGTGTGGAAGGGAAGCACAAAGCCTGAGGGCTTTTGCAAATAGGTAATTTCTGCTTTTAGGTTTTAGTTATTTTTGCCCTATTATTTCTCCTGAGGTTTTGGGTAGTGAGAAGAAACTTCTTCCCTGGTGCCTGTCAGATCCTTTATGAACAGTAAGAGTAACATACCCTTTCTGCATTGACCCTGGTGTGAATTTGTGTCTTAAACTGTCATAATAATTTTTTGTTGGCAAGAAACAAGGAGGAATGCTTTGGAGGCAGGAGTACTGTAAAGAACCAAAGAGCAGTTGACTTCATGAGGGACATGAACCAGAAACTGGGAAGCTTTCAGGAGCCATAGTACTTGTAGATAGCACTTTTTTACCAGCTGGCCAGTGTCCTCTCTTGTCTCTTTTTGTCCTGCTTTAATTGTATTTGTGCAGTCTGGCCTTTTCTGCTTTAACAAACACAAACTCATGGTAGCAAATGGCCACTTAATTCTTGGAGCCACATATGAACTTAGGCTCTAGTGCCAGTAGCCAATTGATGCTAGCACAGTGTTCACATTTCATATTCTTGGGAGGGGGAAATTTGGCTGGTTGAACTTGGTTCGGTTCTTTGTCATTGATCACATTAGTTATGGACATAGGGTTGGAGTCTAGAAGTGCAAGCACAGTTAGCTGAAAGGTCCCACTCCTAATGGTGGGGGCAGGTCTCAGAGAAGGTAGAATGGTGACTATTCTAGGTGGACTCCCAGAGAAGCTTCTGGACATTTTTCCTTTTCTAGCATTCTAGGAAAATGTCCTGTGTATAGCTCTGCAGTTTCGATTTATCTGTTCTAAAGAGTTAACGTACATGCCTATCTATCTTTTGGTGAACGAGGCCAGTAGGTCTCACCAAGCATTCTTGTTGAAATTTATTAGTGCTGTTTTTTGTTTGTTTGTTTGTTTTTTAGACAGAGTCTTGCTCTGTCGCCTGGGCTGGAGTGCAGTGGCATGATGTCAGCTCACTGCAGCTTCTGTCTCCCAGGTTCAAGTGATTCTTGTGCCTCAGCCTCCTGAGTAGCTGAGATTACAGGTATTCGCCACCACACCCAGCTAATTTTTAGTAGAAATGGGGTTTTGCCGTGTTGGCCAGGCTGGTGTTGAACTTCTGGGCCCAAGTGATCCACCTGCCTTTGCCTCCCAAAGTGCTGGGATTACAGGTGTGAGCCACCACATATGGACTTCTTAGTGCAGTTTTTAAACGAAAATTCTTGGTTTTGGAGGTTCAGAGGAGTGGCTGGGTAAAGGTTTAGCAAGCAGACATAAGCAAAGGAGAAGTTTCATGTGGAAAATTTCATTGGTTATTTCCATTGATTGTTTTTTATAAATTTTAACTTCTGGATTTTTTTTTTTTTTTTTTTTTGAGACAGAGTCTCGCTCTTTCGCCCAGGCTGGAGTGCAGTGGCGCGATCTCTGCTCACTGCAAGCTCCGCCTCCCGGGTTCACGCAATTCTCCTGCCTCAGCCTCCCAAGTAGCTGGGATTACAGGTGCCCGCCACCACGCCCGGCCAATTTTTTGTATTTTCAGTAGAGACGGGGTTTCACCGTGTTAGCCAGGATGGTCTCGATCTCCTGACCTCGTGATCCGCCTGCCTCGGCCTCCCAAAGTGCTGGGATTACAGGCGTGAGCCACCGCGCCCGGCCAACTTCTGGATATTTTTTATAGTATTAAGCTACACTTGAGTATTAGGAAGCCATATAGAATTCGCAGGGTCCAACTTCATAGACTCTATTCACATTATTAGAGTAGTAGTGGGGACCGTTACTTTTGGGAAAGGATCAGTGAGACAGTATAAACTTTTGAAATAATACATTTTTGTATTCCAGAATTATTAGATAATACTAAAGCAAACTTTTTTAATGGAACATTTTGAAGTCCTGTGTATTTATTTTTATTTTTTTATTTTTGTTGAGACAGAGTTGCACTCTTGCTGCCGAGGCTGGAGCACAATGGCGTGATCTCGGCTCACCACATCCTCTGCCTCCTGGGCTCAAGCAGTTCTGCCTCAGCCTCCCGAGTAGCTGGGATTACAGGCATGCGCCACCACACCCCGCTAATTTTGTATTTGTAGTAGAGACAGGGTTTCTCCATGTTGGTCAGGCAGGTCTCAAATTCCCGACCTCAGGTTATCCGCCCGCCTTGGCCTCCCAAAGTACTGGGATTACAGGCGTGAGCCACCGTGTGTGGCCTTTATTTTTATTTTTTGAGATGGAGTTTCACTCTTGTTGCCCAGGCTGGAGTGCAATGGCACGATCTTGGCTCACTGCAACCTCCGTTTCCTGGGTTCAAGCGATTCTCCTGCCTCAGACTCCCGAGTAGCTGGGATTGCAGGTGTGTGCTACCACACCCGGCTAATTTTTTGTATTTTTAGTAGAGACAGGGTTTCACCATGTTGGCCAGGCTGGTCTGGAACTCCCGACCTCAGGTGATCCACTTACCTCGGCTTCCCAAAGTGCTGGGATTACAGGCATGTGCCACCACACCCAGCCCGTTTATTATTGTTTGTAGCTCATATATACTTGGTGACATCTAATTGCTTAACTAATATTTCATTACTTACATTTTGCTATATTAGTATGTCTAGATTTTTGATGCAAAGGCTAGGAATTAATAAAAGTGATTTATTAATGAGTGATATGTCTAATGACAGCCCACAGATGTGACTTATGTTACTTTTTTTCAGCCAGGGTTGTTTTTAGCAGATTGTAGCTGAATTCATTTTTAAGGTAGAAGAGTTCTTTCTCATATTGTACATTTTCTTAAATCTGGGTGTTGACATAAGACATATGCAGAGCTTTGTGAGGTTTAAAAGGATTTCTGCATAATTTGTGTAAAATTGTCATGGGCTGAGCACAGCGTGGCTTACATCCGTAATCCCAGCATGTTGGGAGGTTGAGGCTGGAGGATCACTTGAGCCCAGGAGTTCAAAACTAGTCTGGGAAACAGGGAGATCATGTCTCTATGAAAATAAAAAAGTTTGGCTGGGGCGTGGTGGCTCACGCCTGTAATCCCATCCATTTGGGAGGCTGAGGCAGGCGGATCACTTGAAGTCAGGAGTTTGAGACCAGCCTGACCAACACGGCGAAACCCTGTCTCTACTAAAAATACAAAAATTAGCCGGGTGTGGTGGCACGTGCCTGTAGTCTCAGCTACTTGGGAGGCTGAGACAGAACATAATCTCTTGAACATGAGAGGTGGAGGCTGCAGTGAGCCGAGATTGAGCCACTGCACTCCAGCCTGAGTGACAGAGCAAGACTCTGTCTCAAAAAATAAATAAATAAATAAAAATAAATAATTAGCTCGGTGTGGTAATGCATGCCTTGGTCCCAGTTACTTGGGAGGCTCCCTTAGGCCTGGGAGTTTGAGGCTGTACTGAGCCGTGATTGCACCACTGCATCCCTACCTGGGTAACAGAGCAAGACCTTGTCTCAAAAAAAAAAAAAAAAAAAAATTTTTTTTTTCACAGGATCTAGGGAATCCCTCTGTGGAAAAAATGGCTTATGGTAAAATTCTCAAATGATGTGGCAATGTTGATGGCATTGTAATTTTTCCTAAAATATTTTGGTTTTGCTAATTTTATTCTTTTCACTAAAAGGAGGAAGAAAGGAGAAGGAGAAATGTTTATATTGTTCAGAAACAGTAGGAAGAATGATAGTAAAAGCAATACGTTTTCTTCCTGTAGTGATATTGTGGCTAGTATCTTCTTCGGGAACAAAGCGCCTTTTATTCAAATTCTCCTGGGCCAGGAGGAAGTCTTGGGAGCTCTGGTCTCTTCAGTATTGGTCCTTTGGTTATACAGACTGACAAGGAATTGGCAGAAGTTTGTGAGGTTTAAAATTCCTCCTGTACAACAAGAATTTGGTTGTACAGACTGACAAGGAATTGTCTTGGTACTTTCTACTTGATAAATCATGGCTTAGGTCTTAAAGAGTAGCCATATCCACGGGCTCTCATGATCAGTTTCTTGGGAACTGATGTGTGGTGCTGCTCAAACCATGACCAGATGTCTTCAGTGTAACTGGATTAGCAGCCGTCCTGCAAGATCAGTGAATCAGAGAGCCTTACTTTAGATCTGGAATCTGACCCTCTTCTTAGCTTTTTGTATTACTTCTACCATTGGGATTTTTTTTTTTTTTTTTTGAGACAGAGTTTCGCTCTTTCATCCAGGCTGGAGTGAAGTGGTGCCATCTTGGCTCACTGCAACCTCCACCCCCTGGGTTCAAGCGATTTTCCTGCCTCAGCCTCCCTAGTAGCTGGGATTACAGGTGCGTGCCACCATGCCCGGCTAATTTTTGTATTTTTAGTAGAGACTGGGTTTCACCATGTTGGCCAGGCTGGTCCCGAACTCTTGACCTCAGGTGATCCACCTGTCTTGGCCTCCCAAAGTGCTAGGATTATAGGTGTGAGCCACCATTCCCAGCCTTTTTGCATTTCTTTTTTTTAATTAAAAAAAATATTTTTTTTGAGACAAGGTCTTGCTCTGTCCCTCAGGCTGCAGTGCAGTGGTGTAGTCACAGCTCACTGCAGCCTCGACCTTCTCAGGCTCAGGTGATCCTCCCACCTCAGCCTCCTGAGTATAGGAGTACAGGCATACACCATTGCACATGGCTAATTTTTCTATTTTTGTAGAGACTGGTTTTTGCCATGTTGCCCAGGCTGGTCTTGAACTCCTGGACTCAAGCTATCCTCCCGCCTTGGTCTCCCAAAGTGCTAGGATTACAGGCGTGAGCCTCCATGTCCAGTATTTGCACCTTTATTAATGAAGTTTCCCATAATGTATTATAAGAACATACACTCTTCCTTAATTGAGGGCAGACTATGTTGTTTAATTGTGTGGTGCAACGGGTTGGGAGTTTGGGGACAGTGAACAGAATGGGAGATTGAGAAAGGGAAAGAAAAGTGACAATGTACAAAATGAATTCCTCTGAAAATTGCAAGGAACTGGAAAAAAAAAGCAATATTGAGTACCATATCAATATGTAGTGAAAAGCTTGAGGGCTTTTGAACAGAGAGATGTGGGTTTGATCTTTTGTCACTTGGCCAGGTGCAGTGGCTAACGTCTGTAATTCCAGCACTTGAAAGGCTGAGGCAGGTGAATTGCTTGAGTCCAGGAGTTGGAGACCAGCCTGGGCAACATGGCAAAACCTCATTTCTTTAAAAAAAAAAAAAAAAAAAAAGTAGCTGGGCATGGTGGCATGGGCCTGTAGTCCTAACTACAGCCTCACTGCAGCCTCTGCCTCCCAGGCTCAAGTGATCCTCCCATTGCACTCCAGCCTGGGTGACAGAATGAGACTCTGTCTCAAAAAAAAAAAATTTTTTTTTCTGGCCAGGTGTGGTGGCTCACACCTGTAATCCCAGCACTTTGGGAAGCCGAGGTGGGTGGATCACCTGAGGTCAAGAGTCAGGACCAGCCTGGGCAACATGGAGAATCTCCATCTCTACCAAAAATACCAAAATTAGCCGGATGTTGGTGGTGGGCACCTGTAATCCCAGCTACGCGGGAGGCTGTGGCATCAGAATCTCTTGAACCTGGGAGGTGGAGGTTGCAGTGAGCTGAGGTTGCACCACTGCACTCCAGTCTGGGTGACAGAGTGAGACTCCATTCCAAAAAAAGAAAAAAAAGTTACTTGTTACATGTAACTTTAGACAGGTTAGCCTTTTGGAGCCTAACTATCCTTATCTGTAAAGTATGTCCTGTGGTTATTGTATCCATGAAAAATCTAAATATAATACCTGGCATGCATTAAGTAGGCTCTCAGTGAATGGTGGCTTTTATGATTGCTATTACTATGTAAGTAGGTAAATTTTGATTGCAAAATTTCATCTTTTAAATTGGGTTTTCTTTTTAGATACAGGGTCTTGCTCTGTCATGCAGGCAGCTTGCTGCAGCCTAGAACTCCTGAGCTAAAGTGATTCTCGGGCTTCAGCCTCCTAAGTAACTGGGGCTATACGCGCGGCCCATCACACCAAGCCAATTTTTATTGCATTTTACTTTTTAAAATTTTTTCATAGAGGCCGGGCGCGGTGGCTCTTGCCTGTAATCCCCACACTTTAGGAGGCTGAGGCAGGTGGATCACGAGGTCAAGAGTTCAAGACCAGCCTGGCCAACATGGTGAAACCCCGTCTCTACTAAAAATATAAAAATTAGCCGGGTGTGGTGGTGCGGGCCTATAATCCCAGCTACTTGGGAGGCTGAGGCAGGAGAATCCCTTGAACCCGGGAGGCAGAGGTTTCAGTGAGCCGAGATTGCACCACTGCACTCCAGCCTGGGCAACAGAGCAAGACTCTGTCTTGGAGGAAAAAAAATTGTAGAGGTGAAGCCTTAAGCCTGGTCTTGAACTCCTGGGCTCAAGTGATCCTCCCGCCTTGGCTTCTCAAAGTGCTGGGATTAGAGATCTGAGCCACTGTGCCTGGGCTCCAGCTGATTTTTACAAAGTTATATATTTATTTATTTATTTATTTGAGATGGAGTCTTGCTTTGTCGCCCAGGCTGGAGTGCAGTGGCGTGATCTCAGCTCCATGCAAGCTCTGCCTCCCGGGTTCATGCCATTCTTCTGCCTCAGCCTCCAGAGTAGCTGGGACTACAGGCACCCGCCACCATGCCCAGCTAATTTTTTGTATTTTTAGTAGAGATGGGGTTTTACCATGTTAGCCAGGATGGTCTCGATCTCCTGACCTTGTGATCCGTCTGTCTCGGCCTCCCAAAGTGCTGGGATTACAGGTGTGAGCCACCGCGCCTGGCCTAAAAAGTTATTTTAAGAGGGGATCTCGCTATGTTACCTAGGCTGGTTTAGAACTCCTAGCCTCAAGCAATCCTCCCACCTTGGCCTCCCAAAATGCTTGAGATTACAGGTATCAGCTACCATACCAGCCATCTTTGTGCGTTTTGAATAGACATGTCAGTGAGTTCTGTCTGTGGGTCTTTTGTCTTTAAAAAAATTTAAACCCAGCAAATGTTTAATGATTGCCTTGTGCCAGGTGCTGGACTAGCCCTGGTGGTTGAGCAAAACACATATTGTTCTGTCTTCATAGGCTTTACAGCCCAGTGAGAGAGGCAGTCAAACAATCATTTAAGTAAAATCCAAAATGTGAAAAGTCTTTCTGTCCTTGGAAAACGTACAGTTTGAAAACACTAGATACTTTTTGAATAAGTGTCACATTTTGGATCTTGGTGTTCTTTTTTTTTTTTTTTTTTTTCTGGAGATGGAATTTCGCTCTTGTTTCCCTGGCTGGAGTGCAGTGGTGCGATTCTCGGCTCACTGCAACCTCCGTCTCCTGGGTTCAAGCGATTCTCCTGCCTCAGCCTCCCAGGTAGGTGGGATTACAGGCACCCATTACCATGTCCGGCTAACTTTTTGTATTTTTAGTAGAGACAGGGTTTCACTGTGTTGGCCAGGCTGGTCTCGAACTCCTGACCTCAGGTGATCCACCCACCTCAGCCTCCCAAAGTGTTGGGATTACAGGTGTGAACCACTGCGCCTGGCCAGATCTTGGTGTTCTTATTGTCAGTGATATTGTATGCCCTTTGATATGCTCTCTAGGGTATGTATGTATGTTTTAAGTTTATTTATGTGTTTTTTATTTGTTAATTTTTTTTTTTTTTAAAGACAGTGTCTTGGTCAGTCACCCAGACTCAAGTGTGGTGGTGTAGTCTTGGCTCCCTGAAACCTCTGCCTATCCTCCCACCTGTACCTCCTGAGTAGCTGGGACTCCAGGCGTGCCACCATGCCTGGCTAATCTTTTTTTTTTTTTTTTGTATTTTTTTATAGAGATAGGGTTTCACCATGTTGCCCAGGCTTTGTCATTTTTTCTTCTTTCTCTGAGGTAGATGTTAATCAACTTTTTGATCTTAGGATCTCTTTACCCTCTTAAAAGTTATTGAGGGCCCCAAAGAGCTTTTGGTTTTTTAGTTGTATCTATCATATCAAGAAATCTAAAAGGTATTAGTTTATTTAAAAATAACAAACTCATTACATGCTAACATAAATATATTTTTAATATGACATACCTATTTTCTAAAACATTTCTAAAAATTTGTTGATAAAATTGGCATTGTTTTACCTTTTTACAGATTTCTTTTATGTCTTGCTTTATAGAAGGCAACTGGGTTATATTTGCTTCTGCATTCAGTCTGTTGCTATTTATTACTTTGGTTGAAGTATATGAAGGAAAATTATCCTCACAATGATGTATATATATATATATATATATAGTTGTAATAGAATTTCAATAGCTTTTACAGATAATTGCAGATATTCTTTGATATTACACTAAAATTCAACCAGCAGTGTTTTTTTTCTTTTTTTGTATTTTTAATTTTTATCGCTTTACTTTAACACTGCATCACCAGGTAGTTTTTTTTTTTAAAGGTTAGTTGCAATATGAAATCCGAGTTATATCAATAGTTTGTCTTCTGTAAATATAAAATCCATTTGTCTATCTTCGATGTTGAATGGATATCTTACATTATACAGTATCAAAAAATCACTTTCATTGAAATCAGCACTTATCAGAAAAGCCTTTAAATATTGGAAAACTTTCTAACTCATGGTGACGAATAGAAACTTTCCAAAATTCCAATTTTTGCTTGAAAGGTCAAATTTTATAATTGGCAACAGGTACTCTGAATTGTTTTTGTTGAAGTCTCATTCATTTTGAAAAAAAAAGTCTGCTACATATCCTAGTCTGGACACCCATATTGTGTGCAGCTATTCTTTCAAGTCAAAATTATGTTCCGTGAAAAAAAGCAGCTAGTTGAGCTTGTAACCCAAAACAATTGCATTAAGTATCCTTCTACATGACTTTGTATGCAGTAGAAATGCATATTTCCCATTTCATCATGTAGAATATTAAAAAGATGTATTCCTAGGGATCAAGATTAATACAATTAATAGTTTTTATTCCCTCGTCATGGGCATTCGTAATAAAAGTGGCTTTTCCCCCCTCTCTCTTATGAGTACATGCCACATGGCAGTGAAGAATATAGTGACTGCTGGTACAGTTTGTTGCAATTAACTTCAGTCATGCTATAGTGCCAGCAGTTTTCCCCATCACTGCACAGTCTGTGCAAGTGTCAACACATTGAAAAATGCAAATAATATTTTGGTTTTTGCAATAGAAGATTCTCAAACTAGCAAATGAGATCACAATAGTATTTTATAATAGTATTATTAAAAAAACACATCATGGATGCCCTGAAAGAGTTTGGAGGTCCATAGATTGTACTTTGTAAACTGCTGCTTTGAGGAGTGGAACACGTTTCAATGTTACATTTATGTATGTTACATTGATTTTTTAAAAAACGATTTAAAAACATAAGTGTTTGAAATTGGAATAAACATATCACTGAAGGTTTTTAGATATTACTGAGTTTTTAGTGCTAAGTAGATAAGAGTTTGTTTATAAGTTAGGATGAGTTATAATTTTCTGCTATGAAGAAAATGTTCTATGAACCTCCACCATCCAGTACTATAACTACTAGCCAGTTGTGTCTGTTGAGCGCTTGAGATGCTACTAGCTGGTGTGACTGAGGAACTGCATTTTTAAAAAGTGTAGAAAAAACTTCTTTTTTTTTTTTTGAAGTGGAGTCTTGTTCTGTTTCACAGGCTGGAGTGCAGTGGCATGATCTCTGCTCACTGTAACCACCGCCTCTTGGGTTCAAGCTATTCTCCAGCCTCAGCCTCCCGAATAGCTGGGATTACAAGCACCCGCCATCATGTGCAACTGATTTTTTGTATTTTTTGGCAGAGACAGGGTTTCACCATGTTGGCCAAGCTGGTCTTGAACTCCTGACCTCAAGTGATCGGCTGACTTTGGCCTCCCAAAGTGCTGGGATTACAGGCATGAGCCACTGGGCCCAGCCTTAACTTCTAAATTTTAACTTTTTTTCTTTAATAATAGGCTTTAGTTTTTACAACAATTGTAGATTTACAGAAAATTGAGAAGATAGTGCGGAATTCCAGTTATTAACATCTTACATTACTATGGTACATTGTTATAATTAATAAACCAATGTTGATACATTGTCATTAATTAAAGTCCCTCATTTATTTACATTTCCTTAATTGTACCTAGTGTCTTTTTCTGTTTCAGAATTCCATCCAGGATACCATGTTATACCTAGTCATGCATCCTTAGGCTTCTTTAGCTATGACAGTTTCTCTTGTCTTTCCTTGTTTTTGATGACCTTGACAAGTTTGAGGAGTACTAGTTATTTTGTAGAATGACTCTCTTTTAGAATTTGATGTTTTTCATGATTAGACTGGGGTTATGGATTTTTAGAGGAAGATGACAAAGTGTCATTTTCATCATATTAAGAGTATATATGTCAGCATGATTTATCATCCTTGATGTTGACCTTCATACTTTGCTAGGTTTGTCCACTGTGAAGTTAGTTATTCCCCCTGGTGCCCTTGAGGAACTGATTTTTTTTTTTTCTCTTTTTTTTTTTTTGAGACGGAGTCTCGCTCTGTCACCCAGGCTGGAGTGTAGTGGTGCGATCTCGGCTCACTGCAAGCTACGCTTCCCGGGTTCATGCCATTCTCCTGCCTCAGCCTCCAGAGTAGCTGGGACTACAGGCACCCACCACCATGCATGGCTAATTTTTTTGTATTTTTTAGTAGAGACAGGGTTTCACCATGTTAGCCAGGATGGTTTCGATCTCCTGACCTCGTGATCCGCCCGTCTCGGCCTCCCAAAGTGCTGGGATTACAGGCGTGAGCCACCATGCCGGACCGAGGAACTGATTTTAAAATTTTGGTTAATCTTAATTTAACTTTACATAGCCACATGTATGTGGCTAATGGGTGCTGTGTCAACAGTACATTTGTAGATAATGTTCTTCAGTTTTAAGTTTTAGCTAAAACTTTAACATCTGTTTTAATACCTTTAAAGAAGGTAATTTAACATAAAAAATATTAAAGCTTAGTCTTGGAATACATTGCTTTTTTGGGGGGTGCAGTCTATTTACTTTTAGTAAGTTTAGTCTTTTTAAAAAAGAACTTTTCTGAGGTAAAATTTACATACAATAAAATACCTTTATTTTAAGTATACTCATTAAGTGTACATTTTGATGAGTTTTCAGAAATGCACACACTGATGTAACTGTTACTGTAATCAAGATATGTAACATTTTCATTATCCCCAGAAGTTTCCCCCAGCTGTTTTGTAGTCATTTTTCCTCCTCCACCACTGTTCTGTTTTCTGTGACTTATTGATTAATATTTGCGTCTTCTAGAAATTCATGTAAATGGAAATCATATTTAGGTCTGGCATCTTTTTTTTTTTCCTATTTTAATACTTTTATGTTCAGGGGTACATGTGCAGATTTGTTACATAGGTAAATGTGTGTCATGGGGGTTTGTGGTATAGATTAGTACCCATTAGTTATTTTTCCCGATCCTCTCCCTTCTCCCACTCTCCACCCTCCACCCTCTGAGAGGCCTCAGTGTGTGTGGTTTCCCTGTGTGTCCATGTGTTCTTATTATTTAGCTGCCACTTTTAAGTGAGAACATGCGGTATTTGGTTTTCTGTTCCTGCATTGGTTTGCTAAGGATAATGGTCTTCAGTTCCATCCATGTTCCTGCAAAGGACATGATCTTTTTCTTTTTTATGGCTGCAGGGTCTGGTATCTTTTGCTTAACATAATTATCTGTGATTCATCCGTATTGCTGCATGCAAATAGTTTGTTTTTTAATGCCAAGAATTTTCCAAGGTATGACTTTACAGTATTTGTTCATAACATTATTTATGAACATTTGGATTGTCCTCAGTTTTGGGCTATTAGACGTAAAGCTGACCTTAATTTCATGGCATAGGTAATGATTCAGAATTGTATTGGGTTGCAGTGTTTATCACAATACTGTAAATTAGAAATTTAAATTCCTGTTAGGAAGGAGAAAAGCCAGCAGTAATTGTAATTACAGATAAGCAGTATCTGTAATTTTTTTGAAGACATGCCATAGAAAGAATAATTCACATAGAAATAATGTTTTGCAAGGTTTCATGTATAGTGTACGGGCCAGGTAGATGTAGACAATTCCTTGGACTTTTGTTGGCTTTCTGGGAAAAAAAAAAAAAAGTTCTTTGTTAATTCCTTAGGTAAAATGTTTAGTAATAAAGTGAATATTGAAGCCTAAGTTTGCTTCATGAAGTTTTGTCATCAGTAAATGTGTTAACAGATCATATTTTAAAAGTTACTCAAAAATGTTGGTGTATTTATTAGTGAAGAGATTTAGTATTGCCAGATGAGGTGGATGCCGAAGGAAAAGGTGTTTTCTGTTATAATAGATGGGAGAAGAATTTCCTTTTTTTTTTTTTTTAACCTTAAAATTCGTCTTAAACCAAGTTAAAGTTGAAATGAGTGATAACTTTTATGACATTTATGTTGGGACTGTAAAAGTATTTCAACAGGCCAGGCCTATGCTTTTTGTGATAATTAAAATACATTTTGTTATAAAGTAATTAAAGAATATTGCAAGTTATGAGAGTAGAGGACAAATCATTAATTTCACCTCACTAATATTCCTTTGTCTTGTGTTCTTTTTGCCTTTTTTTGGACATATGTATAACTATACTGTGTGCAGATGTTACTATAGCTGTCTTTTGTTGAGTGAATGTGCCACTTTTACAAGATTGCTTCCAGTCTTTTACTATTATAAGTAATGTGGGTCCCCCTCATGTTTGGACTTTTCCTTTTCATCTTACTTAGCTGTTTTCTGACATTTGAAAAAAAGCATTTGAAGATCTACATTCTTTTAGCCTAGTAAATGAGTCTTGCTTCATTTGAATGTAGGCCTCTTTATGGTCTTAGGAGCTGACAGATTTGAAGATTATTTTATCAAGATAATGGTGTTATTTGTTTTTTTTTTTTTTTTTTTTTTGAGACAGAGTCTCACTCTGTCACTCTGGCTGGAGTGTAGTGGCACGATCTCGGCTCACTGCAACTTCCACCTCCCGCGTTCAAGCAATCCTCATGCCTCAGTCATCCCTACTAGCTGGGATTGCAGGCATGTGCCACCACACCTGGCTAATTTCTTTTTGCATTTTTAGTAGTAATGGGGTTTCACCATGTTGGCTCAGCTGGTCTTGAACTCCTGGCCTCATGTGATCTGCCGCCTTGGCCTCCCAAAGTGCTGGGATTACAGGCATGAGCCACTGCGCCTGGCCAGTGTTTTTTTTGTTTTGTTTTGTTTTTTCTTTTCTAATCGCAAAAATTTAAGCAGGGAATGAATTTAATATGTTATCGGAAGACATTCATTTAAAATAGTTTAAATAGCTTTGTTTCATGCTCACTGAAGTTTTTTTTTTGATACAGGGTCTCACTTTGTAGCCCAGGCTGGAGTGCAGTGTCATGATCACAGCTCACTGCTGCCTCAACCTCCTGGGCTCAGGTGATCCTCCAACTTCAGCCTCCCCAGTAGCTGGGACCACAGGCTAGCACCACCACACCTAGCTAATTTTTGTTGTTTTTTTTTTTTTGTAGTGATGGGGTTTTGCCATGTTGCCCAGGCTGGTCTCAAACTCCTGGGCTCAAGCAATCCAGCTGCCTCGGCTTCCCAAAGTCCTGGGATTACAGGCGTGAGCCACCATACTTGGCCTTGAAGTATTTGTAATTGCTAAAGCATTTATGATTTATTTAACACAACTGGAGCTGGGCATAGTAGCTCATACCTGTAATCCCAGTGCTTTGGGAGGCTGAGGCAAGAGGATCATTTGAACCCAGGAGTTTGAGGTTACAGTGGGCTATGGGCACAGCCCTGCACTCTAGCCTGGGCAACAGTGTTGAGACACTGTCTCTAAGAAACAATAATAATAATTGATAGGTAAAATATGGTAAATACATGCACAAATGTGAAGTTTATAGTTCAATACATTTTTACATGTACATATACATGTATATGTACTTTTGTAGTCACCACTTAGATCATGATAGTGAACTTTTCCAGCACTCCAATTCCCTCTCCTTCCTGTTTAGTAGTCTCCTCTTCCCATGATGAGTACTTTCCTGACATCTATCACCATTTATTATCTATTTGTCTTAGTCTGTTTGTGTTGCTATAAAGGAATACCTGAGACTGGGTGATTTATAAAGAAAAGAGGTTTATTTGGCTCATGGTTCTGTAGGCGGTACAAGAAACATCTGCTTCTGGTGAGGGCTTCAGGCTGCTTACACTCATAGTGGAAAGCAAAGGGGAGCCAGTGTGTGTAGATCTCATGGTGAGGGGAGCAAGAGAGAGAGAGAGGAGGGAGGTGTCAGGCTGTTTTTAACAACTAGCTCTCTTGGGAACAAATCAAGTAAGGACTCACTCATTACTGTGAGAGTGGCACCAAGGCATTCATGAGGGATCTGCCCATAATCCAGACACCTCCCATTAGACCTCACCTCCAGCATCTGTGATCAGATTTCAACATGAGATTTGCAGGGGTCATATACCCAAACCATAGTACTCTTCTTGAACATCACATAAAAGGAATCATACAGTATATATTTTTTTCTAGCCAGCTTGTTTTTCTAAACATGATATCTGGGTGATTTCGCAGTATCATTGTGAATATCAGTAATTTTTTTTGTTGTTGTTGTTTGTTTTTTGAGACGAATTCTCACTCTGTTGCCAAGCTGCAGTGCAGTGGCAAGATCTTGGCTCACTGCAGCCTCACTGCAACCTCCACCTCCCAGGTTCAAGCTGTTCTCCTGTCTCAGCCTCCCAAGTAGCTAGGATTACAGGCGCCCACCACCATGCCCAGCTAATTTTTGTAATTTAAGTAGAGACAGGGTTTCACCGTTGTTGGTCAGGCTGGTCTCGAACTCCTGACCTCACGCGATCCACTCACCTTAGCCTCCCACAGTGCTGGGATTATAGGCATGAGCCACCGCACCTGACTAGTTCCTTTTTTTAAACTGCTGAGTAATATTTCATTATATGAGTATACTGCAGATTGGTTTGCCTGTTGATGTACATTTACATTGATGGACATAATACCCAAATGTCAGTTTTTGACAATTATAAATAAAGCTACTATGAATCTCTTGTCTTTTGGTAGAAATATAACTTCAGTTTCCTTGGATGTATGTGTAGCAGTTTGTTATGGGATCACAGGGTAGGCATACAGTTTAGATTTAATGGATATTGCCAATTCTTTTTGAAGTAGTTGAACTAATTTGCACTAATAAAGTTATTAATCTTGTGTTATCTTAATCCAGATCTGGCTAAACTAAAAATTGCTGGCTGCTGTGGTGGGGACAGAACTACTGATTCGTTTAGTATATGTGGAGAGTGCTAGAGGAGTTGGTCTTTTTTCTGCTTTTGGAAAAACGTAGGTAGGCAGTGGGAATGGGGGCAGATTCAGGTTCCTTGGTATTCATTCTGTGTTAGTTTTGTGGCAGACTATACATAGTACTGGCTGGACTCCATCCCAAATTTTGCCATATTTTTTCTGGGTAAGTTTTGCATAGCTAGGAAATAGAGATTTGTAGTAGCACTTTTTTTTTTTTTTGAGACGGAGTCTCGCTTTGTTGCCCAGGCTGGAGCACAGTGGCGTGATCTCGGCTCACTGCAAACTCTGCCTTCGAGCAATTCTTCTGCCTCAGCCTCCCGAGTAGATGGGATTACAGGTGAGAGCCACCGTGCCGGCCACATAATTTTTATAACAAAGATCCAGGGGGTTTTCAAAGATGTGTATGTTTTGAGTTCTTAGTGGAATAGTGGTGGTAGCTAATCTGTCTTCAAGACTTCTGGAAAGCAGTATTCGGGAACACTGTCAAAGTTAAGTATCAGACACTGTGCTGGAATCTGACTCAGCACCTACTTTGGCTTCTCCTTGCTGATTTTACCCACATGGGACTTACTACGTAGATTTGTCACCTTTTTTTTGAAAGTGATTTCCTGAGCTCAGAAGTTGCTTGGTTCCTCTAGGCTGTTCCAGGCTGTAAGAAAATGGTAGGCTAAGAGGGAGAGGTCAGAGTCTGTCTTTTCTTTATTGTAAACTCAACAATAAGAAGGACCTAGGTTGATTTCTTTTCTTTCTTCTCCTGTGAAAATGTACTCAGAGGCCCACAAAGTGATAGATGAGGTCCCAAAGAGGAGATGAATAGTTAAAATAAAGAGGAAGTCATGGAAATTATAGAAAAATATAGGGAGAAAAAGAAAAATAATTATACTAATAATCAGATAAAATAACTTACAGTGAGGTCTAAATTTAGCTCAGTTATTTAGAAGTTGACAAAAAGTCTAGCTTATATAATATTCACTGTCAAGTACAAGGATACAATTTATTGAAGAAGACAGCTTATTGGTATTATTGCATAAGGAATATATTACTTGAAGTCACTTATGTGTAATTTTGAGTAATGGACAAAGTCTGAAAAAGCAGTTATGTAGAAATATTCTCTCAGCTGTTTTTTTTTTGTTATAGATTAAGTTCTAGGGTACATGTGCACAACGTGCAGTTTTGTTACATAGTTGTACATGTGCACAACCTGCAGTTTTGTTACATAGTTGTACATGTGCCATGTTGGTTTTCTGCACCCATTAACTTGTCATTTACATTAGGTATTTCTCCTAATGCTATCCCTCCCCAAGTCCCCCATCCTATGACAGGCCCCAGTGTGTGATGTTCCCCACCCTGTGTCCAAGTGTTCTCATTGTTCAATTCCCACCTGTAAGTGAGAATGTGTGGTGTTTGGTTTTCTGTCCTTGTGATAGTTTGCTCAGAATGGTGGTTTCCAGCTTCATCTGTATCCCTGCAAAGGACATGAACTCATCCTTTTTTATGGCTGCATAGTATTCCATGGTGTATATATGCCACATTTTCTTAATCCAGTCTATGATGGACATTTGAGTTGGTTTCAAGTCTTTGCTATTGTGAATAGTGCTACAATAAACATATGTGTGCATGTGTCTTTATAGTAGCATGATTTATAATCCTTTGGGTATATACCCAGTAATGGGATCGCTGGGTCAAATAGTATTTCTAGTTCTAGATCCTTGAGGAACTGCCACACTGTCTTCCACAATGGTTAAACTAGTTTACACTCCTACCAACAGTGTAATATATATATATATATATATTTTTGTTTGTTTGTTTGTTTGTTTGTTTGAGACGGAGGCTCACTCTGTTGTCCAGGCTGGAGTGCAATGGCGTGATCTCAGCTTACTGCAACCTCTGCCTCTCAGGTTCAAGCAGTTCTCCTGCCTCAGCCTCCTGAATAGCTGGGATTACAGGCATGAACCACCATGCCTAGCTAATTTTTGTATTTTTAGTAGAGACGGGGTTTTGCCATGTTGGCCAGGCTGGTTTCGAACTCCTGGCCTCAATCGATCTGCCCACCTCAGCCTCCCAAAGTGCTGGGATTACAGGCATGAGCCACCGTGCCCTGCCTCTCTCAGCTGTTTTTAAGTCAAGTCTTTAAAATATGTGATAGACCTACTTGTTTGAAGTCCTTATCCCTAGAGTTGGAATAGCCAAAGAGAGAAAAGGCCAGAGGAGGGAGGGAAGAACCCGATCATCTTCTCTGTCAGAGTTGCTTTCAGCATGAGAAAGATATGCTAATAGGGTGGTCTCAGAACTAACAATATTTTGCCCACATTCCTTCAGAGGCACTGTCTTTTTCTGACTCCTTCCTCAAAGGTTTGAGTGCCCCTGTCTTTCAGAGATGTGAGGACAAGTTCTCTCAGAATTCCTGAGACCTGCCAATTCCACTATGCCATGCATTCCTGTCATCTGTCATTGTCCAGAATGAAAGTCCATCTGATCTTCATACCACTCAGAGTTTCTTCTTCCCTTGACCAAATCTCTTGTTTAATTCCTAAGGCTTTCCTCTTGAATTCTCTGAAATGTTATTTTTGTGTTAAACCTCTCCCTCGTGTTCATAAGATGTTTTTTGGCTTTCTTGTGGTAACTTAAGCCCATCTGCCCTGGTAATCTTACCTTTCCTTTAGCCCTCTGAGGTTAGCAGTAGGTTTTCTTGCACTATGGTATGTCAGGATGCAGAATCAGGGTCTTCATCCTTCTCCATTCACAGGCTCATTCTATTCCTTTATTAGGGTGGCCCTTCTGCCTAGCTTGCTGTTGTTCCTTTATGCAGTTCCTTAATATCCTTTCACACATTTTCTAGTTTAGGTGATAGATCATACACGGTCAGGTTAGCCATTTTTTCTCTATCTTTGTGCAAAACTCTCTTTCCTCTGAAGTTCATGCTGTTTGACAATGCATCTCTCTTCCCTTCCTTATTATCAGAAAAGGACCCTGTGGTCTTACCCTTTGATTCATTGTTTTTTCTATTTTTGTCTCTGCCATTATCCTGAGGTTACTTTAGAGTCTATGTAGCTGATCCATCTGGTCCTCCCATGTTCCTGGTTTCTTGTCTTTTACTTTCATCTCTAGTTCTACTAGTGCTTTCATTTTTATTTCTACTATACTTGCTTTTTGGCATTACCAACATCTTAAATTTGTCAACTCTCTTCTGTTTTTACACCCTTCCCCATAGTGTCTAAATCACACTTCTGCCAGCACCCTCTACTTTGCCTTCTTATTCTTCCCTTTACCGTGCTGACAAAACCCTAACCCTGGTTTCCTGTGGGCTCTCTGCCCCATACTCAGGCTGCTAAGTTGGAGAAAGAAGCCCACAACCACCTTGCAGATTAGCTTCCCTCTTGTATTAGCCCATTTTCATATTGCTGTAATGAACTGCCTGAGACTGGGTAATTTATGAAAGAAAGAGGTTTAATTGACTCACAGGTTTTCATGGCTGGGGAGGCCGCAGGAAAGTTACAGTCATGGCAGAAGGAGAAGGGGAAGCAAGGCACCTTCTACACAAGGCAGCAGGAGAGAGAAGTGCCAACCGAAGCGGGAAGAGCCCCTTATAAAACCATCAGATCTGATGAGAACAGCATGGGGGAAACCGCCCCCATGATTCAGTTACCTCCCCCTGGTCTCTCCCTTGACACGTGGGGTTTACAGGGATTACAATTCAAGATGAGATTTGAGTGGGGACACAAACCCTAACCATATCACTTCTCTATCTTTATTGGTCTTTAGAGATACTGTAGCTAAGTGCAACAAGGTGTCCTGAATTGGAGACTGGCACAGAACAAGGATGTTGTTGGAAAAACTGATGAAATCTGAATAAACTCTGAAGTATAGGTAATAGTGATGTATCAATGTTGGTTTCTTAGTTTTGACAAAGTATTGTGTAATGTAAGTTGTTAACATTAGGGGAAACTGACGGTACTTTCTGTATTATCTTTGTAGCTTTTTAAACTATAATTTCTCAAGTTTATTTAAAAAAAACAAACAAACTCTAGCATAGAACACAGCAGCTATCAATTTCTTTAGTTTCCTCAAACCCTACCTTATCATCTTCTCTGTCATTTGCCTACTTTTCTGAGAAGATTGAAGCCATCAGTTTGATGAATTCCCCTCAGTTTCCTTTATTTTTGTTTTTTTGTTGGTTTGTTTATTTTAAAATTATTTTTTATGTAAGTTTTGTAGAGACAGGATCTTGCTGTGTTTCCCAGCCTGGTCTCAAACTCCTGGGCTCAAGCAATCTGCCTACCTCAGCGTCAGTGCTGGGATTCCTGGCATGGACATTAGCTTGGCCTCAGTTTCCTTTTAAATTCCCCTACCCCCTTCAATAAAACTCTACATAACCTTGGAAGCATTCTAAGTCATTTGGATCTACTTTCCTCTGGTTACAAGTAGATAGGAGCAGTTTTTGTTTCTGTTTGTTCTGTGAAACCCTAATACTTCCTGCCTTCTCAGAGATTTCATTTACATAATATTTTTATTGAATTATTAAAATTCACCTTTTGACTCTGCTAGTAACTTTCCATTGGGAATATATCTAAAATAAAAAAATGGAAATTTTCTTTCCATTCTTTCTCTTCTCTCTTCCACAGCTAAGATTCTTTTCTTTTCTTTTTTTTTTTTTTTTGAGACAGAGTCTCGCTCTGTCACCCAGGCTGGAGTGCAGTGGCACGATCTCAGCTCACTGCAACCCCGCCCCCTGGGTTCAAGCGATTCTTCTGCCTCAGCCTCCCGAGTAGCTGGGAGTACAGGTGCACGCCACCATGCCCAGCTAATTTTTGTGTTTTTAGTAGAGACGGGGGTTTCAACATATTGGCCAGGCTGGTCTTGAACGCCTGACCTCGTGATCCACCTGCTTTGGCCTCCAAAGTGCTGGGATTACAGGTGTGAGCCACTGTGCCCGGCCTTTTTTTTTTTTTTTTTTTTTTGAGATGGAGTTTCGCTCTTGTTGCCCAGGCTGGAGTGCAGTAGCACGATCTCGGCTCACCGCAACCTCCGCCTCCCGGGTTCAAGTGATTCTCCTGCCTCAGCCTCCTGAGTAGCTGGAGGCTTTTGCAGGCTTTTGCCACCACGCCTGGCTAATTTTTTGTATTTTCAGTAGAGACGGGGTTTCTCCATGTTAGGCTGGTCTCGAATTCCCGACCTCAGGTGATACGCCTGCCTCGGCCTCCGAAAGTGCTGGGATTACGGGTATGAGCCACTGCGCCCAGCCTTCCACAGCTAAGATTCTTATTTTTGAGATGGAGTCTTGCTCTGTCACCCAGGCTGGAGTGCAGTGGTGTGATCTCAGCTCACAGCAACCTCTGCCTTCCGGGTTCAAGTGATTCTCCTGCCTCAGCCTTCTGAGTAGCTGAGATTAACAGGCGCCCGCTGCCACACCTGGCTATTTTTTTTTTTTTTTTTTTTTTGTATTTTTAGTAGAGACGGGGTTTCACCATGTTGGCCAGGCTGGTCTTGAACACCTGACCTCAAGTGATCCACCCATCTTGGCCTCCTAACGTGCTGGGATTGCAGGTGTGAGCAACTGTGCTGGCCTCACATGTAAGATTCCTGAAAGAGTTGACTGCATTTGTGGTCTTCCCTTCTCACCTCCCAGTCATGCCTCACTCCATTGAAATCTGGCTTTGTCCCCACGGCACTCCTAACTGCATTCTTCAGATCATCAATAAGTTAGTTTTCGAAGCCAATGAAGAATTTTCAGTCTTTCTCTTTTTTGGCTTAAATATCTGAAACATTTTTTTTTTCCTTTTAGAGACTGTCTCGCTCTGTCACCCAGGCTAGAGTGCAGTGGTGCTATCGTAACTCACTGGAGCCCTGATCTAGGCTCAAACCATCCTCCCACCTCAGCCTCCCAAGTAGCTGGGACTAAGGCAAGTACCACCATACCTGGCTAATTAAAATTTTATTTTTTTGTAGAGATGAGCTCTCACTATGTTGCGTAGGCTGATCTCAAACTTCTGACCTCGAGTAATCCTCCTGCCTCAGTCTCCTAAAGCTTTGGGATTACAGGCGTGAGCCACGGCACCTGGCCTAATATTTGAAACTTTCAAATACTTCCCTTAAAAAAAATGTACCACTACCATCTTTGTTGTATGCACAAATTAGAAACTTAATAGGAAAAGAGAATTATCCATAATCCTACCACTTAGAAGTATTAACATTTTGGGGCATATCTATATATATCCAGTGTATTTTAAAATATTTTAAATATAATCATATTCTCTGTATTCTGTAACTTGTCTTGAACACTTAATATGTTGTTGGTAACCTTTCATGTCGGTGAAGTTTAGTTACTCATCATCTTACTCTTCCCTACTAGATTGAATTCATTCTCCTCCAGGTAACTATCCTCAGTCATCTTTCTAAAGTACAAATTTTGTCCTGGAAACTTTCCTGCCCAAGTCTTTTCATAACCTTTCATTTCCCTTGGAATATGAAATGCAAAGACTTTTGTGATGTAGCCACTGCTTTACCAATCTTCACATTAGTTTTTTAGCCTGTTGAACAAATTGATTATCTTCCAAAAGATCCTAGGTCTTTCTTCTTTACCCTTTCCTGCACCTCCCCCTGTCCCCCTTTATCCTTAAAGACTGCCTCATTCTTAGTATATGGTTTTTGGAGTCCTTATAATACAGGTTTGACCTTGTGTGAGCTGCTTAACTTTTCTCTGTGCCTCATTTCCTCATCTACAAAATTGGGCCAAAGAATCTATGTCAAATTAAGCGAATACATATGAAGCACTTTGAACTCTTAGTAAGCACATAGTTAGCTCTCAATAAATGCTAGCAAATATTATAATTCAACAGATCTTCAGTGTTATGCTTCTCATTTTAGGATAATCTTCCCAGTATTCCCAGAGCTTACTTCGCATAGTTCATTGTAGTCCTTATCACATGGTACTCATTGTTTTTTTATTAGACTGGCGCCTTGAGGGCAGGAGTTATCGTATTCCTTGTTCATAATGCATCCAAGTAATCTGGTTAGGGGTTACCAGATAATATTAGCAGTATCCATTAGATTGTTATGTTGGATCAAAGAAAATATTTCATGGGATTTTGTTTAGAAAATCTACCCTTATTTATATATTTCTGTATATGAAGTGTGTTATTCTGTAGAAGAGGTTGGGGCTACTTGTAAAAGTTTGGAGACCGGGAGAGCTCAGGACATGGATCCTTTGGCCAGCCCTTCAGGTGGCCAGTAGTAGTAATGGCTTTTTAACTTTTTGCAGTTTGGAGTTTAAAAGGTAAGCAAGATGAGGCTGGGCGCCGTGGCCCACACCTGTAATCCACCTGTAATCCACCACTTTGGGAAGCCAAGGCGGGTGGATCACTTGAGGTCAGGAGTTTGGGACTGGCCTGGCCAATATGCAAAACCCTGCCTCTACTAAAAATACAAAAATTATCTGGGTGTGGTGTTCGGCGCCTGTAATCCCAGCTACTGGGGAGACTGAGGCAGAAGACTCGCTTGAACCTGGGAGGCGGAGGTTGCAGTGAGCCGCTGTCGCACCACTGCACTCCAGCCCCAGTGACAGAGCAAGGCTCTGTCTCAAAAAAAAAAAAAAAAAAAATCATATGGGAGCACACCCTTCTCCCCACCGCCAAATACCCTTTGTTAAAAATTTTAAAAAGAGCAAAGTAAATAAGCCACAGTGGTGCATGCCTATAGTTTCAGCCACTGGGGAGGCTGAGGTGGGAGGATTGCTTGAGCTGAGGAGTTCAAGTCCAGCCTGGGTAACAGTGAGACCCTGTCTCAAAAATATAAAAGTTAAAAAATAAATAAATAAGAGAGTTTTTTGTTTTTTTAGTTTTTAAATAGGTCCTATAGCTTTTGAGGATTTGAGATTTCTACTAGGTTAAAATTTATTTTAAAATATACGTGACAAGATTTCGAAAGTACAAAAAGATAACTCAGTGGAAGATAGATCTTGCCCGCTCCATACCTCTAGTTCTTCTTTCTAGAGGACTATCACTTAGGTGAACTTCAATTTTCTATAAAGAAATCATTATGCACTAAGCAACTGTGATTTTACAAGTCTGTCTAGTAGAGATAAAAGCATAAATATATGAATAAAAGGTTGTTTATTGCAGCATTGTTCATAAAGGCAAAAAAGTAAAGGTCATCCATTTCTGTGGAATGTTACACAGCTTGCTTTTTTTTTGGGGGCGCAGAGTCTTGCTCTGTTGCCCAGGCTGGAGTGCAGTGGCACGATGTCAGCTCACTGTAGCCTCTGCCTCCAGGGATCAAATGATTCTCATGCCTCAGCTTCCTGAGTAACTGGGATTATAGGCGTGCACCACCACACCCAGCTAATTTTTTGTATTTTTAGTAGAGACAGGGTTTCACTATATTGGCCAGGCTGGTCTTGAACTCCTGGCCTCAACTTGATTCACCTTCCTTGGCCTCCCAAAGTTCTGGGATTACAACATGAGCCACTGTGCCCGGCCCATCATACAGCTTTTAAAAACTGCAACTTAACTCTATATCTGTTTATTAGAAGTTTGTCCATGCAAATATATTGAGAGAATTGCCTGTCTCAGAATAAGGTATAGTGTATGATTCTTGCTTTATAATAGCAAATAGCTAATCCCCTTTCCCCACCACATATATGTGAACATGTTTGTCTGAATGTGAAGTATGGAGGGATACACACTAGGCTGTTAACATGTTTACCTCAGGAAATGGGAATAGCGGGGAGGCAAGAGTAATTATGAACTTGGAGGTTAATATGGGTCTATTTTAGTTACAGAGAATGTGGTGAGAATAGTACCTCAGGGGGAGAAAACTAGAGTCAGTGAATTTGAGTTTAGTGAAGGGTTTGGGCTAGAGATCTCTACCTCTGTGGTCTTTCTCTTTCTTCCTGTATCAGCCTGTACAGTGATTGCTGAGGCTTTGTTCCTGTTCTTTCTTGAGATTTCTGCTTTGGGGTAGCCTTATTCAATTTTTGATTGTAACTCTGTGGATTCACTTCCGTTAAATCTGTCTTTCTATTCTGACTACTCTTCAACTCTAGGTCTTTTGGATACTTCCTCAGTCAAGCACCTTGCACTTACTTTGTTCAAAACCATCCTCGTTATCTGTCTCCCCAAATTCGTTTTTCTGTTTTCTGCTTCCTTTTAAGCTTTATAATACACATTTGAAAAATACCCGCAACATTGAGTCCTATAGATTCCATTCCATTTCTGTATCCTGTGTTTTAGATTTTCCCTTCCAGAGGGAGCAGTGCTTTTACTACTTTGGGAACTATTTTATGGAGTAGGTGTTTGAATAGATCCTTGGTTTTGTATGAGCCATTCTAAGGGAGGGAGGTCAGGCTTCTGGGGGAAGGGTATGTCATAGCACAACTAAAGAGGAAGGAAAATGCAGTGGACGGTAGAAAGTTCTCATTTGGCTTTGAGTTGGGAGGTGAAACAATAGGAGATTGAGTTGGGGAGGGAGGCATGGGTTGTCAGATTGACGATACATAGTAGGTTCGATTGGACTTTTTTAGAGGAGTGTAGGCCATGATCAGAAAGGTGCCTTAGGAAAATTGATCTTGAGGCCCAGTCAGGGAAGCAAATAAGAACTTTTGTTAGAATAATCCAGACATGCATTAATAGAGTTTGGACTATAATGAAAGAGGAATCTTGAAGAAGTAGGCTAAATTTGAGACAAAATGAATGGATATAAGGGATGGAGTAGAGAGAGTTTCAGATGATCTAGGCTTTTGAGACTGGCTGACCAGTAAACTGAAAACAGTAGTGCCTTGATGATATGATCAGTCAGTGATCCCATGCCACATTGGTCATGGGAGAAAAAAATCAAATTTGTAATTAATTGCAGGGGTGGGATCATCTCTCCCAGCTAGTGGCCGGTTACAAATTTGTGGGCAGATGTTTTAATTGCTGTTGTTAAAATGACACCCCTACTCTCTGCATGCCCTCTTTGCCATTCCGTAATTTAGAGGGAAATAAAGATGGGCAAAGAAATACCAGGATAGTGCTGGTAATGGAGGAAAAGGGAGGTCATAGTTTCAACAAAAAACAGTCTACAGAGGCAGGATAGCATGATGGAGCAGAGTGTCCAGAGTCTGGTTCAAATCCTGAATTGCTTTATAAACTCAGAGACCTTTCCTTTTCCTTTTCCTTTTCCTTTTCTCTTTCCTTTTCCCTTTCCCTTCTCTTTTTCTTTTCATTTTCCTTACTGGGTCTGGCTCTGTTGCCCAGGCTGGAGGGCAGTGGTGTGAACAAGGCTCACTGCAGTCTCGACCTCCTGGGCTCAAGCAGTCCTCCCACCTCAGCCTCCCAAGTAGCTTGGACTGCAGGAGCATACCACCACGCGTGACTAACTTTTGTATTTTGTGTAGAGATGAGGTTTTTGTCATGTTGTCCAGACTGTTCTTGAACTTCTGAGCTCAAGTGATCTGCATGCCTCAGCTTCCCAAAGTGCTGAGATTACAGGTGTGAGGCACTGCATCCGGCCTCCAGAGCTGTTTTCTAAAGGTTACAAGTCTTCTAGGCGTTTGAGCTGAAAACATTTGGATAGCTGGGGTTTAAATGTTGCCCTAAGCTGCTTTGAATCATAAAGAAGAATGAGCAGAACACTGTTCTGAGTAATGCAGGTCTCTTTATTTGATAATTAAATAACTTGGTTTATTATTTTTAGGTTTTTTTTTTTAATTAACCTCTCAAGCTTTTATTTAAATGCCATGACCCAGGATGGATTTTAGATTTTGTTGAAAGCAGCCACATCCATGGACTGCACATAGTCTTCAAAAGCAGTGATCTGCTTCTCCAGCTTATCTGTTCCAACTTTATCATCTTCAACTTCACAACGTATTTGAAGTTTCTTAATTCTGTATCCCACTTGAACTAGTTTAGATGAGCCCCAGACTAAGCCATCTGCTTGAATGCCTCTGATGCACTCCTCTAATTTTGCCATATCTGTCTTATCATCCCAAGGTTTCACATCTATAAGATGGAAGACTTGGCAACGAGTGCAGGTTTTTTGGCTTTCTTCGATTCATATTGTGGAAGGTGTTCTTCCCTTAGCCTCTTCGTTTCTTCACTTTTCTCCTCCCATCAGCTCCAAAGAGATCAATGTCATCATCATCTTTACTATCTTTAGCTCCTCTTCCTATAGTGTCTTCCATATCCACAGGACCATACTTGACCAAAGCCTTCTTCACTCCTGGAAGGCTGGCCTTTTCTTTTTCGTAAGACTTGATGTGATTATACCAACGAAGGGCATAACACAAGTCAGCAGGCGGTGGGCCAGATGCTGCTTCAAATACTGCCACATCTGCTTGTGATGGCACATACCCCTCGATGTAGCTCTTGTCCGCCAGGTAATTGTTGAGCACCTGGAGGCCGGCAGGGCTTTTCAGGTCTCTGAAATCCATGGCATCAGCTGTACCTGAGAGCTGAGGAGCAGCAGAAAGAGCTCAAGTTGTGGGCACCCTGTGCTGAAAGAGGAAAAAAATATTCTTAGGTTTTTAAGAGTTCTTCAGAAATCTTTACTTTAGGGGCCGGGTGCAGTGGCTCACGCCTGTAGTCCCAGCACTTTGGGAGGCCGAGGCAGGTGGATCATTTAAGGTTGGGAGTTCGAGACCAGCCTGGCCAACATGGTGAAACCCCGTCTCTACTGAAAATACAACAATTAGCTGGGTGTGGTGGTGCATGCATGTAATCCCAGCCACTCAGGAGGCTGAGGCAGGACAATCACTTGAACCTGGGAGACGAAGGTTGCAGTGAGCCAAGATCATGCCACTGCACTCCAGCCTGGGCAGTAGAGCGAGACTCAGTCTTAAAAAAAAAAAAGGCCGGGCGCGGTGGCTCACGCCTGTAATCCCAGCACTTTGGGAGGCCGAGGCGGGCGGATCACGAGGTCAGGAGATCGAGACCATCCCGGCTAAAATGGTGAAACCCCGTCTCTACTAAAAATACAAAAAATTAGCCGGGCGTAGTGGCGGGCGCCTGTAGTCCCAGCTACTTGGGAGGCTGAGGCAGGAGAATGGCGTGAACCCGGGAGGCGGAGCTTGCAGTGAGCCGAGATCCCGCCACTGCACTCCAGCCTGGGCGACAGAGCGAGACTCCGTCTCAAAAAAAAAAAAAAAAAAAAAAAAAGAAATCTTTACATTAGGAAATAATTTTCTTACAGAAACCATGTTGTAAATGGTAGTTGGGTTCCCAGCTCAAGACATTAAAAAATCTTCTGAGCTCTTAATGGTTGTACATTGTAGTAGTTTTGTAGTACTCAAAGATTTATAGGTGCAATGATAAAGTGGACCCAAACAGAATTTCCTTGCTTGTTGTTGTTCCTTAGATGCTGCTTGAATCTGGGGCTTCGTTTATATTTCAAGACTGCTGCCTGTAGGAGCTCCATCTGTATCATTTGTGTTAATAGTGACCCTGGAGTTTTGTACTTCCAGAACCTATGTGAGCATATGTGATGGCCTTGTAGTAAGTTAAAGGGGAAAAAATTAAATCACTAACAATGAATTTAGTATTTTCACAAATAGCAAATACTTTGAATTTTAGTTGAGATTTACCTGCTTTATAAATTCAGTCTGATTTAAATCCTGACTTGCTTTATAAATGCAGAGCCATTATTCAATGCTCTAAAATCCTCTACGGGTTTGAGTTTAAAACATTTGGCTAGATGGGGCTTAAAATGGTGGTAAAACCGCTCCTTCAGGATGTTTAGTATTAAAGAAAAACCTTACAATTGATGTGGTCTCTACAGCTCTAGTTGATGTAGTCTCTTCATCTCTGTTTGTCATCCAAGTAGGTCCACATACTTTTAGAAAACACACTGAATTGATTTATGTTACAAAAAGTCATAAGACTGTTGTGTAAGCAGTGATGCCTGTTTTAGTTTAACAGTGGGCACCTTTCCTGGGGTCTGATCATTGCTACCTTGACAAGTCATTCATTTGGAATGTACCATAATTTTAATTGAATCTAACATGTGTCAACTATAAGATTAATCATTTTGTGCATTACTGAGAAAGAAAGGAATACTGCCAAGAAGGCTCCGGCACATCTGGCACAGGCTTTTCTTGTTAGAATTATTTTATATTTTTTAAAAAAGCTCTGTTAAACTTATTTAGCAAATAAGAATGGATTTTTATTAAACAGTGTATCCTTCTATTGCATGTATGAAAATGAAAATAGAAGTAAAATAAATTTGTTAAGATAGTCGTAAGATTTCTGGGTATTTAGAGTCTGACTTTTCTAAATCACTTTTCAACTTGGCATCATAGAAGTCTCCTGCTTTCTTCCTCCCTCTCCCCACCAGTCATGCAAAGTATTGGTGATGCAGTAGTTAAGGGAATTCTCTATTACTCTGTCATCAATTTAAAATTTAGTCGTTTGATGCTTGTGAAGATTTTAAGAGCAATATAAGCTATTTAATTTTTAATCCCTTTTAGTACTTCAGGGCTGCTGCATGTGGTCATATGGGTTGTGCAGTGTCATCAGTATCGGTAGCAAACCATAACAGACTCCATTGGCTTGTGTGTTTTTCCCCCCTTTCTTTCTGAGGTCCTGTAAATCACTTGGAATCATTCTTTGAATGATGAATAGTTACTTCACTAATACTCCATGGCTGTATTTGCTTCTTTTCTGTTATACAATAAATTTAGTTTTGATACAGAATCATATTATTTTGAAGACATTTAAAACAGCGGTTTAAAAAATTGGCCCTTGTTCAGACAGCTGTAACACAACTCGCACCCAGCCAGTAGCAGTTGTAACTTGGCATCAGTTTTAAGATGCATTCTAATTTCAGAGAAATTAAAATGTTAAAAATAGTGTTTTCTTTTTTATTTTAATTTTTTTAATTTTTTTTTTTTTTAATTGAGACAAGGTCTTGCTCTGTTGCCCAGGCTGGAGTGCAGTGGTGCAATCACGACTCATTGTAGTCTCAAGCTCCACAGCATAAGTGATCCTCCCACCTCAGCTGGGACTACAGGCTCGCACCATCATGCCCAGCTAATTTTTATATATTTTTGTGGAGACAGGGTTTTGCCATGTTGCCCAGGCTGGTCTTGAACTTCCGGGCTCAAGCGATCCACCCACCTTGGCCTCCCAAAGTGCTGGGATTACAGGTATGAGCCACCATGCTCGGCAGTTATGTTTTCTTTGAATCACTAGTTGTTTTAAGAGATGAGGAGGGGCGGGGCGCAGTGGCTCACGCCTGTAATCCCAGCACTTTGGGAGACCTAGGCAGGCTGATCACGAGGTCAGGAGATCAAGACCATCCTGGCTAACATGGTGAAACCTTGTCTCTACTAAAAATACAAAAATATTAGCCGGGTGTGGTGGCACGTGCCTGTAGTCCCAGCTACTCGGGAGGCTGAGGCAGGAGAATGGTGTGAACCCGGGAGGCGGAGCTTACAGTGAGCCGTGATCGCGCCACTGTACTCCAGCCTGGGCGACAGAGCGAGACTCTTGTCTCAAAAAAAAAAAAAAAAAAAGTGATGAGGAGGGGACTAAGTTTACCTCAGTTTTAGTCTGGTTTGCACCTTTTGTGTGGTGGGGGAGCAGGGAGTCAGGGTCAAGTAAGAACAGGATAATCTCCCTTGGAGTCTGCTTGGTTGACACAGGGCTGGAAGTACCTTTCAGAAGGAAGGCAGATAAATGAATAGCTGATTATGAAGGTTAACACACTTTTACTTTGCTGTTTCTAAGCTTTAGACATATTTGTAGTTTATTATTTTTTAGATCATTTAAACAGAGGCAACAGGGTGATAAAGGGAGAGAATCCTTAACTTGGTCCCCAGTGCCGTGTGTGATGTATCTTAGAGATATTTTACAGTATACAGTTGTCCCTCAGTATCCATGGGGATTCATTCTAGGATGTCCTTCAGATGTTAAAATCCTTGGATGCTCAAGTCCCTAATGTAAAATGGCATAGTGTTTGCGTATAACCTATGTACATACTTCTATATACTTTAACACCTCTAGATTACTTATAATGCTTAATACAACATAAATGCTGTGTAAATAGTTGTTCTGCTGTATTGTTTAGGGAACAATGACAAGGAAAAGAAGTGTCTATACATGTTGGTACAGACGCAATTAAAAAATTTTTTTCCATCCGAGGTTGGTTGAATCCATGAACCAGAACCCATGGATATGGAGGGCCAGTTATATTTACAATTTTTATAGTATTTTCCATTTTTTTAAGCTCTCATATCTTAAGATTACTTTTGAAATGTCACTTGTGAAATTCATTAGTTTATTATTTTAACTTGACAATCTGAAGCAACTTTTAAAAAATTTATATTTTATTTATTTATTTTAAAACTTTTTTTTTTTTTTTTTTTTTAAAGAGATGGAGTCTCACTATGTTGCCCAATCCAGTCTTGAACTCCTGGGCCCAAGCCGTCTGCCTGGCTTGGCCTCCCAAATTATAAATTTATTTTTATTTGTTTATTTTGTAGAGACAGGGTCTCACTCCATCGTCTAGGCTGGAGTGCAGTGGCAGGACCACAACTCACTGCAGCCCCAAACTCCTGGGCTCAAGTGATCCCTCCACCTCACCCTCCCAGGCAGCTAAGACTACAGGCATGTACCACCATGCCCAGTTGATCTTTAACATTTCTTTTTTTTAGAGACCACGTCTCCACCTCCTGGGCTCCAACGATTCTCCCATCTTGGCCTCCCAAAGCGCTGGATTTACAGGTATGAGCCACCTTGCCTGGTGGTTCCTGGCCTGATCCAAGATAATTTTTAAAAGAAGCAGTAGGCTCGAGAGGCTGAGACAGGAAGATCACTTGAGGTCAGGCCAAGAGTTCGAGACCAGCTTGAGCAACATAGTGATACACACTGTCTGTTAAAAAAAAATCACTAGGGTGTAAAGTGCTAATAAGCAGAAGGTGAGGAGAGTTGTGGCAGAAGCTATGTGATAGGTAAGGAGGGTCCTTATTTTAATAATCTTTGATGTACCTCATGGTGATAGGGGAGTCATTACTAGGAAGTAATATGAACTAAAATGTAAATCTATTACCTTTCATTCACTCCCCATTGTTCCAGGGATAAAGGGAGAAAATCCTTAACTTAGTCTCCAATGCCCTGTGTGGTCTGTTCCTACCTCTCTCACTAGCTTCATCTTAAACTGTGCCTCCTTACCCCAGATTAACATAGAAAGGTGGGGAGTCAGAATATAAGGGTTGATTTATTCATTTCACTTTGCCTGCTATATTATTGTTTTAAGTAGGAATTTCAAAATCTCATTTTTGTGACTCTAGTTGAGAGGAGCATAAATAAAACACTCTCTAACTGTACTTTCTGGCCTGGAATTCCACATTTAATCTCAACTAATAGTATGGAGATATTTTTCTCGTTAACAGGTTTCTTCACATATAAAAATCTATTGTAAAAATACGGAAAAGAATGGCAGCGGAAACGCAGACACTGAACTTTGGGCCTGAATGGTGAGTTTTCAAAATCTCATCTTCTTTGATATTGGATGACTAATACAGTAGTAAAGTATTTGACAGGTGCTAGGTGGTTTATAAATGTGCATGTTTTTGAAACTTTTGCTTTATGTGCCTCGCTGAAAACAATGTGTTAGTTCAGGAATAAATTATATTTGGTAAATGAGTGTATTCTATACTTAATTAAAATTTTTTTTCTTTGTCTGGTTATATATGTAATGATGGCGGGAGTCCCACCCGCCCTAGAAAATTATTTTCTTTTTATTTGAGTCGTTGTCTAGGTGCACATACAATTTTATGTAAGTATAATTATAACATTTTTATGTCTGTATGTTTTCTGCTACATTGTTTTATCATTGCTGTTCATAGATTGATTTGAGAAATAGTTTTCATTGAAGTATTATTTGAAAGATGGGCTAGGCAGGTAGTTCAGTATTATACTGGCTGTTAACAGTAGCCTATCTAGGATTCAGTTAGCATTGGACATAATAACGATTAATTGACCTTTGAGTCTCTTACAGATGTGTTTGGACCCCGAATATGGAATTCTCATGGAATTTTGAGATCCATCACATTGTAGTGTGGCTTCCCCCCCTCCCCTCCTTCCTTTTTCCCCAAAGTTGGTGATTGAAGATCCTCTCTTCAGTGGCATCAATAATAATAATTACTTTTTCTATTCAAACCTCGGGCAACCCCTTTGGTAATATCAGAAGTAGTATCTAAAATAGATAAATTGGATTTGTGTCTTAAACTCTTGGTTGTTCAGGTGGGAGTGGTTCAATAAATGATGCAGACTTCCTGTAGTAACTCTATTTGAGGAGTCTTATTAACTTATCCTATTAGAAATATTTCTTTTTATTAATATATGTAATCTCGAAGTTTTCTTAACCTTTATAGCCAGCATTTGGAGACTGAGGAGAAATCACTATTTGAAGTTCTAAGAACCGATGGAACTCCTGTATTTTGAGAGTTTATTTAGAACATGTTAACCTAAGTAATGCTGTACTTGTTTTAGTTATTCCTTTATATTTTTAAAATGATTTTCTTAGTATCAAATTAATATGTTTCTAAAAAAATTAGAAATAACTAGTAAGCCAGAAATAATTTCAACATCCATGGTACACACTGTAAATACCTTGGTGTATCTTTCCAGGTGGTTTTATGTATGCTTATTTGTGTATATATACACTTATTTTTTACAAAAATGGGATCATACTGTACCTTCAGTTTTGTAGCCTGCTTAAAGAAATAACCAAATCAGAAACATCTTTTTTTAATCAATAAATATTTTCTGTTGTATTAAATGGTTGCATTGTATGGATGTACCATCATTTATTCAACTAGTCTTCTAGATGTGACATATAGAAGCTGTTCTTGATTTTTCATTATAAAAATATTTTTAATGAACATTCTTATAGTTACATCTTTATTTCTACCTTAATTCCTTTTATCAGGTGGATTTAAATTCATATAAGTTACTTTCTTAGCCATTTTTTGTGCAACTCATCCGCCTTTATCTAGAATTTGTAACTGCTTCTCTTTTATATTTACATACCCTCATGTCTGTTTCTTTATAAAAACATGGTTTAAATTGTCAGCTAATTTAAGGAAGTTGTTTTTTTCAGCATCCTGCTGTTTATAGGTAACAGAAAGGGAACACCAGGAATTTAGACACAACAACAGAGAAAAGAAAAACTGATGATATTTTAGAATCAATACACATTTAGCTTGATGCCTAATATTATGGGTTGGCAAACTATGGCCTGTGGGACTGTAAAGTTTTTGTAAGTAAAGTTTCATTGAAAGACAGAGACGTCCATTTGCTTCCATATTTTCTGACTGCTTTCATGCTACAGTGGCAGGGTTGACAGGCCATTTGGTTCACAGAGCCTAAACATTAATTCTCTGGCCCTTTGGAGAGACAGTTTGCTGGCCCCTGCCCTACACCATGAGTTCTCAAGGTCATCTCAGTGTAGTATTGAGCATCTTTCAATAGTATCTTACACATCCTCCTTTTTATTGATACTCTGAAGTTTTGTTTGATGGTATTTCACTTGATTGGCTCAGTGTTTTGTATAAAATTTGAATTGAGGTAGCCTTAAACAGAGGGCAATCACCATTTCCATCCTTAAACAGTAGCCTCACCTAATTGTACATCTGTACAATTGCAGACATTAGAGCTTAGGAGCATTCCCTTAGTCATCTGAAATGCTGATGCACTGAGGAATGCAGGTGTAAGTAGGCATAGTGCCCTATTTGTATCATCTGTCAAAATTCCTTCTGGCAAAGGGAGTATATGAGGCCCTTAAGTAACCCAAGTAATCCTGAGCTGGAAAGTTGCAGTAGGAGTAGAGAGTACTACCTAATTTTTCTTCACGTATGACGTTCTTTGTGAAACTTGAGGTAAAGAGCTGTGCCCAGGGTACTTGAGAATCAGGATTTAGATTGTTAACATCGAACCAGTGTGCAATTAACTCTAAATGAGACAGAAGCACTAAGTGATACGGTGTTTATTAAGGTCATCATTTTTGTGAATAATGTAAAACATGTTCAATAAGGGATACTTAAAAATGAAGCAATTTATTTGTATCTGGGGACAATTGTGAAGATGGGAGAAAATTGAAAATTTTGGTAGGAACAGACCATGAGTGGCTGTAAGCTTTAACTTTTTTTTTTTTTTTTTTTTTTTGAGATGGAGTCAGCCTCGCTCTGTCGCCCAGGCTGGAGTGCAGTGGCATGATCTCAGCTCACTGCAACCTCTGCCTCCAGGGTTCAAGTGATTCTTCTCCCTCAACCTCCTGAGTAGCTGAGATTACAGGCACCCACCACCACGCCCAGCTGATTTTTATAATTTTAGTAGAGACGGGGTTTCACCATGTTGGCCAGGCTGGTCTCGAACTCCTGACCTCAGGTGATCCGTCTACCTTGTCCTCCCAAAGTGCTGGGAGTGCAAGCATGAGCCACTGCGCCCGGCCAAGGCTTGAACTTTTTAAGGTCTGTGGAATCATTAGGTCTTAGATTATTTTTCTACTTAGAATAAAAAAGTATATTGCATTATCATCAGAGCAGTTTAAAAGGGTATGATACATTCAATGCCAAGTATATCCTGTCTACATATAAAGCAATAGTGTCTTTCTTTAAGCCTTTCCTCAAATGCTGCCACCTTAGACCTTTCCTGACAATCTATATAACCCTCCACCCTTTACTCCCTATCTCTCTTCCTTGCTTAATTTTTCTTCATGTTGTGTATCAAAATGTAACATGACAAATATTTTACATATTTATTTTATTGTCTATATCCTGTCTTTCAACCCCCACTAGACTGTGAGCTCCATTGAGGGCAGGTACTTTGATATAGATTTTTGTACAGTTTGTTTACTGCTGTATCTCCAGTGCCTGGCACATAGGTACTGAATAAATATTTATTAAATGGATGAATGAATTGTTGGAAAGTAAAGTTGTTTTTAATGTTTTGCTATTGTAAATGATATGTATATATACCCTTGAACAATTTTGTTTTTATCACTGATCATTTTATTTGGATTAATTTCTTGGAAGTGGAATTATTAAATCAAAAGTTTTATTTTTAAGGCTTTGGATGATATATGGACAGTTTGACCACTAGAAGGATTTTATGAATTGAATTGTCATCTCCTGTGTGTTTGCTCTTGACAAAACACTAAGCACCGTCTTGATAATTTTTTTGGTGCTAAACTCCTTAGATTTAGGTCTTTTAGAGTTTTTTTGTTGTTAGTTTCATTAACAAAATAAACACACTTATTCTAGAAAATCTGGAGGAAACAGTACAAGAGGAAAAAGAAAAGGGTTAGGTATGGGCTGGGCGTGGTGGCTCATGCCTGTAATCCCAGCACTTTGGGAGGCCGAGGTGGGCAGATCACCTGAGGTCAGGAGTTTGAGACCAGCCTGGCCAACATGATGAAACCCCACCTCTACTAAAAATACAAAGTTAGCCGGGCGTGGTGGATTGTGCCTGTAATTCTAGCTACTCAAGAGGCTGAGACAGGAGAATCGTTTGAACCCAGGAGGCGGAAGTTGCAGTGAGCCGAAATTGTGCCATTGCGCTCCAGTCTGGACAACAAGCCTGGGCAACAAAAGCAAACCCCCCCCCCCCCGCAAAAAAAAAGAAAAGGGTTAGGCATGGTGGCTGGCCCCAGGCTCCCAGCACTTTGGGAGGCAGAGGCATGAGGATCACTTGAGCCCAGAAGTTCGAAACAAGCCTCGGCAACACAGTGAGATCCTCTTCTCTACAAAAAAAATTAAAAAAAAATTAGCTGGGCGTGGTGGTGCATATGTTTGGTGTCAGCTACTTGGAAGGCTGAAGTGAGAGGATCACTTGAGCCTGGGAGGTCAAGGCTGCCATGACTGCGCTGCTGCACTCCAGCCTGGGTGATAGAGCAAGACCCTGTCTCCCAAAAAGGAAAAGAAAACAAAAAGACCACCAAAGGGGAAAGATCTAAGTTACCCTAATCCTACCACCCAAAGTAGCTTTGCTAACGTTTTGGTTTCTATCGTATATGCAAATGTATCTTCAAGATATTTAAAAAACAAATATTTAGGCCGGGCGCGGTGGCACATGCCTGTAATCCCAGCACTTTGGGAGGCCGAGGCGGGTGGATCACTTGAGGTCAAGAGTTTGAGACCAGTCTGGCCAACATGGTGAAACCCCATCTCTGCTAAAAAAAAAAAAAAAAAAAAAATTACAAAAATTAGCTGGGCATGGTGGTGTGTGCCTGTAATCTTGGCTACTGGGGAGGCTGAGGCAGGAGAATTACTTGAACACGGGAGGTGGAGGTTGCAGTGAGCTGAGATCATGTCACTGCACTCCATCCTGAGTGACAAAGTGCTACTCTGTTTCAAGCAAACGAACGAATATTTGGTGATTTAAAACACTTTTGAGGATCAAAAATCTATTCAGTCGAGTGTGGTGGCATGCACCTGTAGTCCCAGCTACTGAGAGTCTGAGGCTGGAGGATTGCTCGGGCCTAGGCATTTGAGACCAACCTGGGACAACATAGTGAGAACCCGTCTTTAGAAACAAAAAACAAAAAGAAGACTACCCAGATAAGTCTAGATAAGGACTTTATTATAGGGAGAATAATTATAGACATTACCTGGCTTTCTGGGAAGGAGCCAAGAAAGCTCCTTTGGGAGTTTCCTCTGTCTCATCTCCTTGGTCTTAAGGAAGTTTTCCCAGGTCTTTCCTTGCAAAGAAGAGGGAAGTACTTGTTTTCTTCCCCAAAGTATTTTATTTATACATTTGTTAAAATAGTTATGGCCTTGTGGTGTATCTGTATATATATTTGCGCCTTGCCCAAGAAGAGCTAATTCCATTAAGAAATGCACTGTATTTCTCTCTTTTGGTAAGCCCATTGTTGAGCTTAGTGTACTGGACATTGGCATTAATATTTAGTTAACTAATTTAGTTAATAAATGAATGTTGAATGAAGCCATTAGGGTCTTATGGGAGACGGGTAAGAGAATGCAAACCTGAGATTGATAGCTTCCTATCGATAATTATGGGATTATGTGAAAAAGGAGAGAAGTTCTGGAGGATGAGATGTGTTAATATTTCCAGTTTTCAGAAAGGGTAAAATATTTCTATGTAAACTGAAGGAGTAGTAAATTAGATGTTTTTGAGGGGTGTATTTTGGAAGCAAATATTTGTTCAGAAAACATTTTATCAAATGCTTGCTGTGTTTTATGTCTTGGGTTAGGTGCTAAGGCAATAAGGATAAAAATACATGGTACCTACTCTTTAATGGGGAAGCTGACACTAAATAATTTCACTTTGTCATAATGCTGTAAAGGAATTATAATGCAAGCACGGGATATTCAGCTGCCTATCTGATTTTTCCACTTAGATGTCTTATAAGCATCTCATACTCTATACTTTTCCAAAACTGATCTCGTTAGTTTTGCCTTTATATTTATTTCATCTTAATAGTATATGTGCCTGTTTGCTCAAGCTAGCAGTCTCAGAGTTATCTTTGATAATTCCTTTTACTTCTCTGTTCCTATATCGGGTCTGTCACAACATGTCAATTTTATCTCTACAGTATCTCTGGAATCTGTTCATTTCTCTGAATCTCTATTGCTATCACCTTAGTGAAAGTTGCCACCATTTCTAACATAAATTTTTGCACCAGTGGCCTACTGATGTTTCCTGGCTTCCTTTTTTTTTTTTCTTTTTTTTTGTTTGAAATGGAATCTCACTCTGTCACCCAAGCTGCGGTGCAGTGGTGTGATCTCGGCTCACTGCAACTTCTGCTTCCTGAGTTCAAGCGATTCTCCTGCTTCAGGCTCCCAAGTAGCTGGGACTATAGGCATGCATCACCACGCCTGACTAATACTTGTATTTTTTAGTAGAGATGGAGCTTTACCATATTGGCCAGGCTGGTCTTGAATTCCTGACCTCAAGTGATCTGCCCTCCTTGGCCTCCTACAGTGTTGGGATTACAGATGTGAGCCACTGTGCCTGGCCCCTGGCTTCCATTTTTGTCTTCTATTTGTTTTCCTCACAGCAGGCAGAGTAATCTTAAAATGTAAATTAGATCAAGACTTCTCTAAAATCCTTCAATATCTCTATGTCCACTTATATGACTTTATTATATTCTTCTACTAGCCTCTTAGTTTCATGAAGGCTGGACAGGAACTTGTGTTTAGCAAGGCCTTGAGGATCTCAAATTCTCTTTTTCCCTCCCTTCCTCCGACTCTCTTTCCAGCTCTCCTTATTCTTCCTTTCTCCTTCCCACTTAACATCTCCTTCCTAGCACCTCTCTCTACCCTGTTGGTGAAAAAGATTAGGAAGAATATTCCTGATAGCAGAAAGGACGTGTGTGAACATAAGGCAAGGAACTGATTTAAGAGAGGAACTTCATGATGCATAATGTTTACCTTTATTATGTGAAGTGTGGGAGATAAGAGCTTGGAGGCAGCCCTTCTGTTAACAAGGCTTGGGTTTTATTGGTCATTGTGTGCCAGTGAAAAAAGAATTGGGGCTGGGCGCAGTGGCTCACCCCTATAATCCCAACACTTTGGGAGACTGAGGCGGGTGGATCACCTGAGGTCAGGAGTTCAAGACCAGCCTGACAAATATGGGGAAACCCCATCTCTACTAAAAATACAAAAATTAGCCAGGTGTGGTGGCGTGTGCCTGTAATCCCAACTACGCAGGAGGCTGAGGCAGGAGAACTGCTTAAACCTGGGAGGTGGAGGTTGCAGTGAGCTGAGCTGAGCTGAGATAGTGCCACTGCACTCCAGCCTGGGTAACAGAGTGAGCCTCTGTCTCAAAAATAAATAAATAAATAAATAGTTCTTAGTAACGTAGGAGATTAAGACTAGTAAAATCGTTCAGGATGCATTTGCAGCAGTCCAGGTGGGAAATAAAAGTGTGAATAAAAATTAGGTTAGTTGGATCAGGGGAAGACTTGAGAGACTGAGGATTTAAAACTAATAGGACATGGTAATTGGGTATGAGAGATGGTAGAAGGTGAGGAGTAAAGTATGAATCCCAGATTTTTAATCCAGTGGCTGATTAGATTGGGATGTCCTTAACTATGTTTGAGAATATGGGCAGTGAATGGGTTGGATGAATAAGTTGATGAGTAGGGTTAGGGTTTTGGGCATATTGAACCTGATGGGCTTTACATGGTTGTGTATGAAAGCCTGACTATAGGAGAGGTCACAGCTGGACTTGAGAATCACAAGCTTACATAGAAGTGCCTTTTGACTCCCACACCTTCACACATTGTTTATTGACTATCCAAATTGCTTTCATAAGCTGAAGTTTGGATTTTGGACAACACTTACCAAGCGAAGATTTTGGGAGTATCATGGGGCTTTGGGGGGCCTGCTGCTGCCACTTATTTACTACCCATGGTAGAATTGGCAGTGTTGAGGTTATTGATGAACAGTGCAGGAGCTAGTGGAGTGGCAGGAGAAACCAGGCACACTGCGTTTTGAAGTGACTGAGAAGCGAGGAAGTAGAGATGTTTCTAGATGAAGAGGAAAGATGAACAGTGCATAGCTAGAAGGGAAATGGCTGTATCAAAAGTTTTAAACAAATGAGGAGATATGTTTAGAGACAGACGAAAGCACATAGGGATTAAATTTCTAGAAGAGAGGGTTGTATGGAGGAGATAAAGATCATATGTGGATTTTTTTAACTTTTAGGTTCGGGGGTACATGTGAAGGTTATGTAGGTAAACTTGTGTCAATGGGGGTTTGTTGTACAGATTATTTCATCACCCAAGTGTTACACCGAGTACCCAGTGGTTTTTCGTGCTCCTCTCCCTCCTCCTGCCTTCCACCCCCAAGTAGACCCCAGTGTCTATCATTCCCTTCTTTGTGTTCATGAGTTCTCAGGTGGATTTTTAGTGAAGAATATTACCCAAATATGTTTTAGCTTTTCTAAGTATCTGCAGGTGAAGAGGGACTTGGAATTGAATTTGTCGATTATTGAATCATAGTACAGCCATTATCCTAACTCAGGCAACTGTCTTTTAGTTTGAGTTACTGCCAGTTTGCCTCAGTTTCTTTTCATAGCACCTGAAGGAAATCTCTGATTGTGTTATTGTGTTATTTTTGTATTTTTTATTTTTTGGAGACAGAGTCTCACTCTCAGCCAAGGTGGAATGCAGTGTTGCGATCATGGCTCACTGCAGCCTCTACCTCCTGAGGCTCAAGCGATCTTCCCACCTCAGCCTTCCAAATAGCTGGGACTACAGGCGTGCACCACCATGCTCTGCTAATTTTTTTTATTTTTGGAGAGACAGGATCTCACTGTGTTGCCTGGACTGGTCTCAAACTCCTGGTCTCAAGTGATCCACCTGCCTCAACCTCCCAAAGTGCTGGGATTACAAGCATGGGCTACTGCACCTGGCCTGTGTTACTCTTAATAAATCTGGTGACTATAAGAAATGTTTAGTCTTGGGCATTGGAAAACCATTGGTGATCCATTGGAAGGGACAGGGTGGTGAATACATTTGAAATCTTATTGTGAGCAGCAATTGAAGAAATTAGGAATGTTAGGCCATGAGAAGGAGTCTTTGGGGAGACATGGTGATTATTTGCCAATACCAGAATGATTTTCATTTGAAAGAGTGCTTAGATGTGTACTCCAGTGGTAGAAACTGTTGGGAAACATGTTGGTTTGGTGTTAAGGAAGATATTTTAAAACAAGTTCTAATAAAATATATGTATATTTTAAACTGGCTATTTTAAATAGGATTTTGAGACCTAATTGTTGGAAAGATTGTGTTTTTTTTTCTTTCTTTCTTTCTTTCTTTTTTTTTTTGAGACAGGGTCTTGCTTTGTCACCTAGGCTGGAGTGCAGTGGCTGTTCACTGCAGCCTTGACCTCCCAGGCTCGAGCAGTCCTCCCACCTCAGCCTCCTGAGTAGCTGGGACCAGAGGCATGAGCCACCATACCTGGCTAATTTTTGTATTTTTTGTCAAGATGGGGTTTCATCGTGTTGCCCAGGCTGGTCTTGAACTCTTGTACTGAAGTGATCCACACTCCTTAGCTTCCCAAGTGTTGGGATTACAAGTGTGAGCTAACCTGCAACCGGTCAATTGTGGTCTTTTTAGTAATAAAAACCTAGGTTTGAATCTTTGTTCTGCTGCCCGTGACTGTGGACAAGTTGTTTAACCCTTCAGCTTTATTTTTATCTGTTATGTTTGGGTTGTTGTGAAGGTTAAATTAGATTAAATGAGCTAGTTCACGTGTGAAATTTTCAGCTTCAGTGTTCAGTGGATATTAATTCCACTTCTTCAGTAAAGAGCCCAACTTTACAGGAATCTAATAAAAAGCAGTTTCTTGGAAGGTACTGGGGTAGTTCCTTTCTTCTTGGAAGGAGTGATTGGACCATTCCTTTGTGGGTATGTTGTTTGCTTACCTGGTTGTTTAACTTGTTTTATGGGGGTTGAACTAAATGACCTCCAAGCCCAAGAATATTTGCAAAGGAAACAGAGTAGCAGTGAGCAGTCCCAGAACCCAGGTTGTGGTATTTCTATAAATGAAAGTGAATCCAGGGCTCCCTGGAAATGATTGATTTCAGGTCTGAGGCAAGAAAAATACAAGATGAACCTGGAACATTCTGACATACCAGATAGAAAAGAAGCTGTTGAAGACTGCTAGGGTCATGTCAAAAGGACCCAGGAGCCAACCTGAAGAGTCTCCCACTCTTCAAAGATGAGACAGTTTGAACACTGTTAATAATTGCTGTGAATTGAAATATATTAATAAAATAATGTGTTACTGTTGGACACTGTTGGAAGGTGCAAGTGAACCTAGTCGTTATTTTGAAAACAAATAAGAATTAAGGCTTTTTCCCTCCTTTCTTGTATTAAGCAGTATTATTTGGTAACTATACCAGGTAGTATAAGAGGAAAATTTATCTTTGCAGAAGTATTCCAGCTAATACATAAGGGAGGAATGAAAGAATATAATCACTTACAACCTTAGTGAACTTAGGGAACCAAGCATTGATCATAAATTACTGCAAGTATCACAAACACGTCATCACAATGTGTGCCTCTTGATGGAATAACATACCACTACATACGAAGTATTGCCAAAAAAGAACCCAAATTGATGAAAATCTCAAAATCTCTATACTCAGTCACCAGTTTACATGAAATGCAAAAGACAGAAAAATGTTTAATTATATCATGGATAAAATCAGCAAAACCCAGACTTTAAAAAAATGTTTTGGGTCAGGCATGGTGGCTCATGCCTGTAATCTCAGCACTTCGAGAGGCCAAGGTGGGAGGATTGCTTGAGGCCCAGAGTTTGAGACTAGGTTGGGCAATATAGTGAGACCCTGTCTCTACAGAAAATACAAAAATTACACGGGAGTTTGTCATCTGCTTTTTGGTGCATTTATGAAAATACAAAAAATTTTCCACAATAAGTAAAAAAAAAAAATCCCACCCCAACAGTCTCACTTTACTAATGCATATTTTTTCTTTAAATATTACTTTATTCTTGTAAACACATTTTACTGTTTACTATGCATACGCTATTTTTAATAATGTGCACATATTTACTGTGTTTTACTTGGCCTTCATATTAATATTTAATGTGTCATAATTTAGTAGATTATTCCCTTCTTTTTTGCTTTGTGAATAAAGCTTAGCAGTTTTGGGCACATATTTCAATGCTTCTATTGAATTTTTCCTTAGTCTAAACTAGAATTAAAGTAGCTTGGTCCCTTTCATGCTTGATATCAGCTACTCCTGATGTTAGTTTTTCCACTTGCTGTCTGACACAGTGCTACAGTAGAATCTTACTCGCCATTTTTTGCTGAAGTTTTCTTCCCTTTTTCCCCATAAAAATATATTATTTTAAAATTAAACAAAATAGTCCCTTTTCCCCAAGTTCTGTTCTTTAGAGGCAACTTTTCTTATCAGTTTGGAGTATATTTTTTATTTGTCTTCTTAGCAGTACATGTAGTTTTCAATTTCTCTTTGTACTTTACTGCATTTTCAGATTCTCTACACTGACCATTAATTGCTTTTATTAAAAACGTTGTGAAATATTTCAGGCATATAAAAATATAAATTGTGATAAACACCCATGTATTCATTGGCAAGCTACAAAAATAAAACATTGTAGGTACAATTAAAGCTGCCTTTATAATCTTAATCTTTTGCAGATATAACCTTATTCTAAATGTTGTATTTGTCAATTTCATGTTTGTTTCTATGCTTTTGCTGCAGTTTGTATGTCTTGAAACAGTATAAACCTAGCTGCAGGTTTATGCATTTTATATAAAAATTATCATTACTATAGGCTGTGTTTTGATTTTTCTTTTGTATAGCATACTTTATTAAATATTTTAGCTATTACCAAATTGCCAAATAGATAATTAAATAATTAGCTATTATCAAATCATTCTTTGAAGTGATTATTTCAGTTTATAATACCACAAACACTACTTGAAAGTTTCCATTGTTTTACATCCTTACCAACACCTGGTATTATCAGACTTATTAAGTTTTATGAATCTAGTGAGTGTAAGGTAGTATCTCACTTTTGTTTTAATCATATGCGCCTTTTAAAATTTGGAAAAATGTGTCCCTTTTTCATTCTCTAAGCTTCTGGGGGACATAGCCGTGATGCCTTTTAAGTTAAGGAATTGCCACATGGTTGTCTAGTTATCTCTCAATAAACTGCCCTTTTAGCGTGCCATGACAAAAGATTGTATTAAAGCTAAAGTCTGATACTTTGAGATAGTAGGATTTCTTTTTGCTCTTCTAAAGAACTAAAATGAATTTTTTTTGACAGTGTATAGTATAAAAAGTCTGTAGCACCAGAATGTTTGACATATTCTCTGTCTTTTCTATTCTAGGCTCCGAGCTCTGTCCAGTGGTGGGAGTATTACATCCCCTCCTCTTTCTCCAGCATTGCCGAAGTATAAATTAGCAGATTATCGTTACGGCAGAGAAGAAATGTTAGCACTTTTCCTTAAAGACAACAAGGTAAGAAAGTAGGAAAAGAGTTCAAAATTGTGAATGAGACTTTGGGATATATACCATGATGTACTGATACATGAAAACTGATTTATTTTACTAATGTATTGACCCATGCCTTTCCACCTTAACTGTTTCCCTGCTTTGAAGCCTGCAATAGTTAACAGAGGATCTTCTAAGTGTTATCACACACTATATTTTAGGCAGCTTCATGGAAACAGGAGAGTAGTCAGCACTTACTGCCTTCTCTAGCTAACTTCCTCTTAACCCCCCTTTCATGTCTATTTGTATCCTAGTTCAGTGGCTAAGAAATGAAGAATTTTTCCTTTCTCTTTATTGTACCTCTTATCCTACTTGCCACTTAAAAATAAAGAGCCAACAGGAGGAGCACCTTCGGCTATATAAAATTTTCAGTGGAGACAAAACCTTAAAATGTAACACTACATTTGTGTCACTTAGATCAAAACTGAAACAGTGTAAAATATACTTTTGTTATGACTTTTATCTTACTCACTGACTAGTAAGAAATAATATTTTGTATTTTTTCCCAATATACTTTTTTTTTGAGACAGAGTCTGGCTCAGTCACCCAGGCTGGAGTGCAGTGGCGTGATCTCATCTCACTGCAACCTCTGCAACCCAGGTTCAGGTGATTCTTGTGCCTCAGCCTCCTGAGTAGCTGGGATTATAGATATGCGTTCCCACGCTTGGCTAATTTTTTTGTATTTTTGGTAGAGATGGGATTTCACCATGTTGGCCAGGCTGGTCTCCAACTTCTGCCCTCAAGTGATCTGCCTGCCTTGGCCTCCAAAAGTGCTGGGATTACAGGCGTGAGCCACAATGCCCCACCTCCAGTATACTTTGTTTTTCAGTGATCGAGAATTTCAGATTTTAATGATGGTTGCTAAGGACACATACAGTTGCTTATAAAACTCTCCTTATCATCTTCTGCTTTGCATTTAATGTAGAGACTTTTATTCCTCTACTTTGTGCTCTGGTATAGCAGAGTTAGTGCTAAATCCAAAAGTGGCAATCACTTGAGAAGCTGGGGAGTATTGACTGGGGTTTTTAATATTGACTCTCTCAAAATGTATAAGGACTATAGAAGTCAATTATGGCTGAATAAGCATTAATCTGTATTTATAATAATCAACAATAAATAGAAGAGTATTCTTTCTTGGATTTATCTTCTTGTATTTCTTCTTATTGCAGAAATAGCATTAATCTCATAATCATGTGTTTGGTCCTACAGATACCTTCAGACCTTCTGGATAAAGAATTTCTGCCTATCCTCCAGGAGGAACCCCTTCCACCATTGGCTCTGGTACCCTTTACAGAAGAAGAACAGGTTTGTGATTAGCTCTGAGCCCCAGCAAACTCTTATTCTTTTCCTGCTAAGGCATGAAAATAGGAAGTTACTATTTATGCTCTAAGGATTATCCTGCATCCTCATAGGTCTGCTTTCTTCTATTTCTTGGTATGTTGATGCTTATTAGTTGACTAGATTTTGCTGTAGTATCTGTAGCTTTTGAGTATTATTTGGAAACGTTTGTAGATCCTTAAGGACATTGGGAACCATCCTTTAAAACTTACTCAAGTAGAGAGGAAGAGTGATTCTTGGGGAGGGGAGAAAATCATCTTTGCAAATAAACAGATTTTCAGAAGTAATTGCCAACCTGAATTCTTACCGGTGCATTTTACCACTAAGGGAAAAATGTAGATCTTCAGTTCAAAATGCATTCAAAACTCTTCTGTCACCAATGTGTGTGTGTGTGTGTCTGTGTGTGTGTGAGAGAGAGAGTGATGTGAGAAAGTAAAACTTGTGGGCTGGAAAGTAGCGAATTTAGTGTTGTTCCTGTTTATAGTGTATTTTGTTCTGTGCAAAGAAAATAAAAGAGTTTCTGATTTCAAGGAACTTATGATAACTGTAGAAAAATGGAAAAATAAGCCTTGTTGGAAAGCTTGAATGTTACTTTATGGGCATCCATACGGGAAGAAGAGAATCCAGGGAGCCAAAAATACATCTTTTTGACTCTTAAGGAAAAGGTAAAGCAAGAAGTAATAAAAATCTTTTCAAATACTCTATGAAATATTAAAATCCTGGGCATTGGAAAGAGAATTTTTCAAGAGGGTTTTAAACTATGAAATTTTGAACGACAAAAATGTTGGGGCCAGACGCATGACTCACACCTGTAATCCCAGCGCTTTGGGAGGCCGAGGTGGGCGGATCACCTGAGGTCAGGAGTTCGAGACTAGCCTGGCCAACATGGTGAAACCCTATCTCTACTAAAAATAAAAAAATTAGCCGAGCATGGTGACACACGGTTGTAATCCCAGCTACTTGGGAGGCTGAGGCAGGAGAATCGCTTGAACTCGGGAGACAGAGATTGCAGTGAGCTGAGATTGCATCACTGCACTCCAGCCTGGGCAAAGAGTGAGACTCCATTAAAAAAAAAAAAGAAACAAAATGTTGGCATATGTCCTTTACTTGAATACCTTCTGTACACTTGGTACAAAAATGCAGAAGTGTGATACACAGAGGAAAATGCACCTTGGACATGGCTGTAGCCAAAGGTCTTCCTGGCAGAGGGGTAAAAACTGAGCCCTAGGAATTAGGGTAAAAAAGAATCCTGCAATTCAACTAATATTTTAATCCTTTCCATGCCAGCTGCTCCCTTTCCCAGAGGCCGCAAGTGTTAGCAATTTCTTATGTATTTTTCCAAGTAAATATGGAAATATATTTTCCGCCTTTTAATACAAGTGATACGGTTCTGTACTTCCAACATCAAGTATTTTTATTGAAAGACTTCCCTGAAGATTTGGAAAAATTTTTTCCCATCGTTTTTGTTTGCATTTCTTTGCCTGTAGCAGTAAACAGTTGTTTTTCAGATGTTTATTCATCATTTATATTTCTGTTAATTTTTTTCTTGCCTTTGCCAATTTTTCTTTTGGGATATTCATCTTTTCCTTGTTGATTTATGCTATTTATATGAGCTCTGTGTGTGTGTGTGTGTGTGTGTGTGTGTATGTTTGTGTGTGTGTGTATTTTTTGTTTACTTATTTAGATTTTCTATTTTGAGCTAGGTTCTCACTCTGTCATCCAGGCTGGAGTATAGTGAGGGTCTCACTCTGTCACCCAGGCTGTAGTACAGCGGCATGATCATAGCTCACTACAACCTTGAACTTCTGGGCTCAAGGGATTCTCCTGTCTCAGCCTCCTGCATAGCTGGGAGTACAGGTGCATGCCACTGCATTTGGCTAGTTTCGTTTTTTGTAGAGACAGGATCTCGCTCTGTTATCTAGGCTGGTGTTGAACTCCTGGCCTCAAGCGATTCTCCTACCTCAGCCTCTCAAAGTGCTGGGCTTACAGGCATGATCCACCATGCCTGGTCTGGCTCCTCATATTTTAAAGTCATTGACCATAGCTGTGCCCAGTAAGTTTTCTAAATGTTAAAATTGCATTTATGATTTTATTTATTTCTTTTTCTTTGTCTCTTTGAGACTGAGTCTTGCTCAGTCACTCAGGCTGTAGTGCAGTGTCACAGTCTCGGCTCACTGCAACATCTGCCTCCTGGGTTCAAGGGATTCTTGTGTTTCAGCCTCCTGAGTAGCTGGGATTACAGGCGTATACCAACACGCCTGGCTAATTTTTGTATTTTTAGTAGAGACAGGGTTTCACCATGTTGGTCAGGCTGGTCTCAAACTTCCTGAGCTCAAGTGAATCCTCCTGCCTTGGCCTCCCGAAGTTCTGGGATTACAGGCGTGAACCACCATGCCTGGCCACATTATGATTTTAAATAAAAAGGCTAATTTTATGAGCTTCATATACCAGTTTTATTCTTTTGTGATTATTCTTTTAATTTTTAGCTATTTATATATTATTTTTAAAAATTCCTTTTTATGTTTCTTTAAATGATTTCCTAGATTTCTTAGAGACTAAATATATCAGAAGAGGGAAGAGGACATGCTACTAGTTACCAAAATGTGGTAGACTTTTATTCAACAGAATGAATAATTGAATTACCCAGAAACATCTTGTAACATTTTAAAGAAATTAGTGTGTAGTAAGTACACAAATCGTTTGGAAAATCAAACATTATTTTGCAAATGTTGCTTGGGATCTGTTGGTTAACTGCAGTTAACCAGTAATAGTTGGTTAACAATTTAGAGAAGAGTAAAATTAGGTATGCACTACACCTATACACCAAAATTAGTTCTAGAACAACTAAAGGAATATGTTTAATTTTGTTCTTATGATAGAAATATTTATCTTAAGGTCTGTATTCTGTGATCACAGCGTCTTGATGCAAGGATTGGGAGGTTTTCACTGTGGCCACAGAAGATCATCAGATCCGTTTTGAAGGCATTTAAAATGCACCATTTGGGATTTCCTGATGCATATTTGGTAGCCTTTATCATTTACCAAATATGTTGGAATAGGACAGTGCTTAAAGCTGGCAAAAAATTCATAAAAAATTTGATGTTTGTCCTTTGAATGATCAGGTACCCCTTCAGAGATTAGTATTGACTAGATCTTCCTAGACTAGAGTTTTGTATACCTTTTCTTTTGGTACTTCTAGGGAGGTAAATACTTTAATAACTTAAAGCAGGCTTCTTGCTGCATGTCTTGTTTGCTGAAGTTACCTGAAATACGTATTTTTAAAGTATACTGACATACTCATTCTCCTTCTCCCTCCATGTATCTGTGTATCAAATATAGTGAGAAAAAAATGCATTACACCTGCAATTTAGGTAGCTGTTACAAGACTGGTGTATTTTATTTATTTGACATCAAAGAAGTTACTTTATTCATTCTTTTTTTTTGAGACAGAGTCTCACTCTTTTGCCCAGGCTGGAGTGCAGTGGCGCGATCTCGGCTCACTGCAAGCTCTGCTTCTCGGGTTCACGCCATTCTCCTGCCTCAGCCTCCCGAGTAGCTGGGACTATAGGTGCCCACCACTGCACCCGGCTAATTTTTTGTATTTTTAGTAGAGACGGGGTTTCACCGTGTTAGCCAGGATGGTCTCGATCTCCTGACCTCGTGATCTGCCTGCCTCGGCCTCCCAAAGTGCTGGGATTACAGGCATGAGCCACCGCGCCTGGCCTATTTATTCATTCTTGATAATACTTGTATATATACCTAACAAAATTCAAAAAGCACATAATGAAAAGCAAGTCTGTGACTCACCCAAACTCTGCCACTTATTACTCTTCCTCAGAAATAACCACTATTTCCATTTTTTTTGTATTCACTTCAGGGGTGCTTATGGTGTCTACAACTATCTGTATATTCCCTTAAACACTATTTCACACACACACACATAAATGGTAGCATGCTGTGCACACAGTTCTACACTTGACAGTATTTATTTATTTATTTATTTATTTATTTATTTATTTATTTATTGAGACAGAATCTCACTCTGTTGCCCAGGCTAGAGTGCAGTGGTGTGATCTTGGCTCACTGCAACCTCCGCTTCTCGGGTTCAAGTAATTCTTCTGCCTCAGCCTCCTGAGTAGCTGGGATTATAGACGCCCGCCACCACGCCTGGCTAATTTTTGTATTTTTAGTAGAGATGGGGTTTCACCATGTTGGCCAGGATGGTCTCCAACTCCTGACCTCAAGTGATCCGCCTGCCTTGGCCTCCCAAAGTGATGGGATTACAGGCATCTGCCACCATCCTTGGCCATTTTTTGTAATTTTAGTGGAGATGGTGTTTTGCCGTGTTGGCCAGGCTAGTCTCGAACTCCTGGCCTCAAGTGATCTGCCTGCCTTGACCTCCCAAAGTGCTGGGATTACTGGTGTGAGCCACCGTGCCTGGCACTTTACAGTTTTAACCTAAGCATCTAAGAGATAATGGCATACTAGCTTTTAGTATGTATTAGACACTGTTCTAAGCACTTAACATTTAATGTGTTGCGTGCTTGCAGTCACCCGTGAGGTAGATAAAAATATCCCTGTCTACATTATATAGATGAGGAAAATGAGGCTCAGAGAAGTTGAGTATAGAGGCCAGAATTCAGTCCCAGGGAGTTTGGCCTCTCCGTGTTCCTAATTACAAGTATGCTCCATGTCTCTATATATTAGGTTGACCATAGGACATTGCAGTTTTTGTTATCACATGATTCTGCCTAAGAAATAGATTTGTGGCCCGGCACAGTGGCTCACACCTGTAATCCCAGCACTTTGGGAGGCCGAGGCGGGCAGATCACAAAGTCAGGAGATTGAGACCATCCTGGCCAACACTGTGAAACCCCATTTCTACTAAAAATAGAAAAAATTAGCCAGGCATGGTGGCATGCGCCTGTAGTCCCAGCTACTCAGGAGGCTGAGCCAGGAGAATCGCTTGAACCTGGAAGGCGGAGGTTGCAGTGAGCTGAGATCGTGCCACTGCACTCCAGCCTGGATGACAGAGCAAGACCCCGTCTCAAAAAAAAGAAAAAAAAAAAAGAAATAGAGTTGTTTCATTTTTTTTTTAATCAGCAGTACAGAATTTTACATGTAGAGGACCATGATTTTTAAATTAGGATTGGCTAATACATAGATGGCTTCCATATTTTTGCTTTTATGAGCAGTACTGCAGTTAATGATCTTTCTGTTTATGTTAATTTTTTACATGGGTAAGAAGTAGAATTGTTGTGTCAAAGGGGATGGGCATTTAAATAATTTTTAGAAATTGCCTTCTATAGAGATTATACTAGTTTATACTTTCATCAGCAATGTATGAGAGTTTGTGAAAATATATGAGTGTGTCCCCACACATACAAATGGGTGCATTTGAGTTTTATATATGTGATAGTTTGGTTGACAGGTGTTCAACTGCATGGGATCCTAGCATAATAATGCAGTTAGCTCTGACCACAATTATTTCAATATTAGAATATATTAATCTGTATTTTGGGACCTCATACTGTTGTTTAATTATAGTAATACCCAGAGACATTATTTAGTACCCCACTGCTTACTCTGTGCTAAAAGGTAAGTTAATATATATGTTTCAATCAGTTTTCTTTTTTATTAAGTACATTTTATTATAGTTTGAAATAGAAATATAATTTTTGAGTTTGGTGTCTTTTATTTTTAGTTGTCAAATATATCTTAAGTCTTTAGTTTTGATGTTACTTGATTATATGATTATATACCTATAAAGTAAAAAAAAAAAAATCTTATTTACACTGATAAAGTTCCTAAAACTTATCAAACAAATTGTTGTGAATAAAATTCTGAAAAAACTAGCTAGGAGAAAATGACCTATTTATTACAACACATTTAATAATGAAAGTAGAAGTTTTTTAACGATTAGATGTTGACTTCTTCAAAAGAAGGTGGTATAGACATCATATTTCAGTGGATTTTGAATCAAAATAGAAAGTTAGTGGAAACCAGTTTGGACTAAAATATTAGTTGAATTGCAGGATTCTTTTTTACCTTACTTCTTTCTTTCTGTTTTTTTGAGACGGAGTCTTGCTCTGTCGCCCAGGCTAGAGTGCAGTGGCATGATCTCGGCTCACTGCAGCCTCTGCCTCCTGGGCTCAAGCAATTCGCCTGCCTCAGCCTCCCAAGTAGCTGGGATTACAGGTGCCTGCCACCGCGCCCGGCTAATTTTTGTATTTTCAGTAGAGACAGGGTTTCACCATCTTGGCCAGGCTAGTCTCGAACTCCTGACCTCATGTCCACCTGCCTCGGCCTCCCAAAGTGCTGGGATTACAGGCATGAACCACCACGCCTGGCCTTTTACCTTGACTCTTAAGCCTAAGGTTTTCTCTCTGCCAGGAGAACCCTTGGCTACAGACATACCAAAGGTGCACTCCACTATCTCTTTTTACTTGACCCTGTTCCAGATTGGCTGTGGTGCAAATGCAGGTTAATAACTGAGTGATTGGGTTTTACTTTAACTTATTAAGTATTCCCTTCGTCTTCCCATTAATGTGTTATTTAGATGGTTGCTCTTGTTTAGATCCTTGGCCCTTTCCCATTCACTTATGATTCCTGTCATTCTGTTGAATACTACTTGGAGTTGCTAATTCACATTGATGTGCAGAATGTCCTACTCTCGCATCAGACCTTTTGGTAACTCCCTTTCATTTCCACTTTTCACCAGTTAAAGGCTTACAGGACCCTTTCAAACCAGATCTCTTTTGTAAAATTTTCTGTATTTATTCTGTTATGTATTTTCCCTATCTACTTGTGTATATATAGAGTGTTTAGTTTGTTTGCTTATTTCCTCACCAAACCTAGCATAGTGTAAGACATTGGTTGTCAATTTTGTTGATCTGAAATGTTAATTTGCAATTATCAGGTAAAATCAAGTTTTGGATCATTTCGTATGTTGTGCAGTTATGGTTTTCCATTGCTAGTAGTAATTAGATGCCTTTTTATAGATGCAGTAGGAATGTGGGGAGAAGCAACATGTAGTTTTATCTGTTTCATCCATTTTTTTCTTTCTTTTTTTCCTTTTTCTCTTTTTTTTTTTTTTTTTTTTGGCAGAGAAACTTTTCCATGTCTGTAAATAGTGCTGCTGTCCTGCGATTGACAGGACGAGGAGGAGGAGGAACAGTGGTGGGGGCTCCTAGAGGTCGAAGTTCTTCAAGAGGGCGAGGTGAGCTTTCATATGAAAAAAGTAATAATGGAGGAGGAGGAGGAGGATAGAGAACTTACTTTTAAAATATTTTAATGCCTGATTTAATAAAAACTGTTCTTTGACATTAACTGCATACTAAATGTCCTGAATATTTATATTCAGAACCATTTTTTAGAGGTATCTCCTCTATAATCCCTGATTTGGAGCAGAAGAGTATAATTCTAGCTGTACAGATTTGAACATGAGGGAGTCTAGACAGTCCCAATTCACTCCAACAGATCCATGTTCCTCATCCCTGGAGAGCCTTACACTCTGGGAGCCAACGACTCCTGAAGTGTCTTAACTATGGAAGCAGCACTGAAGTACCTGCAGTCCTCTGTGACAGTTTCTGTGTGAGGGGCGTGTGCCAAGAGCTTCTCCAGCCAGAGAGGGGCTTTAACAAAAACTGCCTCATCAGGACTAGGACATTTAGGGGTAGAAAAAAAGATAATTCTGCCACATTCATTTATTTAACCTATAGTTTTACATATTTTTGTCTTGGAAAAATAGTTCTTATTTTGATATTACTTGTTTCTTTGATATCTGCCCCCTATTTTGGGTTTGCTGATTTTCTCCTATATGACGACATTCTTAAATATTTGTAATATGAATATTTGCTTAATCATGTAGCTCTTACGTTGACTAAATCATAACAGTGGTCTAAATACACCTTGTGATTTTCTGTAAGAGATGCTTTAGAAATGGAAGAATTGGATGTCTGCAATGAGTGAGACCATTGTCTCTGCATATTGTACCACCAAGATTGGCATGATCATGAGTATAGAGTATTTAAATTCTTTATAAATAGAGTAATTTATCTACAGTCTCTCTAGAAAATGCATTCAATTGTGCATTCCTGGGAAGAGATTTCTTTTAGTAGTCCACTCAGAATGTGGGAATCCAGGTGTGAAGTGTCTGATTAAAAGTCTCCACTTGTTTTGCTAGGTACTATTACATAGTTGTGTTTTTCCCTCTGGCTTTATTTGTCCATCTTTAGAGAATATTTTTTTTTTTAACCTGAGGAGATGTTAGACTAATCTGTAAAACTTAAAGGAAATACCTGTGCAACAAAATTTTGGGTGGTGGGATCTAGGCATGTGTGTGCTTCAAAAGCTCCACAGGCAGTTCAGATTCATACACCGAGTTAGGTTCCATTGGTCCAGAATTTGAGATCCATGCATCTTGGTGGCATGGTGGTGGTTTCGAGTTGGGACTGACCACTTATGGCTCTGGCCTGCTGCTTGGGCATTTCCTGTGTTTTTCTGCTGTGGGTTGGTAGCAAGGAGAGGTTGTACTTGGGCAGCTTTGCCTCCAGTGCTTTTCAGGGCAAGCCAGGGAGAGATCTTCTTGGTGAAGAAGTGTGAATAACACCGACTTTTGTGTGCTGCAAATACCAACCAATCTCTGAACAGCACCCCCCGCCCCCCGCCATTACTTAATCTAGAAACAAGTGAATGATTGAATTTCTCCTTGCTTTTTGGTTTATGATTGAATTTCTCCTTGCTTTTTGGTTTCTTTGAAATGAAGGGTTATCACATATGATAGAAAGCTTACATTCAGAATTTAATCAGGCTATGTAAAAAAGATAGATGTGACATATGTAAGAAGTCATGACTTTATTTACATATTAATGTTGAAGAATGGCACGAAACTAGTCAAGTGACTGAACTGACTTGGTGTGAAAAGTACTTTTAACATTATCTCAACCACCCGTGATTCTTCTTAATGATCTCAGTAGCTCATTTTCTGAAAGAAGGTTGTAATTATAATCTGTGGTTTTGTGTTTTCCACTCATTACTTAATTTTAACTTGCTGGTTAAATAATGATTATTGTGGCTTTTCTTTGTATAGGCAGAGCTAACACTAGATGATTATCTTGGCTGTTTGCAACTTTAGGAAACTTTGATGTGGAAATTGACTGATTTCCAGGCTGCTAAATATCATGTACTAGTAAAATTTAAATAAACTAAATAGGTGGTAAGAACAACATGAAACTGTCATTTTATTTGGTTAGGTTGTTTAAAAATAAAGCAGATTGACAGAGCTCTCAACTATTGTCTTCATCATTATTAAAAGGAAGTATGTTTTAATTCCCAAAAAGAATAGGGTGAATTCTTAGTAGAACAGTTCTTTAATTGAGCCTTACGATAGGTTCATCATGTTATATTTACTTCCTTATTCATGTATGGGAACCACTTTATAGAAGATTAAAATTTTTCCAAGTTGGAAAGCTTTAGAACCTGATCGTTGTAGTATGTCCCACCCTAAAGTTTTAGTATCATTAGCAGGACCGGTGTCAGTGCTAGTTATAACTGAGAAAATATTTTATATGTGTTTTGCTTGTCTTTCTGGTAAGCTGGAGGCTATTTTTTATATTTATATGTTTCTGGAATAAAACATTTTCTTCAAGGTGATACAAGTGTAAGGGCCTTCCTGAGCAAATGGCTTTCTCTAAAAGATGAGGAGACTTTTGCCCCCATCCTAAAATCTTCCTTGTAGAGGACATGCGTTATATGACAATTTATATTACATTATTTTAGGATCTTAAATACAGTGTATACATTTCCTGAAGGGGAGAAGTACTTAAACTGTGAGTTGACTTTAAGTGAAGTTGACACAAGTGGAAGGGTAACTTTATTATAGTTCCACCGTGCTTCTCACTTCCGTTTGACAAATGAAGAAGTGGATACTTGCACTCGTCAAGAGGGTATCCATTGTTTCTAAGATTACCCACAAAATAATTTGGTGCATTATTTTGATACTTCATAATATAGTCATATAAAAGTACAAGTGTATTCTGAGTTAATTCTTGATAAATTACAAACAAGAAATAGAAATACTGCATGGATATTTGAAGTAATTAGCTCAATTATATTTAGCTTTGGGATGCATTCATCAAGATCCATCATTTTTCTTTGGGTCATTGTGCACTGTGAGAAAAATTGAGCTAGGGACGATGGCTAAGATTTCACCTAGTTACAAATACATCCTTGGACCCCCACCCCTCCTCCCCTCCTCTCATTTTCTCACCTGTGTATTGAATACAAATGTTTGTTGGGAAAACTGTACATAAAGTATGAAGCTAAAAGTGCATACGGTCTTCTGCCTCCAGACCTAACAATTGGATATATAGCCTTCTTGACCCTAACGGTGCAGCTATATCATTTATATAAATGGAATAATTTTTATATGCATCATTCTTCAGTATGTTCTTGTTATTGAACAGAATAATGTCCGTGCTTAATCTGCTGTGGCATCATAGTGTTCTACTGTATTTTATCAGAATTTATGTAGCTAATCCTTTATTGATTAGATTTCTAGTTTTTTTTTTTAATTACAGTGAACATCTTCATATATATTTGCATTTTTGTACAACTATTTCTATTAGGATAAATCCTAAGTAGAATTGTTGAATCAAATGTCAATAGATCTAACCAAATTGCCTTCAGTAAAGGCCAGTTTATGCTTGAACCACCAGAGAGAGCCTCTCAATCCCTATGCCCAGACACTCTACCAGCTTTGTTGGTTCAAGTTTAGTCCTGATACATTTCTTTTTAACTTCAAGATTTGGGTGTAGAGTAAACTGTACCTTTGGTTACTCTGTAATATACCCTGTATGGCATTCATGAGGTTTGATGGTTTTAGAATTGATGCTATTAAGTTATCCTTTCTCTGGGATTAGATAAATTATTTTAACTTTTATGCTTGACTTTTTAACTTTAGCCCCTGTCTTCTTAAACTCTCTAAACCAAGATTTCTTCCATTTTTATGAAAATAAAACAATAAAATATTTAATCTACGGTAGTGTTTTATTGAACTTCTTAGAATTTCACTATTCAACTGTTCGTTAAAGAACTTAAAGTTGATACTTTCTTGTTCAGGACTGGGTCTATTGCATTATATTATGTTAGTTTTTTTAACTTGTTTCTTTCAGCCTCTTGTGGTCCAGCTACTTCAATGCCATTGTTGGTCTCATAAGTCAAGATCATCAGGCCTCGTTCAGTATTTAAATGTAGATGTCCTGCCTTGTATAGAGATAGAACTTTAGATATTAATTTATGGTGGTGAATGTGTGCCACATGTTGACATCTGACTATCATTTTTTTCTGTTTTCTTATTTTCAGGCAGAGGCAGAGGTGAATGTGGTTTCTACCAAAGAAGTTTTGATGAAGTAGAGGGTGTTTTTGGTCGAGGAGGTGGCAGAGAAATGCATAGATCGCAGAGCTGGGAGGAAAGGTAACTGGATCCACATATTGGCATAAAAATTTCTTGGCATATAAAACTTATATTTTTTGCTTTCTGCGGGGAGAAATGTTTTTGTACAGTTAAAGGGTTTCATTTTAAAAAATGCTCTTAAGTATTGAACATCAAGTTGTACATTAGAAATTTTTAAATGATTCTTATTTAAAGGAAGACGGATTCTAGATAGATAGGTTAATATATGAGTGCCAGCATAGTTAATTTGATTTGGTATTTGATAGCAAATACCAAATTGTCATGTTATTGTTTGTTGGTATTAGTAAAAGTATCTTCTCTCTATATTGTTTGTGGCTTTATATGAAGTCTGTCAAGATGAGTGGGGGCAATTGCACAAAGATATCTGTACAAGAATGTTCACTATGATGATATTTATAATACAAAATAATTTGAAATAAGCCAAACAGATTGATGTTGGCCTTATATAATTGTATATCCACAAAGTAGGATATTAATATGAGCATTAGAGGTGTTTTTGAAAATATTTAATGATGTGGGAAAACACATTCTAAGAGCAGTATATAAAACTGTATACTATGTATCTAATTTAAAAAATAATATTTTGGGTCAATAGAAACAGCTTTTGGTAGGTGAGGGGATGGATATTTTTCTTTTTATCTTTGTGCTTTTCTATATTTTCGAAATATTAGGCAATAACTATGTATTTATTTGTTTTGTAATTTGAAGAAGAAATGCTTTTAGAAAAATGGGAAAGTGAGTGTCACAGATAGGAAATCTATATCACTGTGAGACTTTGTTTGAAACTTATTTTTTCTTTTCCAGGGGTGACAGACGTTTTGAAAAACCAGGACGAAAAGATGTAGGTAAGGTTCTTACCTACACACATAAGGATAAATTTATTAAAAATTGACTCAGTTACCTGCACCTCTCCAGTAGATGGGGCTGCAGCATTTCCTGCATTTAAACTTCCACGGTTATTTGAAGTCTCTACTGCATGAAACCAGAGATGATGAATACAGCCATTAGGATTTACTTGACTTGGTCTGTGTGTTCTCTGCAAGGCATATATTCTTTATTAAGGCCAATTTGTGAACTGAAGACTCAAGTTAGGAACCAATCTACTAACTCTTTTTCTAGTGTAGATAGCATCTCACAGATGAGAAGAAATAGGGCAAATGCTAAAATCTTTGCTTTTGTATCAGAGAACAAAGGCCAAAACTATGAATGTTCTTAATTTACTAATTTATTCATTTGGCCTTTTTGCTGTATAGTCCTTTTTTTTTTTTCTTGTTTTGTGATGAGAACAAAAAAAAAAATAACTCAGATAAATTGCAGTTAAGGTAGCCACTGAAGAGGAACATAATAAAGGAACAGGATTCCATTGTTTATGATGAATTAATCATAATTTGTATTTAAATTTGTATTTAAATACATAATTTATATTTAAAGAATTTATACTGTTAAGATGAGCTTCCTAGCTGATTAAAGGTACTACCTTACAAACTACCAGTAGGTATTAACATCTGAGGAGAAAATAATGCCAATTCATGGTACCATGAATTGGTACTATGAAAATTATTACAAGTTCCAAGTCCTACAAGTGCTAAAAAAGTTCTCCAGAGCATGATTATAACTGATAGTGTTAATCATGTCTTTTTTTTTTTGTTTTTTTTTTTGTTTTTTTTTGAGACAGAGTCTCAGAGGCTGGAGACTCTGTCACCCAGGCTGGAGTGCAATGGTGTGGTCTCGGCTCACTGCAACCTATGCCTCCCGGGTTCAAGTGAATCTCCTGCCTCAGTCTCCCGAGTAGTTGGGACTACAGGTGCGTGCCACCACACCTGGCTAATTTTTGTATTTTTAGTTGAGATGGGGTTTCACTATGTTGGCCAGGCTGATCTTGAACTCCTGACCTCGTGATCCACCCGCCTCAGCCTCCCAAAATGCTGGAATTACAGGCATGAGCCACTGTACCGGGCAGTGGTAAATATTTCTTATAAACAAATGTTAAATATGTAAATACCATTCACAGACTGACTTGCAGATTGTTTTAAAAACTAAGTAATTTTAACAGTCAGCTTTGTATCACTGTTTCTGTTAAAAACTTAAAGATATCAATAATTAAAATTTCTCATTTATGAATGTGGCATTGGGAATACGTAGTTATATTTATATTAATGAAAACCGTTAAGGCCAGGTGTGGTAGCTCATGCCTATAATCCCAGTGCTTTGGGAGGCCAAGGCAGGACAGCCTGGGAGACATGGTGAAACCATGTCTCTACAAAAAAGTACAAAAATTAGACCTGCATGATGGTATGTGCCTGTAGTCCCAGCTACTTGGGAGGCCATCATGTGATGGGAGGATAGCTTGAGCCCAAGAAGTCGAGGCTGCAGTGAGCCGTGATCACACCATTGCACTCTCTAGCCCAGGTGACAGAGTGAGACCCTGTCAAAAAAAAAATTAAAGGTGTGTAGCATGAGGAAATTGGGAACAGACTAGGTAGATAGTTTATTGTTAGCTTTAGCCATATTGTAGACTGTTGGATTAACATAATCATGGGGGGCTTGTCAAGACCTCTGCTCCCATCCTTGTCTGATTCAGTACTTTTGCCATGAATATGTAGAGGGGATGAACAGTAGTTTAAAGAGTACAGGATTTGCAATCAGAAGATCATGGTTATTCTAAGCTCTCAGATCTCATTAGTCTCATAATAAAATGAGTGATAATGCCTTACAGAATTTTTAGGATTATAGTAGTTCTCCCCCTTTATTTGTGGGAGATACATTTCAAGACCCCCAGTGGATGCCTGAAACCACAGATAGTACTGAATCCCATAAATACTGTGTTTTTCTATACATATATATCTATGATAAAGTTTAATTTATAAATTAGGCACAGTAAGATATTAACAGTAATAACTAATAATAAAATAGAACAATTATAACAATATACTGTAATAAAAATTATGTGAGGCTGGGCACAGTGGCTCGCACCTGTAATCCTAGAACTTTGGGAGGCTGAGGTTGGCAGATCACGTGAGGTCAGGAGTTGGAGACCAGCTTGGCCAACATGGTGAAACCCTGACTCTACTAAAAATACAAAAAAAAATTAGCCAGGCGTGGTGGGTGAGCACCTGTACTTCCAGCTACTGAGGGAGACTGAGGCAGGGGAATCGCTTGAACCCGGGAGGTGGAGGCTGCAGTGCGCTGAGATTGTGCCACTGCACTCCAGCCTGGCTGGCAGAGCAAGACTCTGTCTGCAAAAAAAAAAAAAAAGTTATGTGAATGTGGTCTCTGTCTCTTTCTCAAAGTACTGTAATATTTTTTGATCATGATTGACCATAGTTAAACTGTAAAGCAAAACTGTGGATAAGGCGGGATTACTGTAAATAAGAGCATATGAACTCATTTATTCATTCAACAAATATTAAATTCTCACTTATGTGCTAGGTGCAAAATATTTCTTTAGAGGATATTGTTGGTATGCTGATCAGATTTTCAAATCATTCAATATTGTGAGGGATATCTATGGAGTGGAACAGTTAGGACATGGGATCAGAATCAAGGTGAATCGAGACCAAATCTAATCAAATGGGGCATTTTAACAGCAGAAATGAAAAGTCTTACATAAGGAAATTACAGAATTTAAGGAGTGGCTGCATGTAAAAGCAGCCTTCTGTGGAAAGGATACAACCCTCTCAGTGACTCTGGGCTTCATGTTCATCAGCGGTGTGCTGATGTCCTCTCAGCCATGGGCAGTATTTACTAAAGTGTCCTCAGTGAGTCAGGTGATAGGCCCATTGTCTTTTATGTTGTCACAGGCAAGCCTAAGCATTGTGTTCACTTCTGGGACCACCCCTTGAAAGGGTCCACACATTTGAGTAGGAGGGCTGGGGCATTTGAAGCCTTGCGATGGGAACTGTGTGAAGGAAATGGAGCTGTTTAGATAGGAGACAAGATTGTGGACAGGGCAGAGTGGGGAGGAGGGCTTATAGGGTCACTCTCTATCAATACCTGCCTACTAATCATGATCATGTGAGGTGAGGACTTAGACTTGATCTGTATGTTTCTAAAGGGCAGAAAAGGGCTAACTGTTGGAAGGTTCAAGGGGGCAGGTATTGGACACAATCTTAAAAGATCTAATTATTAGAATTGTCTGAAAATGGCTTGGGTTGCCTTGGGAAAGTAGTGAGTTGATAGAACAATAGCCTGGTTTTAACTGTTCACACATATTCACACTTTGGTGGTTTGGAATAGTCAAGTTTAGTCGTTGTTATTTGTGGTTTTCATATTTTAACTATATTAATCCAATGAGGGTAATTTTCTTAGCCACCCTCTATTAAAGGTAAAGGTTCTTTTATTTACATCCCATTGGTATATCTTTGAAAAGGCAGGTTCCATAAAACTAAACTAACATGAAGTATCTCAGAATATTAAGGATACTAACTTCTAGTTAGTATCTACTATTATATAACTGCTAGTATACTAAAATATCATGGTAATTTCCACATACATACATATTCTAATATGTCATAGTCACTTTGATTGAATGCTTTTTGAAAAGATGCTCACTTCAGGTTAACTGCTAAAGATTCTGAGCTTTTACTTTTTGGAAGTAATCCACTTTTGTTGACGATAATGTAGGTCTTTAAAAAACATTGTTCATAATTATATCTTACACTCTCCAAGAGTAGCAATACTAAACTAGTTTGTTCAGGCACACTGATACATTGATCAGTATGAGGTCAATATGAGTATATTGTGAGATATCCTACGACATCACATTAAGACAGTTCAAGTACTGAAGATTCCAGGATGATCTATTCTTTTTAAAATTAGGAATGATGCTTACCATGTATTTGCTTCTCATGAAAAGAGAAATGGGTAGAATTACAGACATCTTTAGATGTAAGATGTCTTGTAAGATGTAAGAAGCTTGCATAACCCCTGTGAACAACCATAGGAGAATGTGAAGGTGGAAAAATGTCTTTGATACTAGAATTAGAATTCCTACTCAGTAGGAATTGATTGTGCACAGGGGGAGATCAGTTCTGGTGCCCATCTTATGGTATGATTCTGTAAGGGTGAAATGAAAGGATTATTAAAAAATAATCCATATGATACCGGTTCACTCAGCCCAGTGCAATACAAATTAGTGTATTTTGGTATGAAGTACTTGTTAATAGACATAGCAATTTTTGGTTATAGACTCTTCTGGTACTTGGTAGTATGGGCTTGTACATATGTAAAACTAGGCCCCTGAGATTTTTAGGTAACGACATGCCTCCAGTTTGTTGAAACTGTCATGCTATCTTTATCAGTTTCCAAAGGAACGTTTAAAGTTAGTTCCGAAGTAGTCTTCCTGATCATGTGTGCAAGACTTCATGACCAAGCTCCCAGATGATCCAGGTTAGTGAGCTGCACATCCAGAAAGGCAGAGCAGCCATTCCTCCCTCCCAGTAATTTCCGCCCTTTTTCCATTGTTACTTCCTTTTCCTCAGAGGATAATGGTCTTTCTATAGAAAACCTAATCCTTAACCTAGAAACTGTGATTTGAAATAAGTGAAAGAAACAATGAACAGTCCTCCCAGAAACTTTCTATCTCCTGCAAAAAAGTTTTGGATCACGTTTCTTATAGATTTATAAAGTGTTTATTAAATAACAGTAGTTTACCAATAGTTTTTTTTGGCATGTGTAGGGGAAGTCATATTTAGTTTTCAAATGCCAAATTTATTATAAACAGTAAGTATAATATGAAACTCATCTGACTTAAATGGAACCTTAGATCTCAGGTTTTACTCATTCACTTATGTCACCTTGGGCAGCTTCACTTAACAAGCGAGAGGGTGAACTGTGTAAGTGATGTAGTGCCTTTAGGAAAAAACATACCATGTAAGTCTTCAATACTACTTTATTTTCAAAGGTTAGGTGAATCTTGTTAATTTATTATAGAAATAAGAATTCTTGCTGTCTTTATGTGTTACAATAGTCTTGGGTTGGGAAAATCTGTTGGTCTGATTTCTACTTAAGAATGAATGTCTAAGATTTTCAAACAGCAAAAGTTCACAATAATTAAGTTTCTGTGTTCTTGATATTCTTCTGCTATTATCAGTCTTAGACCACTCCAGAGTTCTTCTTTATTTTCTTTTCCTTTTGGTCAAATAGTAGAAAAATGTGACTTGCTGCTGAGCCCTGCTCTTCACACCTGCTTGCCTTTACTCAGCTAGTATTTATTTCAAGAGATGATTCCTGCCTAGGTCATCACCAGTGGGGAAGGTTAATCTTTCATTTTTCCCACAGAAACCTGAATAAGGGAAATTTCAGAAAAGAACAGCCACAAATCTGTTTGAAACCTGATAGGGTGACTTTTTTGGTTTTTGTTTTGTTTTAAGGACAGTTTCTCTTTTTTTTATTGAAATGAAAATCATGCAAATGATCATCTTAAACTGGACATAAGGGAAAGGGCTCATTTTAGCATAGATAAAATAAAAAACAGAGGAAACATAATTTTTATAGACTATTAGATTTAGAAAGAAATAATAGAGTTCATCTAGTCCAACCTCCTACTGGTGAATAAACACTGATTTTGTGTTTATAGAAAAAACTATTTGAAGTTGGAAACAGGAATTTGAGTTTGAAAATGCTTTGTTGCCTAATTATCTTTTGCTTTATCTACTGTAGATTTTTTTCCCTACTCACTCAAGTTATATCTAAGTAAAGCTTTATATCTATAAAGACTTAAATATATTTTTGTATTTATGAATTAGAGCCATCATGATGTTTTATATGATCAAATGAATCATACATAGGAGGGGAATGTTTTTACTTAGGTTGCTAGAAGTCATTTAGATGAATCACCGTTTGATTATTATGGAGGACAGTTTTAAAATAAAATTTTGCGTCTCCTTGCAATGCAAAATACCACCCCACAGGTTCCATTTGGGCTGGAGCTTATCTGATCACCTTCTGCCACAAATAAGTGAACATATATGTATGTGTTCGGGTGTCATGTTCAAATGCTTTTAGGTTTATGTATAAATCTGTACTTTGTTGTTTTTCTCGTTAATTTTTGTTCTTAGTTGTTAAAAATTAAGGAGGTAATACTTACTCAAGTTTCATAGTATAAAGAACCAAATGAATGATCTTTGTTGTCTTGAAAAAAATCCCAGCTCTTAAAGGATATTCACTAAGTATAGTGAAGTCGTCATTCCACCCAGGGAGCTAGGTTTGAAACTAAACTGTTGCTTCAATTTGCAGATGAAAATGAGAGATTAATGGTTGATTTTCTTAGAGTTCAGTTGTGTTAAACTTCACTGTCCATTTTGCCTTCATTACTAGTATCATACCACATTCTTATAAATTCACCAGCAACATTTCTGTATAAGTGTCTGTCAAGTTGAGTTACATTGATTTCAGCAGGTAACAAACTTTGTAATGTAGAGTGTTATGTTTCCAGAATGTGTATTGTTAGCTCAGCCATTCTTATGTAGGCATAGGCATGATTACCGTGATGTAGAGAGCTATAATTAGCATTGAAAAAAGAAAACATGAGATACAGTAAAGAAAAAGTAGCTGCATAACTGGCTGGGTGTATTTAATACATTAAAAAATGGATAAGTCTTATTCTGTCAGTCCTGTTTCAGAGATCTGAAAATTGTCAATGCTTTGTCCATTGATGTGGATATCCAGGTCAGTCCTGTTTGGGCTTTTAGAAACCAGAGGAGTTGGAAATTCAGGGACAGTCTTGTCAAAATTCTCCATCTTGATTTGATATTCACCTTTGGAACCTCGGGTCAACAGAGATGCAAAACAGTGATGTAACATGATTTCAGACGGTAGGTAGGATGTCCTCCTTTGGCATATTTCTCCAGTGCCCTCCTGCATTGCTGAAAGGAATACAACTAATTCAAAGTGAGAAGGATTTTCATGCTGGAGCAGAGTAGCCAGAGGACTTGATGGTGTAATGGAGTGATAGTACGTTAGTGGAAAGATGAAGAATGGACATTCGTCAGAACTGATGCCATCAAGGTGGAAATCCACACTGGTCTGGTAGAGTTTGCCATTTTCTCTTTCCTGATAGAGTACAGCTGAGACCCGGACACTGGTTAGAGGGCTAGGTCGGGTGTTGGCCACTTGGAAGATAAGATTAGGTTTGCCATCCATGTGAGCTACTACTGCTGTGTCAGTAAAGCGAATTGAAAAAGCTCGATTTTTTGGCCGGGCAATCTTCGCCACAAAAGCACCTAAATAAGAAATTATTGATTTTTTTTTAGAATGAAGACTTTAAATATCAATACTTTTTCTGAATGACAAGTGTATATCAAATATTTACACATTTCTTGGTGCCATGCCTTTCAGTGAGTCAGGAATTGAACTCATTGTTAATTTGGTCAGTCTTATTTGCCTGAAGCATTTTTCAAAGTACATTTCTGTTTAAAAACCATGATTTCAGAATAGATAAGCAAAATGATTTTGTTACAGAGAAATGTAAAACTTCATCCTCTAGTTTCTTACAAAGTCAAAGAATTGGTCATTTCCTATATTCCTGCCTGTGCTTAAAAAAAAGTAATAGAAAATAAATGCAACTTGGCTACAGCCAGATTACGTTGAAGTAGAGACTAGGTTCAGAGTAGAATGATTTGGGATGGGGAGGGGACCAATAGAATGAGTGATATTTTGGCCAGGCATGGTGTCTCACGCCTGTAATCCCGGCACTTTGGGAGCCCGAGGCGGGCGGGTCATTTGAGGTCAGGAGTTTGAGACCAGCCTGGCCAACATCATGAAACCCCGTCTCTACTAAAAATACAAAAATTAGCTGGGTCTGGTGGCACATGCCTGTAATCCCAGCTACTCAGGAGGCTGAGGCAGGAGATTGCAGTGAGCCAAGTTTGTAGCACTGCACTCCAGCCTGGGCAACAGAGGAAGACTCCATCTCAAAAAAAAAAAAAAAAAAAAAAGTGATATTTTGAAGAATTTTTAAACTTTGAAACGTATTTTTAAACTTTGAAACTCAGAAACCTTTTGTGGGGCAGGGGAGGACTGACTATCAGGTAATTTCAGTGCACCTTTCAGGTCTATCTTCCTTGTGCCCTAAGCTATATATAAGAGTTTCTTAATCAGTTTTGTGCCACAGATTTTGTTGGCGGGCTGTTGGTAAGGTCTAAGAAGTAAGTACTTACCAGAATTATGTTTTAAGTGCTTAAAAGTAAAATATAAAAGAAACCAAATTATTGAAATTCAGTTGAACATTTAAGAAATGTTATTATAGTACTATATGTGCCTTACTGATACATTAAATAACAGTCTAGTGGTGGTTTTAGTACTGTGATTTTCAAGTATTCTGGTTTGATATGACAAAATATTTATGATTTCTGTTTGAATCAAAGCTACTAATACTGCTGGTGGTATTGTTTTTTGTTGCCTGTAGGAGATGCCAAATTTCAATTAGTGGTTAGTGCCAAGAGATACAAGTTTTTCCCATATAAGTTTATAGACCCCCTTAATTGTATGCAAAGGACTGACCCAGTATAGGAACTCTTGTTGTAGAAGTTTGTGATTTGCAGGTTATAGAGCTGGTTGGTAGCACACTGGGATTTCATTCCAGATCATTCTTCATACGGCCCAATGCTTACCTTCTCAGATTATTATTGAATAGTATATTAAAGCCAAGTTTTCTTTTGAAATTATGTATGTCACATAAAAAGGGCACTAGTCCTCCTTTAAAGGAAAGAGTTTTCTGTGTTCATGAGCAAAATTTCATAATCTTTGTGGACATATTTCCAGTGCATTTTGCTAAGAATGTGTATACATAACTTGTTCTCTAACATATAATGCTGACTGTGGTGTTCTGGGCTCACTGGCATAAAGTAAATGTTGAAAAGATGAACTCATAGGAGGGAATTCTAGCTCAGTGAAGAAAAAAAACCAAATTCTTTTGTTAGGTAAAATGACTGTCAAAATAGGTATTGAATGTATTTATTTATGTATTTGACAAAATGATTAGCTTCAGTGAAAACCTCCTTTTAAACCTTTTGTTAATTTTTTTTTTTTGATATGGGATATTTCTGCAATTTAGTATCATACTGATCTCTTTTTTCTTAAGTAGTTACAGTAAGTAAAATTTTGGCATTGAGACAGGTTCCTTATGCATTTCTCCTATTTTTTTTGGCTCTAAACTGTTTCTTTTCTATCTTAGACATTACCTGCTATCAATATAGATAAATTATTCTGTAACAGCATTACTTATAACTGACTATACCCTTTCCAAACACCTGTAGTTTTGTTTTGTTTTGTTTTTGTTTTTGTTTTTTTTAAGAACAAAGACAAAATTACCTGTGATAAAAGCCTCTAGCATGAGGCCTAGGAGCATTTGTATGGCAAGTAAGGCGATTGCACTTGGACAGTCACCACTGGGGAACATGGTACCATAACCAATTGTGAGTTGTGTCTCCAGGGAGAAGGAGAATGCAGCTGTGAAACTGGTGATATACTTGACACAGATAGTGTGGTTTTCAGGTGGGGCATCATGATCTAGTTCCAGATCACCATTCATCTCAGCCAGAACATACCAGAGCACTGCAAAGACAAGCCAGTGGACAACAAAAGAAGCAGAAAAGACCAACATCATCCAACGCCAGCGCATGTCCATTAGGATTCCCCAAGCATCTCGAAGATATGCAAGACCTCTTTGAGCGCCATCCATTTGAAGTGTGCTGTGGCCATCCTTGGTGACCATCCTCCGGTATCTTTGACTTAGGAGAGGAGCAATAACTTTGCAATTACTGCTGTCCATCTCAGGCTGTATTTCTCTAAAATCAAGAGTAAATTAGTAAGCTCTTAACTGTTTTATAGTTAATGTTTGTGAATTTGGAGAGCTCATGGACTTTCTGCTTTCTTGGGAATGCTTCTCTAACCACAACTTTGCCAACTCTCTCGCTTTTCTCTTCACGTTAGATGGCATTTACTAAGTCATTCATTTGGGAGCTAATTGTGTGTTACCTTAAAATATCTCTTCTATTGTTTCTTTGAATGACAGTTAAAACATTGTTTAACACTTAAACATTTTCTAAGTATATTTTAGAATTCCTGTAGGTAGAGATTATATACCCCTGTGTCTTCCTTGCACAAGTCCGGGTGTCAAGCATTTATTGATTTGACCAAATATTGTGTATAAAGACTAGCATTTCATAGTTAATTTATAATTATGCATTATTCATAATTAAAAGGGGTATGTTTAAATATGTAAGTGTTCTTCTGTGTAAATAATTAGAAGTCATTTGGAAGCTTATTATTAAACTGTCTGCAAATCCTTTGAAGCCAGATTTAGTATAGGACAAGGCTTACATTTGTGGTAAGCTTTTAGAGGTTTGTAGTTCTAATGTATGCTTTATAATTAGCCTATTCAGAGTTTGATTTATTGATTTGTATTTTTAGAGACAGGGTCTTGCTCTGTCTCCTAGGCTGGAGTGCAGTGGCACAATCATAGCTCACTGCAACCTCAGCAAATTTTTAGAATTTTAATTTTTGTTGGTACTGGGCTCAATATATTGCCTAGGCTGGTCTCAGACTCCTGTTCTCAAGCCATCTTCCCACTTCAGCCTTCCAAAGCGCTGGGATTACAGGGGTGAGCCACCATACCTGGTCTTATTTAGAGTTTTATGATTAGGCTTTATTTGTTTTTGTCACTTTGCAACCATGTTCGTGGATTCTTTCTGTCCTGGATGATGGATTGCTATCTCTTTGCATATTCTAGGCTCTGATTAGATTGGGGGGTAGAAAGAGAATTGTTTCTTGGCAAAATAAGAAATTCCAGGAAGACATTTCTGGATAGCATTAGCTTTAAAAGTAAGTAAACTAGAAGAAAAAGGTTGAATAGTTCAATGAACTAAAATAATCATTAAGGGGTTAAATAAGAATTTTAAAAAGATAACATTAGTATAATTAGTTTTCTGCTGCAAACAGTTTTCATCAGTGGTTATCCTTTTCTCAAGGTGGTGAGTAGAAATCTAATGTGTGCCTTCCTTGTAATCATCCTTGCGTATGACAAAGGTGTCTTAAGACTTTAGTGTAGCAGTTACTAGGAACAGAACAGGAAATGCAGCTTTGCTTCCCTTGAGTGAGCCTCTCTTGTTTGCTACAATTCAGGACTATGAGTTTATATTTGACTGTCCTCTTTGCTTCTTCCTTTAGAGGTAGATACCCTTGAGAGTGCTGCATACCCACTTCCTGCCTTTTAATGGGGCTTGAGAAGGGCACTACAGACTTGTGGAGCTAGGTTGTTGCTTGGGTTTCCTAGTTCCTATATCTCGGGACTTTGAGGCTTTGGAGACTGCCTTTCTGTGTTGTTGGAATTGGATATTGGCCACCTGGGTATATACAACTTTCTTTTGCTCTGAGGTAACTTAACATTTATTGGTGATTAGAGACTTTTTTTTGTATTTTCTTCAGATTTGAGCTAATGGAACACTGGGATGATTGTTCAGTTTATTTAGGTTAGATGGCGATTTCAGTTTCATATGATATAGACTTTAAAAAATCTTAGTGCATTATTTTAATGTTTTATAACTTATTACCCTAACAAGTTGTCATAATCATTTAGTGTATTCTTTTTTCTTGGCATAGCTACTTAATGACCCTTATTTTGTTAGATTATTTTTAAATGTTTTAGGAGACCTGATCTCTACGCTTTGGAAACAACAAAATCTTCATAGGCACTGTGATAACTGCTTTCATACTGTATTATCTCTTAATTCTTCAGTATCTCAACAAGATAGCCATTGTTCCCATTTTCAGATGAAGTCACTGGTGCTCAGACAGATAAAAGAAATTTACACAAGGCAAATAGGAGCTTTGGATTATTTGGATGGTTATTCAAGTCTAGCTAACTTCAAAGCCAGTTAATTTTTTTTTTTAATACAGGAAGCGTTTGGTGAAATAACAGTCTTTCCAAAAATGATTGATATTGCATTCTCAAGAAGGTCTTTGATAGCCAAATTTCTAGCACCTTTAGTAGATGCCTTTCTTGCCCCTGAAACTGTCTCAAGTATCTGTATTAAACCATTGTTAACTTTGTTCATGATTCTTTAGATAGTAATGATTAATAATATTAGCTAATATATATATTGTTTAGCATGTGCCAGGAATCATACCAAATACTTCATATGTACAAACTGATGTGAAGCCAGTGGCACAGAGTAAGCTCTCAGTAAAGTATTAGTTGCTTTATTGTTATTAAAAACGTGTCTGGCTCCCAGCACTTCGGGAGGCCGAGACAGGAGGATTGCTTGAGTCCAGGAGTTAGAGACCAGCCTAGGCAACGTAGTGAGACTTTGTCTCTATTTAAAAAAAAAAAAAAAAAAAAAAAGGTGTCTTAAGTTTCACAGTAATAAGTATCACTATTAGTCCCATTTTACAGATAACGAAAGTGAGGAACCAGGCATGGTGACTCATGCCTGTAACACTAGCACTTTGGGACGTTGAGTCGGGAGGATTGCTTGAGGTCGGGAATTCAAGACCGATCTGGCCAACATAGCGAGACCCTGTCTCTAAAAGAAAAAAAAAAAAGAAAGAAAATGAGGTATAATGAGGTAGTAAGTGGTGGATATGAATATTATACATTCTGAGTCCAGAGTTAGTGCCATATTGCCTCCAAAACAGATGTTTGACCCTGCTTAGCCTTTGTGAATAATACAGTTTCATTTGATTAGTTTTGTTCAAGAGCCGCTCCAGAGTGTTTGTTCTTCAGTAATGTTTATTGGGTTCAGACCTATTATTTGTAGGTTAGAAACAGATATTCAGTTAGGAAAGACTTCTTTCAAGACTTGAAGATTATCACAGTCTGAATTATTAGATAGTCCAGTTGTGTTTTGCACATCAGTAAAATTAAAGCAATGTAGAGAGGAGAGTTATGACATAACATTGCCAAGTTTCTGTTTTGCCAGATGAGAAGACAATTTTACAAGTATAATACTGTCATTATAAATAAAATTATGATGACATAATAAAAGATTTTGACACATGGAAGAAGGATATAACAATGAAAGGATAGTTGGTTGCCTTCAAAATGGTGGGTGAACAACTTTGTCATTCTCCACTGTTGTTGCTTCCTGCCTATGTGAAAATGCCCCTCATGCTCCTGGACACTAGTGCTTGTTCCACATTTGGAGCCACTGTCCTACTGAATGCTGCTAAGTGCTTAGTGTTTCACAAAAGCTTGAGAAAGAAAAAACTCCATGATTCTTTTGTATTTTCAACCTATTTTATGAAAGTTCTAAAATTCCTTACTTAGAGCCTTTCTGTATAGACTGTAGCTAACAAAATTCATCATTCTCATTTGGGCTTTTTCAGGACTGTTGTTACTTCTTACCTACAACTTTTGTAGCACTCTTACTCTAGGCTCTTTACAATTGTATTTTTTTTCTCTTGCAACTAAATACATGGAAAAACCTGTGAACAGGGAAGTCAAAAGGCTGATAATCGGAACAGTTAAGCAGCATTTTTTTTTTTTTAACCTAAGACTGCTGGATTTGGTTTGGATTGTGTTGGCAAGTGGAGTAATATAGAGAAGGAAGATTGATTTCTGATTCCCACTTAACCAATTACCCTGAATAACTATTCTGTGGACTCTTATAGTCAGTGTGGTTTAGTGTAGAGAACGCAGGATAAGGGGATATGGCCTTCAGGCTCTAGCACTGTTGGTTACATAGCTGTGTCATTTTGGGCAAACCACTCAATCCCATTGGCCTGGCATCCTTAGATTAAAACAAAGAAAGTGAAAAAAGAGGGAATTATGATAATAAGATTTCTTAAAGCTCTACAGACTTATGTAAACAAACATATTTCCACTTCCTACAAAGGATACAAGTTTCCTATATGATTTCTTTTATTTCTGTATAGTTTGATGTCTGCTCGTATGGTTTAAAAAATTATACTATTGTTACCTGATATTTAAGTCTCATCAGCTGATCCCAATAGAAAGTGAGGTGGAAGGTTGGGAAGGTTTGCTTCTATTGCTGTGTGTGGGCTGTAAAATATTTGCCCATTTATAAATTATTTGGAGGAAAAATAGTACCTATTAAAAAATGATAGGCAGCTTCACTGATCATCAGAATTCATTCTACTCATTGGGTTGTAGCACTTAAAAGTATGTATTTTCTGTTGCCATGATAAAAAATAGTATAGTTCATACTGAGGAGTTAAGATAAAGGCTATAACTAACAAACATTAAATGAAGATGGCATTACTATGTATTTGTTCATGTCTGGTGTAAATACTTTAAGACTATATTGAAAGTCTTATAATGATTTCTCCTGCCCTCCACAATTAGGGCAAACACTATTGAGTTCTAACCCTGTTATATAAGCTCAGAGATTCTATTTTAATTTCTCAGTTGCAGAAGTATCTATTAATTTCCGCAATAATTCCATGCTTAAAAATTTACGATTAGGATACTCATCACTTTCTTCTTAGATTACAGAAGTAAAAACAAAGTGGCTTATTCTTTTGGCATTTGTTTTTTTATGCTCATTTTGGGTTTTTGAAATTCCTTCCAAAAGAAAAAGACTTTTTTTTTCCTCAAGCCACTGAATTTTTTTTCCTAAGGCCTTTATCCTCTACTGATATATTGTAATAGAAAATTAGTATACATTTAATAAAACAGTTAAGAAAATTTCCAGTAATACATTCAATATGGCTGTTATTGCATTTTTAAGATTTAAGGGAAAAGAATATAGAAACCTTACTATCCTACACTATAGATAATGTCTTTGTTTTAAAAATCTGTTGGAAGTAATCTAGCTCTGTTGCTATTTGCCAGTCAGTTTCTTTCCCTGTTTCCCATAAGGAAAGAAGAATGGATATTATTGCATGTACTCACCAGTTCTTTTGCTGGGTCAGCCTTTATGCCAAGGTAGGTCTTAAGGAAATTTACAGAGTCTGCCTTTTTGATCAGATAATTTTAATCTACAAGTCTAGTTTGTAGGTTCTCTTCTTGGACTGGTTTTACAGCTTACATTCCTCTGTTTATAATGTTGTGGGGGCTGGTTTCAGCTGAGGTTGATGTGATTGGTCACTTAGCCTGCAGGGGGGCCAATTAGCTCTGATCATGTGGAAAAGAATGCTGGTTTGTTAGGAGGTCTTTCTTTACCCAACACAAACCTTAACAACTCTGGAGAAAGCCTCCAGAACTGACTTGGAGAAGGGGTGCATTTTTTCCCTCTAATCAGGACCGGTCTTTAGTAAGTTTGCATAATCTTACTTAAGAGTTTTTTTGAAAGTTCAAAGGGATAAAATTCCCTGCAAGATTTTTCAGCCGTCTTTCCTTATATAGCATGTTGAAGTGTGAGATATTTCCTTTACTAATCTTTTTTTTTTTCCACCATGTCTTTGGGGAAGATTTATTTGGATAAGGACTTATAGGCATAAATTAATGCATTGATTTTCTTAGTTTTCTTCTCATGTCTCATCAGAATGGCTACCATTAGTTCCAGAACTAGTAATATAGATAATTACGTGAAATCTTTTATTTTTTTGGTTAGGAAACAAACTTTTTTTTTTTAAAGGCTGTATACAAAGACCTTGAATAGGAATAAAATTAATTGTTCTGTACCTGATACTTTAAAAAATGCACACCTGTGGGAAAGAACCGAAGAATTTTCTTAAGGCTTATTTTAATGATGTTTAGAAGATGTTTTCCTGATCAGTGTGATGAAGTATAGTGTTAATAAAACATAGTGTACAGTGTACAGAAAATGTAACACAACATTGAAATAGTGTTTAGCTGGAAAATGTGATCCAGCTTGTTGGAACCCTGAAACGTGCTGTGGTATGGCTTTGTGCAGTGCCTTAGTGAACAGTACTTTTCTCCTCCTCCGTTAGCTGCTGATTTTAAAACTTTGACCAAATGTCACATGTAAGAGGATCTGAGAAACAAAGACTGTGATTGTTCAAAGTAAAATCTTGGAAGGCCTGCTGGGAAAATTATTAATGTAGACCAATATAATGCTACTTAGAAAGTGAAATCCGCCTTTGTAGAATCCTCTCCGTCCCCCCCCCGCCCCACAATTTAAAAAATATATTAATTCCTTCTTTGTTTTATTAGTACCAAATACTTCAACACAAGTTCAGACACAGCATTAGAAACACTGACCTTCAGAACTAGGGAAGGTAAAGTATAAAGAAGGATTTGTGGTGTGATGCTCATTCCCTGCATGTACTGGTAGGAATTATAATGTGTATCAATTCCCAGCTAACAAATTGCAGAAAAACAGAACAACACAACAACAAAATACTAGAACAAGTATAGTATAATACTGCTTCTAGAAAGCAGAAGCACTTGAGTGTATCTGTCATGTGTTTTGAATATACATTGTATATTTTTTATTTTCATTTTTTTTAGACATAGAGTCTTGCTGTGTCACCCAGGCTGGAGTGCAGTGGTGTGATCACAGCTCACTGCAGCCTCGACCTCCCAGGCTCAAGTGATCCTCCCACCTCATCCCCCACCCCCTGCAGTAATGCCACCACATCTGGCTAATTTTTTATTTTTTGTAGAGGCAGGGTCTTGCTGTGTTGTCTAGGCTGGTCTTGAACTCCTGGGCTCAAGCTGTCCTCTCAATTCAGCCTCCCAAATTCCTGGGATTACAGGCATGAGCCACTTCACCTGGCCTGAGAATACATATTATAGTAGGCAAGACAGTTAAGGATTTTATTAAACTTAAAAGTCTTTTTCCATAGTATACTTGGTTTCAATATATTGAGACAAAAATGATTTGGCAAAATGATCTTCAATTAAGAAAGAAATGTCTTAAGTGAAGCTAATTTCTGGATCTCTACAATTTGAAAGTCTTGCTATGGTCTATAAACAGTGATTCCTACTGCTGTGAATATTGTAGACCAGCTCTGAAGTGCCCACTTAGGAGCATAGCTCTCCCATTACAATAGCCTGAGCATTTAAAGTCATTTCTGGTTGAAGTTACCAGGTTAGCTGGTGTAGGGGAGAGAGAAGACCTTCTCTCTTCCTTTTGAAGGTTTGATAATTGAGTCTATAATATAAAGCAACAGTAGGTAGACTTAACAGAAGAAAAACAGTTTACATCCTTATGCACAAGAGTCCCACAAAACATGAGACTTGAGGAAGGACCAGATGATTGAAGTTCTTATAGCATTGGAATAGGGATGTGGAGGTCCTGGGGGAAGGTATTGACAAGCTGTGGGAAAATGAGGGGAGGAAATGTATGATGAACAAAAGTTGTCTAGTTATTGAGATAAAGTCTTTCAGGTATTGAAAATTAACTTGAGGAAGAACGCTACTAGACCTTTTAATCTCTTATGTGATAAGGTTAATCTTCCCTGATTGATGAAATTCTAGGGAGGGGACAAAGGAATTTTTTGAGATAAGGGGGCATCAGAGAAGGCCCCTCCCTGTGCTTGCTGTTCCCTAAGTTCTCTCAGTTTGCAGTAATGAGCATACCAAAGCAGTATATTTTGGGGTGGTGTTTCCTGGGGCTCCTTCACTGAGATGACACGGATATTGGCACAGATGATATGCCACCTTCACCCAGAAACTCATGGTCCTTCCCATCTAGACAATTTGTTATTTCTGTTGTAGCTGTTTCACAGTAAGGTAATTGGAGATGGCTCTAAAACATTTCTTCGGTGAATGAACATAAATGGTAAATACCTGTTCATAGATTGATGGATTGTGTCTCCAAAATTATAATGATTAAATTAAACAAGGTACCAAGACCTGGTTAATTATCCTGTATTAAATCTAGTCCTCTGTCCCTAAAGGCATTTGATTTTCTTTCTGACTGAAATAATTCACTATATATCTATAAATGTATCACATTTTTCTTGAGAACAGTAAAATCTTCAGTTGGAGTGCGATTTCTGGCCTATGTAAGTAGGTAATCTCACAGCTTTAAAACGTTAGCTCTGGTCTCCATGTTCTTGCTTACATAGTGTACTTGGCTTTCTTTTGAAGATGCCTAGTCTCTTTCCATTTCCACATGTCCAAGCCAACTACGAATTGCCTTCCCACAGATTTCAGGCAGCCTCTGGGTATGTACCAGCAGACAGCTGAGCATGAGGGCTGTAGGGTTGTGGTACATATTCAGATGGCCTGAGGACCTTTTTCAGAGATTCTGATACACTGCAGTTTCTCCAGTCTCTGCTGTTTTTTCAGGACTCTTGTTAACCAGCTGAGCAGGTTATTTATTCCTCAGGGAGAAAGTCGTAACTCTCTGGGTACAGAAGTTAAACTGCTCTGTCCTAGCCACCCTGAGTTTTGTTTATAAGTAATTGTAGGGGAGAGGGGTGGTAAATATCAACACTTGAGTGGGATGCCCTTTCACCATTTTCTTTGGTGTTAGATTTTTTTTTGGTGTTGATCAGATAATATATATCTGAACAGAGTAATACAAAGTCACTCCTTAAAAAATTTGCACATAAACAAGCTTCAAAGTCTGTCCCATAATTCCACTTTTGCTTGTGGAGCTTGTGGAGATTGGGCACTTGTAAGCTCCAAGTCTCACAGCTGTAGATTTTGTTGGCTGAGTGCCTCTTTGCTCCATCTGAAGTTTTCCATAAACACTATTTTTGGCCGTGGGTCAAACATGCACACAGGTGCCCTTTTACTGCTCTTTCTCCTTAGGAAGTCCACTCAGTTAGACCAGGCAAAAACTAACACTGCATTTTAATTTAATTTAATTTTTAGATGAATCCTATTTGGACTTAATAAACTAAGATTGAAACAACCAAGTATTTATTGCCACTGGGGAAATTGTATATGTAGTACGTATGTATTTTAGCACCTTTACATAATTTGCTTTTAACGTAAGGACATAAAATATATCGTTTTCCTCATAGTCATGTTTGCTATATTGAATGGAAAAAAATACATTTAAAATTTGTGTTTCTTTGCCTTTTGAGGGTCACAGACACCTTTAAAATTCTGACGAAAGCTGTAGACCCTTTTCCCTGAAAGAAGAAGAAAGCATGCCAGCACAAAGTGCATGTCCAGTGCAAGGATTCACAGCCCTGAGCTCATTCATTGACTGTAGATTAAGAATATTTGGTTCAGGCATGAGTTTGTAAATAATTCAATAAGGTTTACTTTAAAATCATCTTGTTTGTAAATCTGTTAAGATTTTAAAAGTAAGTCAACTGAAATACAGTATTTGGTTAGTCAACTTTGTCATGGTGCTGACGTTACAGAAGGAGGAAGCCTTTGATTTTGAATGCTGAGAAGGGCCATGTAACTGTCTCTCACTCATTTTAGTCTCCGTTGCTATGAATTGTTGGAATTTTTAGACGTGAAGGGAACTTAGATGTCATCTTCTAAACTGCCCATGAATGACTTTAATATTTATTATTTATTTATGTTTATTTTATTATTATTATTTTTGGAGACGGAGTCTTGCTGTGTTGCCCAGGCTGGAGTGCAGTGGCACAATCTCGGCTCACTGCAACCTCCACCTCCCGGGTTCAAGTGATTCTCCTGCCTCAGCCTCCTGAGTAGCTGGGACTACAGGCGCACACTACCAGGCCAGGCTAATTTTTAGTACTTTTAGTAGAAACGGGGTTTTGTCATGTTGGCCAGGCTGGTCTCGAACTCCTGACCTCAGGTGATCTGCCCGCCTCGGCCTCTGAAAGTGCTGGGATTATAGGCATGAGCCAACATGCCTGACCTGTTATTTATTTTAAATTATATCAGGAATACACACACACACACACACACACACACACACACACAACTTATAAAGATAATGGTCTCCTTGGCACTCCCACCCACCCACCCATCCAAATTTACACAAGTAAATCTGTAATCAATTTGGTTAGAAGGGATTTATTTTAATATTTTTGGGGATTGCTTAGATGCAGTATAATTTTTAGTTATATTAGTAGTAATTGGAAATGTGTATTTTTGTGACTGAAGTCACCTTCTAAATAATTTCTAGAATAAAATTTTTATATTGAAGAAGTTGGTCTTAACCATTTTTTTTTCAGGAGCATGCATTTTGAAATCATTCTGTGGGAAGATGAAAACAAATTTAGTTCTATGTCTCCCCTTTTTAGAGATGTTGACACTTTCCTTAAATGTACCATGCATGATTTGTCTACCACCCTTTTAGCTTGTTATACTTAAATCCCAGATCTCTGTCTTCCCATTTCAGTTTCTCTAGAATTTCTGGCTGCTTCCAATGGGTCAAATTTATGAGTGAACCATTAAGAATCACTTAGTGTAGAAATAAACCATGGGTTAGGAGTTTGAACACTGCCTAGGTTCTGTTTCTGATTTGATTATGACTCAGCTGTGTGGCCTTGGGAAACCACCTTACTGGTATCCCTATCCTTGCAGAAGCAAGAGAGTTAATGATGGTTGACTTAATCTCTTGTGGTTATTATGAAGATCAGATAAGATACATTAACACATTTTGCCAACTGAATAAGGTTATTTATTTACATGTGTGTCCATGGACCTGGGGATCAGGTGCTATGTCTCAGCCTTATCTTTGTTTTTAATCCTGTGTCTCTAATTGTGTTTGTCAGTAAAGGAGTGAGTCATTTAATGGTTGCTAGATGTTTGAGTAAAACAAACAAGCAAACAAATGGTAAATTAGTACTATTTCTTTTTAAAAAATTTTTTTTTACATTTTAAAAATTATAGATAAATACAGAGATGAGGTCTCACCATGTTGCCCAGTCTGGTTTCAAACTCCTAAACTCAAGTGATCCTCTCTCCTCAGCCTCCCAAAGTGCTAGGATTACAGGCGTGAGCCACCATGCCTGGCCAGTAGTACTATTTCTTTGGGAAAATATTTAGTAGTAGTCAACAAAGTTGAGCATACTGTGACCTGGCAGTTTTGATGCTAAGTATATACCCAACAGAAATGCAAACATATACTTACCAAAACTCATGTCCAAGAATATTCGTAGAAGCACAATTCTTATGATAGCAAAAAGGTAGAAAACAACCTAAATGTTTCTAAGCAGTAGCATAAGAGTAATACCGTGTGGTTTGTTTATACAGTGAGATCCTGTACAGCCATGTAAAAGACCAAAATATTCCCTGTAACAATGAGAATGAATCTCCTGTGCTTGCTTCGGCAGCACATACACTAAAATTGGAACGATACAGAGATTAGCATGGCCCCTGTGCAAGGAGAATGAATCTTCGTAATGTTCAGCAAAAGAAGCCAGATATAAATGAATATTCCATTTTATAAAAAAGTTTAAAAGCAGGCAAAGCTAATATTTGGGGCTAGAAATTAGGATAGTGTTTATCTTGGGAAGGGCTGATTGGGAGGACGCATGAAGATTTTTGAGGCTCCTTAAAATCTTTTTTTAAAAATCTAGGTGGTAGTTAAATTATATGTATTTGCTTTATGAAAACTGTCAGTTGTACATTTGTGATTAGTGTACTTTTAAAAAATGTTTTCTTAAAGAGGTGGGGAGATGAGTGAAGTCCATTTTAAAAGTTCTTGAGGTCTTTTCACCCTTATGAAAATGAGCACGGCCTCTGGAGGCAGAACTTATATGGCTTGATGAAAAATGTGGCTGTACTAACAAAAGAGAGACAAATTTAAAACAACCTTGTGATTCTCAAACTGTTGGAAAACCTGTAGCTCATAAAGTTTGAATGACCAATTCTGCATGCTTTGTTCCAAAAAGGATTTGAGGCAGAAAATTTGAAGATAAAGAGGAAAGCAACACCAAAGAAAGAATGATGAGATTTGGAGTCATTAGACCTGGTTTCAGATTCTGGTTCCAATTATTTTTTGTTTTGTTTATTATTTTTCTTATTTTGTTTATTTATTTTTTAATTATTTTGTTTTTTATTTTTTTTGGCTCCAGTTCTTATCTACACACCTTGACTAGTGAAGACCCAGTTCCTCATTTGTGAAAGAGGGGGTTGGAGGTGTTGTGGAGAATGAAGTAGCCTGAATTTACAAGAATACTAGTTCCAAACCATTCTACATGAATATTGGTTCAAGCCATTTTGAACAATACTTGTTCAGAAATTTCTATAAAGGAGCTTAAATTTTGTTACTAAGTGATTATTTACACAAAATAATTTCTTTTTTTTTGTTTGTTTACTAAGTCAGATCTAGGTGTTTTTTTGTTTGTTTGTTTGAGATGGAGTTTAGCTCTTGTTGTCCAGGCTGGAGTGCAATGGTGCGATCTTGGCTCACCGCAACCTCTGCCACCCGCTTCAAGTGATTCTCCTGCCTCAGCCTCCCGAGTAGCTGGGATTGCAGGCATGCGCCACCATGCCCAGCTAATTTTTTTTGTATTTTAGTAGAGACGGGGTTTCTCCATGTTGGTTAGGCTGGTCTCGAACTTCTGACCTCAGGTGATCCGCCCGCCTCGGCCTCCCAAAGTGCAGGGATTACAGGCGTGAGCCACCACGCCCAGCCTCAGATCTAGTTTTTTACTTGTAGTATCAATAAAATTTACTTACGTACCAGTAACAATTACATACAAGGATCAAAAATTTAGCTCCCTGAAATTCAGCATCCCTGAAATTAAATGGATAGGATTTTCTCATAACATGATCACATTTTTAAAAAGCCTGTTTAGGGCAACAGTTGGAAATAAGTGATGAAGAAACTGAATAAATTATACAGAAGTGCCCTTCTACATAATTTACTAAGAGGTCAAGGCAGAAGGATCACTTGAGGCCAGAAGTTCAAGACCAACCTAAACAACATAGCAAGACCCCCATCTCTGCAAAAATTAAATAAAATGAAATTTTAAATTTAGCTGAGTGTGGTGGCATGTGCCTGAGGTTCTAGCTACTTACACGAAATAATTTCTTTTTTTTTTTTTTTTTTTTTGAGACGGAGTCTTGCTCTGTCACCCAGGCTGGAGAGCAGTGGCGTGATCTGGGCTCACTGCAAGCTCCACCTCCCAGGTTCATGCCATTCTCCTGCCTCAGCCTCCTGAGTAGCTTGGGACTACAGGCGCCCGCCACCGCGCCCGGCTAATTTTTTCTATTTTTAGTAGAGATGGGGTTTCATCGTGTTAGCTTGATCTGACCTCGTGATCTGCCCGCCTTAGCCTCCCAAAGTGCTGGGATTACAGGTGTGAGCCACCGCGCCTGGCCACAAAATAATTTATAAAAGCTGCAATATGGTTTTTGATATATCAGATATTACATAATAACTACAATAGATTTAGATTATGACTTCTCTGGTAAACCAAGTGATATAGTTTGGATGTTTGTCCCCTCCAGATCACATGTTGAAATGTGATCGCCAGTGTTGGAGGTGGGGCCTGGTGGGAGGTGTTTGGGTCATGAGGGTGGATCCCTCATCCCCTCCCCACTGTAATGAGTTCAAGAGTCTGGGATCTCTGTCATCTTTCTTGCTCCCTCTCTCACCATGTGACATACTTGCTCTCACTTCACCTTCCACAATGAGTAACAGCTTCCTGAGGTCTCACTGGAAGCCAGACAGATGCTGGTGCCATGCTTGTATAGTCTGCAGAACCACGAGCCAAATAAACAACTTCTTCTTCTTTTTTTTTTTTTAATAAATTACCCAGCCTCAGGTATTCCTTTATAGCCATGCAAAATGGACTAATAAACCAAGGAAAGCCAGAATATAGTTCTGACATTCCAGACACGTCCTGCAGGTAAGAGCAAGGTCATAGATAATAAAACCCTTGCTTGGTGGTTCAAAACAGCAAACATTTATTATCTCAGTTTCTGTGGGTTGGGAATCTAGAAGCAGCTTAGCCTAGCTGGGTGGTTCTGGCCCAGGGTTCTTGTAAGGCTGCACTCAAGGTGTCAGCCCATGCTGCAGTCTCTCAAAGCTCAACTGGGGTTTGATCCACTTCCAGACTCACTCATGTTTCTGGTGGTAAGTCTCAGTTCTTTGCCATGCAAGCTTCTCCACGAGGTCTGTGTCACTACATGGCAACTAGTGTCCTTCAGAGAAAGTGTCCAAGATGGAAACTACAGTCTTCTTTAATATTTTAAGTGGCATCTCATCACTTCAGCTGCATTCTGTTAGTCCAGCTTATAATTGGGGGTAGAGGATTCCACAGAGATCAGCAGTCAGGGATTGTTGGTGAGCTCTTAGAGGCTGTCCACCACAATAAGAAAGCAGCAGATCATGTCTTCCATTCTCCCAAGATATTTTATCTTTCAGTAGAATGATACCTAGTAGCAGACTAACAACCATATGGACAAGCAGGATGCTGAATCTCAATATATGTAAGATGGAATATAACAGAATGACCAGAAATTAGAATTTCATTTTCATATGCTGTTGTTCAATTATTTTTTCACTTTTAGTATGGATTAATTAAAAGGATTGAGTTTGTCATTATGAGAACTTGAACTTTTATTGTTATAAACTGAGGACATCAATGTATGTTATTCTGGATTTTCAACTATTTTGATGTGAGATTTTATAAATGTTATGAGTTATATATGTTAGCACATGTGGAATGGTGACTGAAGAATTTGTTTGCACAATTTAGAATGATCTTGTCCTTTTAAAATACCAGTTTAGTTTACTTGGTATACCAGGCTCTCTTTTGACATTAATGTAACTTTTGAGACATTAGGTTAGACATAGCTTAGCTTTAAATTCTGTCCAAAAGCAATTTATGGTATGCCTGTATTGTATTAGGTGCTAGAGTAAATGAGGTTATACTACTTTTCAATTTTTTTTTTTGAGACGGAGTCTTGCTCTGTCACCCAGGCTGGAGTACAGTGTCGCGATCTCTGCTTACCGCGACCTCCGCCTCCTGGGTTCAAGCCATTCTCCTGCCTCAGCCTCCTGAGTAGCTGGGATTACAGGCACTTGTCACCACACCCAGCTAATTTTTGTATTTTGAGTAGACATGAGGTTTCACCACATTGGCCAGGCTGGTCTCCCAACTCCTGACCTCGTGATCCACCTGTCTCGGCCTCCCAAAGTGCTGGGATTATAGGCGTGAGCCACCACGCGGCCTGCTTTTCAGTTTATAATCTGTTTTGGAATGAAAGACGGCCTGAAATGTACAGATATCATGTTTAGGCAGAATCACCAGTAGGTGTTGGTTATATAAAGTATGTTGTATGATGAAAAATATCTTATAACTTTAAAAAGTATGTGCTAGTAAGGAAGGATTGGCAAGATACACTGTTAGTGAAAACAGCAAACAAAACAACATTTATAACATCCTGAGGGTGGCGTTTGTGTGTGTGGATGAGGGAGCTATGTATACATGTGTAAGTGTACCCATGGACAGTGTTTGGAAAGACTTTATAAGAAACTTGGTGATGGTTCCTTCTGGGGAGTACGACTCTGAGGGTCTTGTGTAGGAAGATGGACTTTTCATTGTACGCTTTTTCAAAAAAAATTTTACATAATATTTTTGTTTAAAAAAATTGCCCAGTCTCTGAACATGGCTTTAAGAAATGTGTCTAATAATATATACATATACCCACTGTTATTTTAGTGATTTTTTTCTGAATATTGAAATGGACCCATTTGCAGGAAAGCTTGATTTGAGCTGTGAAGTTTGTTTTCAAAGCCTATACTGGCAGAGGCTCATGTTTACTTACCATATTATTTTCTTTATAGGGAGACCAAATTTTGAGGAAGGTGGACCAACATCAGTAGGGAGAAAGCATGAATTTATACGCTCAGAAAGTGAAAATTGGCGCATCTTTAGAGAGGAACAAAATGGAGAAGATGAAGATGGAGGTTGGCGACTAGCTGGATCAAGGAGGGATGGAGAGAGGTGGCGACCTCACAGTCCTGGTAAGAATTCTGTTGAGTAAAGGCACACAGGGACTGAAATAAGGGAAAGTTTGATGGAAATAGGGATTAAATGAAAAAGATAAACTGGCTTAAAAAATGTGGGGGTGGATTCATATTATTTATGCTGTCACAGTTTTATTACTAGAAAAAATTGCAACATAAAAATTTCCTACATCTATTCAGTTGATTGAAATCACTTTTCTATTTTTCTGGGGCAAATAGTGTAGTTTAATGGGAAGCACCTGCGCTCAACTGCAGAAATGAGGGTTTCATTCAGTTTTGTCTACCTCTAAATCTCTGAATCTTTTTTAGCATTCTTTAAGATTTATAAATGTGTAAAAATTACACACTTGAAATATGTGCTTCCCTCCCCAACAATGAGTGTTTTTCCTAACAAGAAAGGGTTTATTCTTTCATTTTTTCCCTTTTGAAAATGTGATTTAACCTTATTTGAAGAATAAGCTTTAAACCTAGGTCAGAAACATAATCACAAGTTCATTCTTATGTCCTTCTAACTTTAGAAGAAGGAGAGACAATAGTAGTGATTAGTGGCTTTTAAAGTTCTTCTGTTTGTCTCTTAAAAATGCTCAAACTGTTCTTCTTGGACATTAGATATGCTAGTAATTGAAGACACTAGTGCTTTGTGTTAAAGTTCATCCTGTACCACAGTGCTGATTCCATGCCTCATGATAATCAGATGCAACTGTAGTTCCAATTGTGGGGTCATGCAAAACTGAAGCACACAGAGTATATGTGGAATGCCCTATGAATTTCATGTGTATGACAGTATTTTATCAACCATGTGCCAGAGGGGCTTACCTTTAATACAGGAAATTATGATAAGTAAACTGTTTTCACTTTTAAAAATCAAGTTATTAGCAAAACCACTAGCTTAGATCTGGGTAGACATTATAACAGGCATTCAGAGTATTTTAAGGAAGTGGTAGGTAGATAGAAACATACTGAAGTTAATGTTTGGGTAGAGTTAGGATGGTTTTATACCAACTCTTCATGGCTGCCTCTTGGGTGGGTTTTCTGTCATTAGTGGGCATTGTTTACATCACAAGGTCTAGACAATTTTCATTAGTCTGTGACCTGGGCCAGATGTTATAGTTCTCTAAAAGGCATCACTGCATTTTATGCTGAGCTTGTCCGTAGGCAGAGGGTTTGTAGACTATGTTCCCAACAAGCATTCAGTGAAGAATGGATAGGATCTGGGCTGAGAGAGAAAAGAAATTCCAGCTGGTCAAAAACAAACAAGGTGAATGTTTTGGAAGATGAACTGTGTTTTTTGAGCCCAAATGTCTGATGTTGATTCTATTAAAGGGAGTTTAACAAAGTACCTCCCACCCAACAACTTAGAATTTGGTTATATATTATCTTCTTCTCATCTTTTCTGAATCTTTCTTTCCCCCTAATATTTGACTTTCATATCATTTTTGTCATCAACTTGTGTATCTTCCAGAACTTTTAATCCATATACATATATATTTTTTCAGTCACACCTGTGGCTGAAATCCATATATTTTTAAAAGACAGTTTGGGGGATATAAAGATCCCCCAAATATAAAGTTTGGGTCTGAAAAAACAGTGTAAATGCATTTTAAAAAAGAATACGATTCACTTTTTAAACCCAGTATATTCAAAGTATAGCCTGATTATAGCAGTTTTCATATGTTAACTCTTAACGTTTGTTAGTTTATGGTTAATCTTTTATTAAGATTTGAGTAAAACTTTAAATTATTTTAACTGATTTTATGAAAATAGTATCCAACTTTAGTTTAGATGTAGGGTCTGTAAATCAGCAGTCAGCCTTAATAAGTACCTTGCATGTCTTACTTGCTATGTTTAGTTTCGTGAGTAAAATTTTATGAACTACTGATAAGATAACATTATGGGATATAAAATAGGGCTTCCGGCTGGATGTGCGTGGGGGTGGGAACATTAAGGACAGGGAGGCATCCAGTCTGGGAGCTGAACCTAGGAAAGTCAGTAAGAGGAGAAACATGAGCCAGGTACCTAGAAGGATAGATTCCTGTCATGATGTACATTTAGACTGTTAGAAATGAAAGCAGTACAGAGGGCTCTGGAATTCATTTGATCATGAAGACTCTTTTCACATAATGGCTCTAGGTTTCCACGTAAGCAGTCTGAGTATAAAATTCCTTAGTTCTCATAGGAAGTAGTAAATAGTGTTTTGTTGTTTTTATATGAAGGGATGGGAGTGTGGGACTAAGATTTCTTTTTTGTGAGTGGCTTATCAGATGCTACCTGTATTTGGCATTTTAACGTTTTGCCCTTTGTTTTCCAATTTGATTTTTAGATTGCTGGTTTTTGCAAAGTTTGTCTCAATAGTGAGAACATTTAACTCTGGCCACATTTCTTTTTCTTATCCCCCACAGAGAAAGCAGTCAAGGATGGAAAATTCTAATAGGTTAAAGCCTGCTTTTCTTTTTAAGACTCTTTTAGACTCAGGTCTGTCAGATTTTAGCAAGAGTTTCCCTTTCTTTTTTTTAGAAAAATATCTTAAGTAGGATCTCTTATTATTAGGCAATCTTTTCTTCTGTTGGGAAATGTAGATTTGGGAATGTCCGTAGGGGTATTATATGGATAGGGAGAATTAAGAGATGAGAAAGAAGGGAGAGGAGTAAGTATGTTATTGTGGAACAAGCAGCAGAGGGTGCAGAATTGGATTTTAGTTCTACTTTGCCATGTGCGAGTTACTTCTGCTGGCAAAGTTTTAGTTTCTTCTTAAACTATAAAATTAGGATAGTGAACTTCATAAAATCTCTGTGACAACTTTCAGCACTGTAATTTTGTGAATTTTTGGGGGAGGATCAGAATTACAAGTGGGAACCTGGCATTAATAAATAGTCATGATGAGTTTGATATAAGTCAACACAGGGAGCTGATTTTATCCACAAACAATGATATTTTCATGGGAAGAAAGAAAATGCTTTAAGATTGGGCAAAAGGAAGGTGTAAACTTCAGTATGGAAGGATGTCTAGTGCATTAAGTCTGGATGAGGAGTTGGCGGCTAATCAGTATTTTAATCAAGTACCTAGGACTTACTGAAAGTGCGTACTTGGAATACAGTGTCCTTTAAATGTACTGCATTTTAGATTTATCTTTTAAAGCTTTAGAGTATGTTGCCTGGCTCAGTACTTAAGTACTGTTGTCATCTCGTAATGGTACATATACTCTGAACTCTGAACTTCATTTAGTTGCCTAATGTTCTCTTTACTAGGTCAGTCCATTTGAGTTTGCGGTCACTTGTAGTTTTCTCCTTTATTTTCTATTCCTGATTTTCTTATTCAAATACTGTCATAAAACTTTTCTAAGGTTTGTGTCCTCCTTCTCATCTCAGATGGCCCTCGTTCTGCAGGCTGGCGGGAACACATGGAACGACGTCGGAGGTTTGAGTTTGATTTTCGAGATAGAGATGATGAACGGGGTTACCGAAGGGTTCGCTCTGGCAGTGGGAGCATAGATGATGACAGGGATAGCTTGCCCGAATGGTGCTTAGAGGATGCTGAAGAAGAAATGGGTACATTTGACTCATCTGGAGCATTCCTTTCTCTAAAAGTAAGAAACGTGTTTTAAATGTCATGACCAGCATTAACCTTATACCAAAGCCAAATCTGCTGTTGATCTTTGGTTTTATTCTCTTTCTACAGAAAGTACAGAAAGAGCCTATTCCAGAAGAGCAGGAGATGGACTTCCGGCCTGTGGACGAAGGGGAGGAGTGCTCTGACTCTGAGGGTAGCCATAATGAAGAGGCCAAAGAACCCGATAAGACAAATAAGAAAGAAGGAGAGAAAACAGATAGAGTAGGAGTTGGTAAGGCCTCTTCTTGCCCTTTGCCTTTTTTTTCCTCCATCAAACCAAAACTTTCGTAAGTTCAACTAAGATTACTTCGTGTTCCAGAAGCTAGTGAGGAAACTCCCCAGACCTCATCATCATCTGCTAGACCAGGTACTCCTTCAGACCATCAGTCTCAGGAAGCATCACAGTTTGAGAGGAAAGATGAACCAAAAACTGAGCAAACGGAAAAAGCTGAAGAGGAGACTCGGATGGAAAATAGTCTACCAGCCAAAGTGCCCAGCAGAGGGGATGGTATGTATTTGTGGGAATAGACAAGCTAAAATAGGATTCTGCTGAGGCCAGTGATCACTGATAAGTTAGGCTTCTGCTTATGCCTCCTAGAACTGCTTTTAGTGGGTGAATTATCGGAATAGATTATTTTACCAGTAAACCCAGTCAAACAGTGCTTCTCACGTATGTGTCCATCTCAGAATTACCAAAACAGAGTTCGAATCTGCAAGGGTGGAGCTCTGGAATCTCATGTCCTAAGGTGTTATGACATAGCCACCCTGTCATTACTGGTGAACTGGGTGTCATAGCCTTTGCATTAGTTTGATTCCCGTATTAGACAGTTACCTTCCTTTCATGTGTTGACTAATTATGTGCCCAGCTTAAATTACCAGATGACACACCAAAATGCCATTTTTCTAAAAGAGGACAAGTAGAGAACATATGTGAATCTGTGGCAGAATAAGCTTAAAACATATCTCTTTCAGTTGTTAGTGTATTGGTTTAAGTTGCTCATACACTTTATTAGGCAATATTAATGCTCATTTCCATGTTTCTTCTTGTACGTATTTAAAAATGTCATTGTAATGCCTGACGTTGAAGGGTTACTTGATTCATTTACCATAAAAATTGATACCCTTTAACATGGCATATGAGACACTGCACAATCTGGCATCTGCTTCCCTTTGTGCAGTTTCATTGCCAGCCTCTTTACTTCCCTCACGTTCTACTTACCAGCCTCAAAGCCTTTTAGGTCCTGAACTGTCTCCTGTTTTCTAGGATTCGTACCTTAGCACATCCTTTTCTCTGTTCTTGAAACTCTCTTCCACCCAAAGCCCCCAAACTAGGGTAGGTGTCTTCTTCGTTTCTTAAACAACCAGGCTTATTTCTAACATAGCATTATAATATCATAAAGATGTTTATTACCTTGTTTTCCCAGTAGACTAATATTTTGAGAGCTCAAACCCAGGAATTTTTCAATTTTTTAAATGTCTAGAACAAAGCTGATTATTTTTTTAAAGAGATGGGATTAACTGGGTGTGATGGCACGTGCTTGTAATCCCAGCTACTCGGGAAGCTGAAATGGGGGAGATCACTTGAGCCCAGGAGTTTGAGAACAGTGTGGACAACATAGCAATAGCAAGACCCCTGTCTCTAAAAACAAAACAACAACAAAAATGAGACAGGGCCTCACTATGTTGTTCAGGCTGGATCCGAACTCCTGGGCTCAAGTGATCCTCCTGCCCTTAGCTTCCTGGTTAGCTCAGCAAGTATTTGAATCTGTGCTCTACATAGCAGGCACTGTGAGACTGATATATCTTTGAGGCAGTTTGATTTGTAGTAGGATATGCCCCAGAACTACTTGTGGTACATTCTTTTGAATGTACGTGCTTGAAGCCTTATTCAGGAAATTCTTGGATCAAGTCTAGATATATATATTCTGAGAAGGCTTCATAGATGTACATTAAAGGTCGAAACTCCAGATTTATAGTGTGTAGAGGAGATAAAGTGTGCATATATCACTATTCTAGGGCAAAAAGTAAGATAAGGGTTCACTGTTGGCAGACTCTTGGGATGCTTCAGGAAGTAGGTGGTCTCTGAACACATCTTGGAATAATAAGTAGAATTTGGAGGTAAGTGTAGATAGATGAATTGGGAGAAGGCATTCCAGTACTAGGGAGCAGTGAAAGCTAAAGTGAAGAAGTGGGACTGATCCAGGCTTGGGCAGGAAATCAGCTCTTGTTTTTATTTGATGAAATATGAAGTGTGAAAAGGAGGATATTGGGAAACGTAGTTAGAACATGGATTTGACAGCAGGGTATAGACTATCTTGTGATGACAGTTTGGCTTCACTGTGACCGCTTAGACTCCTGAGCAGTCACTATGGGGTAGATAGTACACCTGTAAAGGGAAGTTGTGGCAGGTGAGATTTTAAAGTAGAAACTGTCAGGACTCAGTCATTGACTGGATATCAGGGTAAAGAAGAGGGAAGAGCCAAAGAGGATTATAAGAGGATTATGGTGCCATTCACACGAAAAGAAGAGGGAAGAGCCAAAGAGCCTGAGAGGATTATGGTGCCATTCACCATAGAGGAGCACACTGGGGAGAGGAGAGAGAAATTCAGTTTTGAACACTGGTTCTGAGGTGTTGACGAGAAGAAGTTAAGTGGAGATGGCGAGAGAGCAGTTGTGAATGAGGGACTGTAGCTAGATGGGAGTAGTTTAGGGTTAGAGAGAGAATGAAAATTGAAAAGATTGCATATACTTAGTAGGGGTAAGAAGAAAAGAACTTTGAGTAATTCCCATTTTTAAAGGGTAGAAGAAGAGGAACCAGAGAAAAATCCTCAGAGGTAAAAGTAGAGACAGGAGAGTAGAGTGCAGGGAAACTAAGGAATGGGGATGTTTTAGCTTAGAATTGAGTTGATAATGTCAGATGCTACTAAGAGATTGGATGAGGAAGACTAGGAAAAGTCATTGTATTTGGCAACTTTGTGTCACTGCTTATCTTTGAGAGAGGAGCTTTACTGGAAAGGTGAGAGTAGAAGTCCCCTTATAGCAGGTGTGAGTAAAGTGGAGACAGCATGTATAGACTATCCTTTTAAAAAGTATGGCAAAGAATGAGTCAGTGAGAGGAGCAGGAATTTGGAGAAGCTATCTGTAATTGAACAAACAAGATTTCAAAGGGGAAACTGCGATTATACCTAATTACTTCCATCCCCCTTTTCCTTCTTAAGAACCTGCACACTGAGAGGTTAGAAATAGGAACAAAGACAGAACCTCTTTTATAATTTGTATTCCTATTGAGAAGAACATCCTGCACTGTACAGGTAGACTCCAAGTGCTTCTAATTATCCTACAACATGTAATATATTGAATTATATTAATCATGACTTGAAACAGGTACTTACTGAGCATAATCATTGATATTTTCAGTAAAGGTTTTGATGAGAGATGACATATCTTTCAGAAGATTTAGGGTGCATTGTTAACTTTTACAATTGGAGACATGTTATGAAGAAAGGATTAGACTGATTGTTTCTAAGAGGTCAACCTGTAACTGGGTAGATGCTCTGGTGACACAGGTAAGCCCTGGAGAAGCACCTTTTAGATACCTTTTAACTCTTACCTTTTGTCATTCTGTGTAGGTAATTTTGTCACTCTAGGAAGGAATATTACGTTTCTCCATAGAAGTAGCTTCACTGTTCATGACAGGGCTCACGTTTTCTGTTTGGCCCATTTAGCAGGCTGTGCGACTTGATAATGTAGTTAGCCTTCACAGAAGTCTCTGTATTTCAAAGGATTTTCATCTGATTTTTTCCCCCTAGAAATGGTTGCTGATGTCCAGCAGCCCCTGTCGCAGATTCCTTCAGATACAGCCTCTCCTCTTCTCATACTTCCACCTCCTGTTCCCAATCCTAGTCCTACTCTCCGGCCAGTTGAAACACCAGTTGTAGGTGCTCCTGGTATGGGCAGTGTTTCCACAGAACCTGATGATGAAGAAGGTCTCAAACATTTGGAGCAGGTAAAAATCCTGTTAATTCTTTTTGTCTCCTCTTAAACTGCCGTAAGAATTAGCAGGCATTGCATGAATATTCAAACATAAAACTTTTGTCACTAGATTTTAAGTACTGGAAAAACTGGATATTTAGTGTTTATTTGTACAAGTCATTGTCTTTCAAATCATTTCATGCTTATAAGTTTCTGCTATGTAGTAGTCATTATGTCAGGTTATTTTTTGCTCTTAGGTTGCCCTTAGCTATTTACTTTTCTTTTTTCTTTTTGGACATTAATGGAATGCCAAAAATGGTGAATACAAGCAGCTGTGGATGGTCACTGTATCTTTTGTATTTTTTGCTTCAAGTATAACAGGGAAAATAGTTAAACTTTCAGAGCATTAACATCTTATTCATGTCTCTAAATTTCCCCAAGATTGTGTGTACCATTGTTATATGTAAAGTAAGTGATAGCTTGCTTTTCTACGAAAGAATTTCTCTTCCCTTTGGGGTGGGATGGTTAGTGGCAGGAAATGCTGAAGAAAGGAAAAAGCGAGATAGTGTCTTAGTAAAACTTGTAAAACGTTTCATTTATAATTGTATTAATTGAGCCTTTTGTTCTATTAACATTCTTTTTACAGGTTTAGTTTATACCATTTAGAGTTGACCAACAGCTTATTAGTTTAAAAAGTACTCTTAGCCAGGCAAGGAGGTGCATGTCCTGTAGTCCTAGCTGCTTGGGGAGGCTGAGGTAGGAGGATCGCTTGAACCCAGGAGTTCAAGAACAGTCTGGATAACGTGATGAGATCTCATCTCTATTAAAAACAAACAAAGTACTCTTACTAGTGTTGATTTGAACCCTGGGCTTTGATCCAGAGCAGTGTTTGTTTTAATCTTAGTTGATTTGATTAGTAATTTTCAGACCTTGAACAAGACTTGGCATCTCTGAGCTTTAGCATCCCCCTCTGTAAAATGGGGATAGTACCTGTTTCATGGCATTGTTGGGAGAAGTTACCTGCTATGTTCTTTGCATAGTGACTTTCATAGATCAAGTAGTCCAAAAAAAAGGGGCAGGCACTGTTATTATGTGTACAAGTACTAATTTAGGATCATTTGTTTCCTTGATTTTTGTTTTTCTGTTACTAGCAAGCTGAGAAAATGGTGGCTTATCTCCAAGACAGTGCACTAGATGATGAAAGATTGGCATCAAAACTGCAAGAGCACAGAGCTAAAGGAGTGTCGATTCCATTGATGCATGAAGCAATGCAGAAGTGGTATTACAAAGATCCTCAGGGAGAAATTCAAGGCAAGTTGTTCCTTTTTCCTTTAAATACTGAAGTGTGTGCCATTACCTCCAGAATCTCTAAGAAGGGATTTGTTTAATTTAAATTATAGTAGAAAAAGAAGTCAACAAGCACACACGCGCGCACACACGCAGACTAGAAGTGTTTCTGATTTCAGATGTTTTTAGATTTCTTCCCAATTTTGGAATAATTGCATTGTACATACCAGTTGAGCATCCCTAATCTGAAAATCCAAATTCCATAATGCTCTATTGAATGTTTCCTTTGTGTGATGCTCAAAAAGTTTCAGATTTTAGAGCATTTTGGATTTCAGATTTTTGTATTAGAGATAGTCAACCTATGTAAAAATAATTCGAATACAGCCTGGCGTGGCTCACGCCTGTAATCCCAGCACTTTGGGAAGCCGAGGTGGGCGAATCACCTGAGGTCAGGAGTTCAAGACCAGCCTGGCCAACATAGTGAAACTCCATCTCTACTAAAAATACAAAATTAGCTCTGGACATGGTGGCAGGTGCCTGTAATCCCAGCTACTCGGGAGGGTGAGGCAGGAGAATCACTTGAACCCAGGAGGCAGAGGCTGCAGTGACCCAAGATCATGCCACTGCACTGCAGCCTGGGTGACAGAGTGAGATTCTGTCTAAAAAAAAAATTGAATACAAGGCAGAAATGTGATGACAAATATGACAGGGATAATATTTAAGCAAATGTTTAAGACTTTTTAAAACTTAAGCAAAACGTTTAAGACGCTCAGCTCTGGCATCTCAGTTGGTTAAGTAGGCAGGTAGCCTACTCACCTCTGTGTTTCCGTTTCCCTGACTCTGAAAAGGTGATGGCAGCAGTAGTGTTGGAGGACCTTGACTGTTTTTTTTTTTCAAGTGGAGTTGATAAAAATGGTAGAGAACTACTAAAAATGTCAGATAAAATATAGTACTGTATTACAAATGAATCCCTTAGAAGATTTGTGTGGTGTGTAAGTTCGATTAGAATGGGCACAGAATGCTATCTATAAAGGATATTTGTTGATTCTTCATTTCTGCTTTTGAAATCTATCCTGTTACCCTGAAATTGGTTGGTCACTTCATATTAGTGTAATTTTAGTGATAGCATTTTACTGTGTGCCCACCCTGTGAGCTCTCTCCAATGAATTAACTCCCCTTGCACTCTCAATCCCCTTACCCTGCCTATTCTCCTTCACAGCATTTATTACTACCTGGCATTTTACATGTTTGTTCATTGTTTACACTCTGGTAAGATACACGAGAGCAGGGCTTGTGTGTGTGTGTGTGTGTGTGTGTGTGTGTGTGTGTTTTAACCAAATTTATTTTGGGATAATCATAGCTATATATGTAATTATAAGGAATAATACAGAGAGATTCCATATACCCTTTATACAGCTTCCCCTGGTGGTAACCTCTTGCAGAACTATAGTACAGTAACACAAGTGGGACATTGACATTTGTATGGTCAAGATTCAGAACATGGCTGATTGTGGTGGCTCATGCCTGTAATCCCAGCATTTGGAAGGCCAGGGTGGGTAGACCACTTGAGGCCAGGAGTTCAAGACCAGACTGGCCAACATGGTGAAACCCCATCTCTACTAAAAATACGAAAATTAGCTGGATGTGGTGGCATGTGCCTGTAGTCCCAGCTACTTAGGTGGCTGAGGCATGAGAATCACTTGAACCCAGGAGGCGGAGGTTGCTGTGAGCCGAGATTGTGCCACTGTACTTTAATCTGTGTGACAGAGTGAGACTGTGCCTCCAAAAAAAAAAAAAAAAAAAAAAAAAAGATTCAGAACATTTCCATCTCCACAGAGATTCTTCAGGTTGCTCTTTTATAGCCACCTGAGCTTCCCTTCTACCCCAACTCCTTTGTTAACCTCTAGCAATGACTAATCTGTTCTCCAGCTCTGCATTTTGTCATTGCAAGAATGGAATGGAATCACACTTTTGGAGATTGGTTCTATTCACTCAGCATAATTCTCTGGAGATTAATCCAGGTTGTTGCATATATCAGTAGCTTGTGTCTTTTTATTCCTGAGTAGTATTGTGTGATATGAATGTTATCAAAGTTTGTTTAACCATTCACCCATTGAAGGACATCTGGGTTGTTAAAGTTTTGGGGCTATAATGAATAAAGCTGCTATAAACATTTATGGACATGTTTTTGAGGGAACATAAGTGTTCATTCCTCTGGGCTAAATGCCCAGGAGTGCATTTGCTGAGTTGTATGGTAGTTCTATGCTTAGTTTTAAAAGAAACTGCCAAACTGTTTCCCAGAGTGGCTATACCATTTCATATGCCCACCAGCAATGTATGAGCAATCCAGTTTCTCCACATCCTTATCAGCATTTGATGTTTTTGCTATTTTTCTGTTTTAACCATTCTGAGAGGTGTGTAGTGATACCTCACTGGGGTTTTAAATTTACATTACATTTCCCTAATGGCTAATGATGTTGAACATCTTTGCATGTTCTTACTGGCCATCTATTTGTCCTCTTCATTCAAGTTTTTCTTCATGTTTCATGTCTTTTTTGTTCATGTCCTAATTGGATTGTTTGCTTATTTTACGTTTTTTTTTTAATTCATTTTAAATATTGTTAAAATACACTTAAAATTTACCATCTTAGCCATTTTTAAATATATGGTTCAGTGGTATTAAATACTTTTTCATCTTCCCAAATTGGAACTGTATACATTAAACAATAGTTCCTCATTTCCTCCAGTCCCTGGCAATTACCATTGCCAGGGACTGGAGGAAATCTGTTTCTATGAATTTTCTATCTGTTTCTATGAATTTTACTATTCCGAGCACCTCATGTAAGTGGAATCGTGCAGTATTTGTCTTTTGACTGGCTTATTTCACTTAGCATAATGTCCTCAAGGTTTGTTCATGTTGTAGCATGTGTCAAAATTTCCTTCCTTTTTAAGACTGAATAATATTCCCCTGTAGGTGTATAACACATTTTGCTTATCCATTTCATCTATTGATGGACACTTGGATTGTTTTCATGTTATAGTTATTGTGAATAATGTTGCTATGGGCCAGGTGTGGTGGTTCACGCCTGTAATTCTGACCCTTTGGGAGGCTGAGGTGGGAGGATTGCTTGAGCCCAGGAGTTTGAGACCAGCGTGGGAAACATGGAGAGACCTTGTCTCTATAAAAAAAAAAATAAAAAATTAGCTGGGTGTGGGATGGTGTGTGCCTGTAGTCCCAACTACTCAGGAGACTGAGGCAGGAGGATCACTTGAGCCCAGGAGTTGGAAGCTGCAGTGAGCTATGATAGCACCACTGCACTCCAGCCTGGGTGACACAGCAAGACCCTGTCTTTAAAATAATAATAATAATAATAATAATAATAATAATACTGCTTTGAACATGAAGGTACAACTATCTCTTTGAGACCCTGTTTTCAATCCTTTTGGGTATATACCAAGAAGCAGAATTGCTTGATCATGTGGTATTATATTTTTAATTTTTTGAGGAACTACCATACTATTTTCCACAGTGACTATACCATTTTACATTCTCAAAAACAGTCCACAAGGGTTTTAATTTCACCAAATTCTCTCCAACACTTTTTTAATAGTAGCCATCCTAATGGGTGTGAGGTGGTATTTCATTGCAGTTTTCATTTGCATTTCCCTAATCATAAGGAATGTTAAGCATCTTTTCATGTGCTTATTAGCCATTTGTATACCTTCTTTGGTGAAATGTCTATTCAAGTCCTTTGCCTTTTTTTTTTTAATTGGGTTGTTAATTTTTTTGTTGCTGAGTTTTAGTTCTCTATATATTCTGGATGCTAATCCCTTATAAGATATATGATTTGTAAATATTTTCTCCCATTCTTTGGGTTGCCTTTTTACTCTGCTGATAATGTCTTGTCATGCACTTTTTTTTTTTTAATTTTCAAGAAGTCCAATTTGTCTATTTTTGCTTTGTTGCCTATGCCTTTGGTGTCATATCCTAGAAATCATTATTGTATCCAATGTTATATAAAGCATTTGCCCTGTGTTTTCTTCTGAGAGTTTTACAGATTTAGGTCATGCACTTAGATCTTTGATCCATTTTGAGTTTTTGAGTATGGTGTTAGGCAAGAATCCAATTTCATTCTTTTGCATGTGGATATCCAATTTTCCAAATACCGTTTGTTAAAATGACTGTCCTTTTTCCATCGAATAGTCTTGGCATCCTTTTCAAAATATTTGACCATGTACTCTGGTTCATTTTGGGGCCCTCTGTTCTATTTTATTGTTCTATATGTCTGTCTTTATATTGGCATTACACTGTTTTGATTACTCTATCTTTGCAATAAATTTTGAAATCAGGAAATGTGAGTCCTCCAGCTTTGTTTTTCTTTTCTTTTTTTCTTTTTTTTTTTTTAAGACCGGGTCTTGCTCTGTTGCCCAGGCTGGAGTGCAGTGGTATGATAATGGCTCACTGTAGCCTCAAACTCCTGGGCTCCAGTGATCCCACCCTAGCCTCCTTAGAACAAGCACACACCACCATACTCAGCTAATTATTTTTCTTTTTTAGAGATGAGGTTTCAGCTGACACACGCTGGCTCATGCCTGTAATCCTGTTTCCTTGGGAGGCTGAGACCAGAGGACTGCTTGAGTCCAGGAGTTTGAGATCAGCCTGGGCAACATAGTGAGACCCTGTCTCTCGCTTTTTTTGAGACAGAGCCTTGCTCTGTCACGCAGTCTGCAGTGCAGTGGGGCAATCTTGGCTCACTGCAACCTCTGCCTTCTGGGTTCAAGCAATTCTCTTGCCTCAGCCACCCAAGTAGGTGGGATTACAGGCATGAGCCATTGCGCCGAGCCAAGAGATCCCACCCCATCTTTAAAAAGAAAAAAAAGAGACAAATTCTTGCTATGTTGACCAGGCTGGTTTTGAACTCCTGGCCGTAAGTGGTACTCCCTGTCTTTCCTCTGCCACCTTGGCCTCCCAAAGAGGGATTATAGGTGTGAGCCACTGCACCTGGCCAAAAAATTTTATTAATTACATTTTTAAATAGTCATATAAGGGGCTGGGCGTGGTGGCTCATGCCTGTAATCTCAGCACTTTGGGAGTCTGAGGCGGGAGGATCACTTGAGTCCAAGAGTTCGAGACCAGCCTGGGCAACACAGTGAGACCCTGTCTCTACAAATAATAAAAAAGCCAGGCATGGTGGTATGCACCTGTAGTCCCAGCTACTTGGGAGGCTGAGGCAGGAGAATTGCTAGAGCCCAGGAAGTTGAGGCTGCATTGAGCACAGCACTTGGCTTGAGTAACAGAGACCCTGTCTTAACAAACAAAAAAAAGACATATACATTATATATTTGTTGTATACGACATGATGTTTTTAAATACGCATACATATTATGGATGGCTAAGTCAGGTTAATTAACAAGCATACTAATCATTTTATAGTGAGAACACTTAAAAATCTACTTGGCAGTGTTTTTTAAGAGTACAATACATTGTTAACTATAGTCATTGTTGCATGATAGATCTCTTGCTATTTTTCAAGAAAGAAACATTGTTTTGGCCATTTGCTGTCTTTTGAGACTTCGTATGTATTTTAGGATGGGATTTTTCTGTTTCTGCAGCAAGCTTCATTGGGATTTTAATAGGGATTATCTTTAATCTGTAGGTTGCTTTCGGTAGTACTGACATTGTAACAATGTTAAATCTTCCAGTCCATGAACATGGATGTGTTTCCATTTATTTAGGTCTTTAATTTCTTTTAGCAGTGTTTTGTAGTTTTCTTTGTACAAGATTTTTACATCCTTGGTTAATCCCGAAGTATGTATTCTTTTTGATGTTATTGTAAGGGGAATTTTTTTCTAATTTTCTTTTCAGATTGTTCATTGTTGGTGTATAGAAATGCAACTGATTTTTCAGCGTTGACTTTGTGTCCTGCCACTTTGCTGAATTTATTTTTTACTTCTAACCTGTTTTTAGAAAAAAAGAATCTAGAATTTTCTGCATAAAAGATTATATCATCTGTGAACAGACTTCTTCCTAATTTGGATGCTTTTTTTTTTTCTTGCCCAGTTGTTCTGACTAGAACCTTTAGTACTATCTTGAATAGGGAAGTGGTGAAAGTGGGCGTCCTTCGCTATCTCCTAATGTTAGAGGAAAAGCTTTCAGTTTTTCACTATTGAATATGATGTCCACTGTGGGATTTTTATATATGACTTTTATTATATTTAGTTAGATCTCTCTATTCTTAGTTTCTTGACCCTTATGAAAGGGTGATACTACTTCTGTGTCAATTAAGATGACCATGTGGTTTTTTTCCCCCCTTATTAATATGGTATATTACATTGATCAATTTTCATATATTGATGCCTTGAACCATCCTTGCATTCTAGGAATAAATAAATCCCACTTGGATTATGGTGTATAATCTTTTTAATATATTGCTGAATTTGCTTTGCTAGTATTTTGTTAAGAATTTTTGCATCAGTGTTCATAAAGGATATTGGTCTATATTTTTCTTTAGAGCCTTTGTCTGACTTTGATACCAGGGTAATTTTGGCTTCATAGAATTAGTTAGGAAGTGTAGGTAATCTTGCTTCCTTTTCAGTTTTTGGAAAAAGTTTGAGAAGGATTATGATTAGTTTTTCCTTAAATGTTTGGTGCGTTTTTCACCAGAGAAGCCATCAGGGCAGGGCTTTCCTTTGTCCAGAGATTTTTTTTTTTTTTTTTTAAAGACAGAGTCTAGCTCTGTCGGCCAGGCTGGAGTGCAGTGGCACAGTCTCAGCCCACTGCAACCGCTGTCTCCCGAGCTCAAGCAGTTCTCCTGCCTCAGCCTCCTGAGTAGCTGAGATTACAGGCGTGTGCCACCATGCCCGGCTCATTTTAGTAGAGATGGGGTTTCACCATGTTGGCCAGGCTGGTCTCGAACTCCTGACCTCAGATAATCTGCCTGCCTTGGCCTCCCAAACTGCTGGGATTACTGGCGTGAGCCACTGTGCCCGGCCTGTTCAGAGATTTTTGATTACTGATTCTAGATACTAGTCCTTTGATGGATATGTGGTTTGTACATATTTTTTGTCAGTCTTTATCTTTTCATTTCATTCTCTTAATAGAGTCTTTCACAGAGCAAAAAGGTGTAAATTTTGATTAATCCAATAGATAAATGTTTTTCTTTTATAGGTTGTTCTTTTTTGTATTAAGTTTAACAAGAACACTTTGCCTAGCTTTAGATGCCAATGGTTTTTTTTGTGTGTGTGTGGAAAAATTTTATAGTTTTTATAATTTACATTTAAGTTCATGGTCCATTTTAAATTAATTTTCATATAAGCTAGTTGTTTTTTGTTGTTGTTTTCTCAATGAGTGTCCGTTTGCTTCGGGACCAAGAATGTCTTTTCTCTCTTAAATTGTTTTCTTTCACCTTTGTCAAAATTTAGTTAAGCATATTTGTGTGGGTCTATTTCTTTGTGGGTCTGTTTCTATTTCTGCTTCTTTTTTTTTTTTTTTTTTTTTTTTGAGACGGAGTCTCGCTCTGTCGCCCAGGCCGGACTGCGGACTGCAGTGGCGCAATCTCGGCTCACTGCAAGCTCCGCTTCCCGGGTTCACGCCATTCTCCTGCCTCAGCCTCCCGAGTAGCTGGGACTACAGGCGCCCGCCACCGCGCCCGGCTAATTTTTTGTATTTTTAGTAGAGACGGGGTTTCACCTTGTTAGCCAGGATGGTCTCGATCTCCTGACCTCATGATCCACCCGCCTCCGCCTCCCAAAGTGCTGGGATTACAGGCCTATTTCTGCTTCTTAATTTTGTCCCATAGATCACTGTCTCTTCCTTCACCAGTACTGTACAATCTTGATTACTGTAGCTGTATAATAAGTCTTGAAATTGGGTAGACTGATTCTTCCCAGTTTAATCTTCTTTTAAAAAAATTTTTTTTTAGCTTTGTATTTCCTTCGCCTTTCCATAAAAATTTTTAGGATAATTTTGTCCGTATTTACTAAAAATCTTGCTGAGATTCTGATAGGAATTATGTTAAACCTCTCTATCAGTTTGAGAAGACTTGATGTCTTTACCATGTTAGTCTTTTAGTTCATGAACTTGGTATGTCTATCTGTGTTGTTAGATCTTTGATTTCTTTCATCAGTGTTGCGTAGTTTTCAGCATGCATTCTGTACATGTAGATTTACATCTGAGCATCTCAGTTTTTTTTTTTTTTTTTCAGTGATAGTAAATGAGCTCATTTATTAGCTCAAGGAGTTCTTTTTGTTTTCTGTTTTTTTGGGTAGTTTCCTTGAGATTTTACATAGACAGTCATATTTATCCTTTTTTTGAGATGGAGTCTCACTCTGTCACCCAGGCTGGAGTGCAGTGGCGCGATCTCGGCTCCCTGCAACCTCTGCTTCCCAGGTCCAAGCGATTCTCCTGCCTCAGCCTCCCAAGTAGCTGGGACTACAGGCATGCGCCACCATGCCCAGCTAATTTTTGCATTTTTTAGTAGAGACAAGGTTTCACCATGTTGGCCAGGCTGGTCTCGAACTCCTGACCTCAGGTGATCTACCCACCTTGGCCTCCTAAAATGCTGGAATTAGAGGCGTGAACTGCTGTGCTCAGCCTGTATTTTTATTTTCATTCCGTTGTGTGTATTTTAATTTCCCTTGAGACTCCCTCTTTTACCCATGGATTATTTTGAAGTATATTTTTGGGTTTCTAAGTATTTGGAAGATTTCTGTTATTTTTCTTTTATTGATTTCTAGCTTGATTCTTGGTGGTCAAAGAAACATACTATATGTGATTTTTTTTTATTTCCATAGGTTTTTGGGGAACAGGTGATATTTGGTTATATGAGTAAGTTATTTAGTGGTGATCTGTGAGATTTTGGTACACCCATCACTCGAGCAGTATACACTGAATATGATTTTAATTTTTAAAAATCTTTTTATGTTTGTTTTATTGCCCCAAATGTGGTCTGTTATTGCTGTATGTTCTGTGGGTAGTTGAAAAGAATATGTATTTTTCTATATTTGGAATGTTCTGTAAAGTCACTTCACTTCTGTTGGTTGATGGTTTTGTTGAATTCTGTAATCTTGCAGATTTTCTGCTAGTTGGTCTATCACGTGGTGGTTACGTCTTCAATTTGTGGATTTGTCTGTTTCTTTTTTTCAGTTCTGTCAGATCCTGTTTTGTATATTTTGGAGCTTTGTTGTTTGGTGCATACATATTACAATTCCTGCATCTTCTATGTGTATTGACCCTTCTTTATTACATCTGTCTGTCTCTGATAATTTTCTTTGCTCTGAAGTCAACTTTATCAAACATGAATATAACTTACTTTAAGTTAATATTTGCATGATATATCTTTTTCTCTCCTCAGTCTGCCTACTTTGTTATATTTTGTGTGACTTTCTTGTAGATAGCATACTATTAGGTCATGTGTTCTGGTTGCTGGCTTCTTCATCTCCAAATCTGTGATATATGCGATAAAAAGAAAAAACAGGGAATTCACGATCATGTCATCACTGAGACCCCTAGTTAGCCTGCCTTTTTCTCTCCACCTTTCAGTGTTATTTGTTTTATATATTAATACAATGTCCAGGGTTTCCAGTTGTGCTTAGAGGAGGAATAGGGAAAAGTACATCTACTTCATTTTCTGAAGTGGAAGTTCCAGGGCTTTGCTTTATTTATTGCCATATCCCTACTGTCTATGTCATATATCATCAATGTTCAGTAAATATTTGTTGAATGAATTAATGGTTTTTAATCAGAGTGAATTTGTATGTTATTTATGTATATAAAATACTTGATTATTTCATATTATAAAACATTTAGAGAATACTCGTTTTTTCCCCACTACCAAGATCAGAGAGCGAATTATAATTTGTCTTAATTATTGTTTACATTTTGCCCCACTTTCGCTAATCTATGGCAGAAAATGAAAATTGGAGAACGTTTTCAGCCCTGCATGTTTATATTCTTTACGCCTAAATGATACAAAGTCTAGTAAATAGTTAACTCTTCAATTGTATCATACTTTACTGACACATGAATTGTTGTAGAGATTGAGATAGAGACAGTTATGCTCCTTATAATTGAAGTGCTGCTGATAATTTGGGATGTATAAACACAGACTTTATTTAAAAATTATTTTAGTAGTTAGAAATCTGTTAGCTACCTTTAGAGGTGAATTAAATTAGATAGTATAAAACATTTTGACAGATGCCACCTCGATGAGAATCAGATGCAGGAAATATTTTTTTTCTCTTTGAGTCTGAAAGGTTTCTTATTGTCTTTCTGTTTAATTGGTGCTGTTATAGGTCCCTTCAATAATCAGGAGATGGCAGAATGGTTTCAGGCGGGCTATTTTACTATGTCTTTATTGGTGAAGAGAGCGTGTGATGAAAGCTTCCAACCTCTTGGCGATATCATGAAAATGTGGGGAAGGGTTCCCTTTTCTCCAGGTCCAGCTCCCCCTCCTCATATGGTAAGTACCTTTCACCTCACCTGGAATACATATTAGTCACGGAAACACTTGATTCTCTTTGAAAACACAACCCAAATATATCATCTAATGAAGGAATTGTAGTTCTTTGAAATTAATGGAAATGGTAAGGGAAAGTCTGAATGGAAGACTGAATACTTAGCTATAATGATCTTTTCAAAACTCGAATAACCTGTGCCCATCCTCTTCACACCCCAGCTCCTCCCCAACAGGGAAACGGAATCCTTCAGTAGCATTCCAGCAGATGTAGAATGAAGACCAACATCTTATCCTGGCCTACCTACGAGGTCCTGCAATGCCTGGCACCTTACCTTTCTAAGCTCATTTCAGAGCTTTTACCTTTATCTGCTAGGCTTCAACACAGTTGACCTCTTTGACTTTCTTTGCTTCCTCTAGTTAGAATAAACATTCCCCTCTCTTCCACTTCATTTGCCTCTTGCCTTCTCATTCATAAAGTTTCTAAATTTGAGGTTTGCCTTAAAATAAATGTTACCAGTGCTTCACAATATTTTTAGGGCTTAAAAAAATTAGTTACTGGTATTTTAATTAAAAAATGGAACCATGGCCGGGCACATTGGCTCACTTCTGTAATCCTGGTGTGGGAGGGATTTGGGAGGCCAGAGTTAGAGGATTGCTTGAGCCCAGGAGTTTAAAATCACCCTGGACAACGAAGTGAGACCTGTCTCTACAAATAGTAATGAAATAATAATGATAAAAAACTAGCCGGGTATGGTGGCAATCAGTGGCAGAGATGGGATGATCACTTGAGCCTAGGAAGTTGAGGCTGCAGTGAGCTGTGATTGCACCGCTGCACTGCAGCTTGGGCAACAGAGTGAGACCCTGTCTCAAAAAAAAATAATAAAAGGAACCGTAATGCTAGTAGTGATCTTTCTAGGGCTCTGACACTGGGGTACTGTTGGCAGGGAAACCCTTCTTCCTCTTGGGCTGCTCTTGGACCCTCTCAGTAGTGTTCCTTTTGGAGGTCTTTCACCTGTACCTCATTTTTTCTTCTCCAGGTTGGACTGTCTGGTGACGGGCTGTAGTTAAAAGTTACCATAAACCTTTTTTTTTCTTTTTAAAGAGATGGAGTCTCGCCATGTTGCCCAGGTCAGTCTCAAACTCCTGGGCTCAGGTGGTCCTCCCACCTTGGCCTTTCAAAGTGCTGGATTTTAGGCATGAGCCACTGCACCCAGCCAATAAACCTTTAGTGTGGACACTGCATTTCTACAGTAAAGTCACCATTGACTTATTCATCAATTGTATATTGAGGGCCTGTGCCAGGCCTCGTAGTAGGTTCTTAGGAGATGAAGATGAGCAAGACCTAGCCTCTGTAGTCAAGGGAGTGTGTAGGTGAGGAAAGTGGCTTTTTTTCCATTTTGTTTCTTTTAAATGTTGATCTTAACCCAGTATTTGATTTCACAATCCACTAATGTGTTGAGACCTATAGTTTGTGGAGAGCAGTGGTCTAGAATGGAAGATTCCTAGGTGAGAGGAATTATTTCTCACACCATCCTAGTTGTTTTAAGTCACAAGAAAAATTATACTGTGTATTGCAGCATGTAAATTTAACTTATATATCAAGTTTAAGCCTTATTTCCCTTCTCTGAAATTAAGATGAGTTTTGATCTTACACATCTCAGAAGCTAAAAGCTCATCTCTTGGATCTTGGCATACTTGGAGTAGTCCACTTCCCAGTTTCCGGTTAGAGGAGCTGAGCCTCAGTCATACCTGCATAGGAGGGAAACTGTGCAAAGCCCTGCTTCCTGTCTGTCATTGTCTTTGACCTGAATATTGTTGATAAGAAGAGAGCCCCACTTCATGATGAATGTATACCTTGAAACTTAGTTTTTCATGTAGACATTTTAGATGAACCTAAGGTAGTAGCTATCCTCCAGTATCGAAAAGCAAGAAAAACGTCTCTGAATTTCAGGTAATCCCTACCCTAAGAAATTGTGTATCAAGTATCTTATTTCAAACTATAATCAATATATAATAAAGATATAAACTCATGATTTACCTATTTAGTCTGTCATACTTACACTTTTACTTCTGTTATCTTATACTTCATGTTTCTTTCTCCTAATTTTAACTTTTTATAATTTAAATTCCAGTCATATTATTTCACATATAAGCTAAAAAATTGGTTTTATTTTACTACAACTTATTTTTTCTAATTCATGATGTATTAATAGCAACAGAAACAGTTTATTTTGGGGGAGAGAGTTATAGTTATCAAAGTTTATATACATACATATACATATATACATACATATATATATATTTTTTTGAGACGGAGTCTTGCTCTGTCACCCAGGCTGGAGTGCAGTGGCGCAGTCTAGGCTCACTGCAACCTCTGCCTCCCAGGTTCAAGTGATTCTCCTGTCTCAGCCTCCTGAATAGGTGGATCTACAGGCATGTGCCACCACACCCAGCTGATTTTTGTATTTTTAGTGGAGACGGGGTTTCATCATGTTGGCCAGGCTGATCTCAATCCCCTGACCTCATGATCCGCCTGCCTTGGACTCCCAAAGTGCTGGGATTACAGGTGTGAGCCACCACGCCCGGCCTCTTTTTATATTCTTAACATCTTTAAGATACATACTGGCTCCCTGCATTCCTTATATACCATTATAAAATTCTGTAACATTTCCTTTGACCTTTAGATACTTTTACATTTTTCTGTGTTATATCCAGTTTCTCTAATTTCTACATTATCTAATTATACAGTCTTTCAGTTACAGTAATAACTCTGAAGTACAGTTGAACATTCAGCTTTAAGGGCAGGAATGGAGAATGGCAGCTGAAATAAGGACCCTTTCTCACCTTAGGGAATCTTTTGTAATATTGACACCACTGTTTCCACTAGATGGTGTTGTTTAGTTTTTAAAGATGTCTGAGTTTTTATTCAAGTGTTTGGGTAAAAGGGTAGAGCTGGGAGGTAAAGGTCTTAGATTCATTTTGATTTCAGATACCTGTACTAAGTGGCTTTTAGGTTCTTTGCAGTTTATTTAATGGTATTTATTTCCTCACCACTTCATTCCTAGGGAGAGCTGGACCAGGAACGACTGACCAGGCAGCAAGAACTCACAGCCTTATACCAGATGCAGCACCTGCAGTACCAGCAGTTTTTAATACAGTAAGAAGAGTAATGCAGTAGGATGTACTGCAGCATGAAAAAGGACTTTAAATAGAATCTGCTCTCAAGTCTCACCTTTTACAGTAGAGAGGACTAACGGCTTATATGGCACTTCAGTCACCCAGCTAGTGGCGTCTTGCCACCATACCTTCTAATTTTAGTGTTGTCATTTATTTATTTATTTATTTATTTTTGAGACAGAGCCTCACTCTGTCATCCAGGCTGGAGTGCAGTGGCATGATCTCGGCTCACTGCAACCTCTGCCTTCCTGGTTCCATTGATTCTCGTGCTTCAGCCTCCTGAGTAGCTGGGACTACAGGCGTGTGCCACCACGCCCAGCCTATTTTTGTATTTTTAGTAGAGATGGGGTTTTACTGTGTTGGCGAGGCTGGCCTCGAACTCCCAGCCTCAAGTGATCTGCCTGCCTCGCCTCCCAAAGTGCTGGGATTACAGGCATGAACCACCACTCCTGGCTTATCTTACTTTTAAATACCAGAAGTTTAGAAGATGACACATAACTTTAATTTTGTAAGCTCTTTAGTTTCTAAGTGCCTCCTGAGTGGCTCAGCTTTGAATGCCACAGAGGAAAAAAAATATATATGTATATAAGCGAGAGGGTGGGAAAGAAGTTAAAGTTAATTATTTTAGGAGTGGTGTGGAATGATGGCAAAGTCAGTCAGGTTTTGTTATGTCCTTTTTGTAGAAGAAATAAGATTTGCTGTTCTTGTGGTGCAGAGGTTGGCAAAGTCTGACCTTTGGGCTAAATCTGGCCTGCTCTCTATTTTTATATTTATAAGCAAAGTGTTACTGAAACAGACACACCTGTTGGTTTGTAGGATGTATATTGCTGCTTTTGCCTTATGATGGCAGAATTGAGTAGTTGCAACAGAGAGTATATGAGCTGCATAGATGAAACTATTTACTCTCTGGCCCATTACAAAAGTTTAACCCTGATCTAGTGAAGAAAAATTACCTAAATTTTTCCAAGTTGAAGACGATCAATGTATGAATTTTTATAGAAGTGTTACATTTTTTACAAAGGGTACGTCATATGGTTAAAGCTACTAATTTGAATCTGTTTCATTTTTCATTTGATTTCTGATAAAAGGTTATCTTTGGAGTTTACCAATTTTTGACATTCGTGATTTTAAAAATATTTTCTCTGAATAGACCACTTTGCACTGAATTGTGAATTTTTTTGCTATCCTCTTTCACTCGGAAACACGCCATCTATGAGTTCAGTTCTTTCTAGAATGAAGCATAGAATTTTCTATGTGTCTATTATCATAATGAAGAATTATAAAATATATTTGATAGCTATTTCTAATAATGTCTCCTGGGGGGCTTTGAATTGAACTTTGTCTTTCAGCATCTCAGCCATGTGAACTAAGTGTGGATTGACAGGTTATACTTTTTTTTTTACTTTTTGAAGACAACAATATGCACAGGTTTTGGCCCAACAGCAGAAAGCAGCACTGTCTTCCCAGCAGCAGCAGCAGTTGGCACTTCTTCTTCAACAGTTTCAGACCTTGAAGATGAGGTTGGTGGTCATTCCATTATGTGTCATATGGGGTGCATGTGTTGTGAAAGAAAGAGAAGAAAGGAGAAATTCTGGTATAGTGTGTGATTTCTGGCACTGGAACACTCCCAACACATACCTGCATGTTGTATGTAAAAAAGTATATTTTAAAAAAATATTTCAGGTGGAGATAAGCGTTTATTTGGTCTTTTACTCATAGATATAAATTTTGATTAATCAAAAGACCAAAGAATAATGGGAACTCTTGAGAAACAGTGTCATCTTGTGGAACCTGCGACAGAAAAACTGTAGCCTAGGATTTTAATTTCACTTTTACTCATAGTATCTCAAAGTATTAGCCACACCACAAAAGGTTGTAATTTTCTAGAACTCAGAAGCCATTAAGGTAGGTCTAAGGAAAAGGAAATTATGCTAGAAGTCTAGAAGAAATTTCTGCTGTTTCAGATTATCGTTCAGAGTAATATTTCTCCTGAACAAGTATCAGTCACTGCTCTTAAAAATCTTATTGTCTCATTAAGCCAAAACTGTTTATATTTCTTTTGAGCCTTAACCCATCCCATGAGGTAGGCAGTTTAGGTGGTAGGAGCTCCATTTTATGGATGGGCAAACTGGGACTCTGAGAGGCTGTAGGACTTGATTAATGTAACACACAGGAAACTCAGAACTAAAATGCAGACCTTTTTTCATTATAATATGCTGTCTCTGTGACTTCTATTGAGATGATCTGGGTTTTTTAAGATACGGATATACAGTATCTTTAAGATATACATATCTTTTAAGATATAGATATACAGTGGGTATATCCATCATTTAGAAGTCAATATGTATTACCATAGAGGATTCCAGAAGTGTGATCATTGTGCCCTTCTCTTTGTTCCACCCCAAACTGCTTTGGTAGTGTTAAGTTTTAGTAAAAGAGTGAAGGCGTTTTCTAGCCAAATAACCTGGAGAACCTGCTAATCTAGAAATTCCTCTTCATCTTTTTTTTTTTTTCCTGCAAATGACAAGAACAAGTTAATTTTTTATTTCCCTTTTGCAGAATATCTGATCAGAACATCATTCCCTCAGTAACTAGGTCTGTGTCCGTGCCAGATACTGGCTCTATCTGGGAGCTTCAGCCAACAGCTTCACAGCCTACAGGTAAAAACTTAGATTAACCTTTAGTACCACTCTGAGGATTCAGAGTCTAATAATAATTTTACAATTCAGTTCTTAAAAAATATATTAGGTTTCTGAATCCATTTTGTATTTGATATTAACAAAAGGTCCATTTTTTACTAGATCCAAGCAATATTGAAGGTGTTACTGAAAATATACTTTTAAGGATTTGTTTGAATTTATTTAGTGGATTTTTTTTTGAGTCAGCATCTCTTTTATGTTGTTCTGATCAGTGTGGAAAAATCATTTAAATTATTTTCGATCTCTTTAGCCAGATCGGGAAAAAAAGCATACATAAAAACATAGTAATGGTGACCTATTCTTTTGAGTTAGGAATTAATACAAGCTAGGCATGGTGGTGTGTGCCTGTAGTGCTAGCTATTCAGGAGGCTGAGATGGGAGGATTACTTGAGCCCAGGAGTTCCAGGCTGCAGTGAGCTATGATCATGCCAAGGCATTTCAGCCTGGGCAACAGAGCAAAACTCTAAGAAAGAAAAAAAAAAAAAGTAATTGGTGTTAACAAACACTGTAGGTACCCAGAAATTTTGGGAAAAGAAAAACCTGCTATGAATTGAGCACCTTTTCTCATTTTTATATTTTTACATCAAATTAGAAAATTTGGGGTTGAGATTATTTTAAGTCTTGGTATGGGTGAAGCACCGCTGTTTCTTTGCTTTCTTTTTTTTTTTTTTTTTTTTGAGACAGACTCTTGCACTGTTGCCCGGGCTAGAGTGCAGTGGTGCGTTCTCAGCTCATCGCAACCTCTGCTTCCCAGGTTCAAGCGATTCTTCTGCCTCAGCCTCCTAAGTAGCTGGGATTAATTACGCTATCACACCTGACTGGGTGTACGCTATCACACCTGACTAATTTTTGTATTTTTAGTAGAGACAGGATTTCACCATTGTGGCCAGTCTGGTCTCAAAGTGACCTCAAGTGATCCGCCCACCTTGGCCTCCCAAAGTGCTGGGATTACAGGTGTGAGCCACTGCGCCCAGCCGAGCACCTCTGTTTCTTATGGTCTAAATACTTGCAGAGATGGATAGTTTGGTCCATGGGTAGTCCTTTCAAGAGATTATAGTTGGTGTTGAAGATCCTCAAGAACTATAGGCCTTGGTGGAGTTTTTCTAGAGCTGTTGAGCCATTCAGGTCATGGTTCTGTTGTTAACACTGACCCCGCAGATTATTGCAGAAGGATGATTGTCTTCCCTCATCGACTTTCCATGCTGTTTGTACCTTATTTTTTCTTGATAGCCGTTTATAGTTAGGATGTTAAGAATACAGGTTGAGTACCCATCCCTAATCCAAAAGTCCACAATCCAAAATGGTTCAAAATCTAAAACTTTTTGAGCATTGACATGATTTCACAAGTGGATTTTTTTTTTTTTTTTTTTTTTTTGAGACAGAGTCTTGCCGTGTTGCTGAGGCTGGTGTGTAGTGGCACAATCTCGGGTCACTGCAACCTCTGCCTCCTGGGTTCAAGAGATTCCCCTGCCTCAGCCTCCCGAGTAGCTGGGATTACAGGCACCCACCACCACGCTTGGCTAATTTTTGTATTTTTGGTAGAGACGGTTTCACCACGTTGGCCAGGCTGATTTCAAACTCCTGGCCTCAAGTGATCCGCCTGCCTCTGCCTCCCAAACTGCTAGGATTACAGGCATGAGACATGGTGCCCAACCCATGATTGGACAATTTTACACGTAAATACTTAACACAAACATTTTTTTCATGCCTCAAATTATTTAAAAATGTTGCATTAAACTACCTTCAGGCTGGCTGGGTGTGGTGGCTCACGCCTGTAATCCCAGCACTTTGGGAGGCCGAGGTGGGTGGATCACGAAGTCAGAAGTTCGAGACCAGCCTGGCCAAGATGGTGAAACCCCATCTCTACTAAAAATAAAAAAAAATTAGCCAGGTGTGGTGTCGGGCACCTGTAATCCCAGCTACTCCGGAGGCTGAGGCAGGAGAATCGCTTGAACCCTGGAGGCGGAGGTTGCAGTGAGCCGAGATCACGCCACTGCACTCCAGCCTGGGTGACAGAGTGAGACTCCACCTCAAACCCCCCCCCCCCAAAAAAAAAGTACCTTCAGGCTATGTCTATAAAGTGTATATGAAAGATTAATAAATTTTATGTTGGATCTTATCCCAGAGATAGCTCATTATGTATATGCAAATATTTCAAAATCTGAAAAAATCCAAAATTTGAAATGCTTCTGGTCCCAAGCATTTTGGATAATGGATCCACAACCTGTATTCTGTAGTGTTTTGGAAACTTTTAAGTACTGTATTAAACAATTTATCTCTTTGGGTTTATATGCAGTCAAGTTCCTTTAAAAATAGTCCATTGGTTTTATACAGACAATATTTGATGGTGTATAAATAGACTATGATAGGAATGTAGAAATTAGAGAATGCTGAAAAGTGGTGCTAGAAAACTTCGCTGGCAATAGGAAAATGAACTCAGAAACCATTATCTGTTTGTTTACTTCCAAATGTGATCTTGCAGTGCCCTTCAGGTTAGCAGGACCAGGTCTCACTTGTAAGACCTGCCTGGCCTTTCCAGAGGTCTCCACAGCTCCAGCTGTAATGCTTACTTGCACTCCCTCTTTATTGAGATGAAATTCATTTAACACAAAATTAACCATTTTAAAGTGAATACTTCAGTGGCATTCACAATGTTGTGCAACCACCTACTTCTCTCTAGTTGGTGTGCAGTGAGAGGCTGTAAGGTTGCTGGAAATCTATGTGCTTTGGAGTGTAATACACTGGGATTTAAATCCTGGCATGACCACATGCTTGCCATGTGCCCTTGGGAGTGTTAGAAACTACTTCTGACCCTTAGTTTGTTCATCTGTAAAAATGGGGGTATGAATAGAAACATTATAGGGCTTTGTAAGGATGAAGTTAATTCCCTGATAAATGCCTGGTACTTCCCTTCATTCTAGATGTGTTGAAGGATATTCACAGAAACTAGAGTCCATTGGCAGTTCAGTCTTCTCAGAGGCAAAACAGATGTGTTTGGTGGAGCTCATTTAGGCACAGGGAAGCAGCTTTTTTCATGATTCCTACGGATATGTCACCATGTGTGTAAGCTCTGTCATTCCTCGTTGTTTCTTTTGTTGTCTTACAGTTTGGGAAGGTGGTAGTGTATGGGATCTTCCTCTGGACACCACGACACCAGGCCCTGCCCTGGAACAGCTTCAGCAGCTAGAGAAGGCCAAAGCTGCAAAGGTCTGAAACTCATTCTTCTGCAACAGTGCATTGTCATCTGGCTGCAGGACATAAACATTGCTGTTTATTCATCTCTCTAGCTAGCTATGCTTTTTACTTTCAGTTTACTGCTGCTTAGCTGGTATAAGTACATTCATATTGTATCTTTACTGTGCTCTCTTCTCCCAAAAAAAAAAAACTCAAAACAGAATTTAAATTACTATGTTTGGTTTGGTTAGTTGGCACATTGTTGATTATAGACACATATATATTTTAGGTAACATTATTCATGGTATGAACATTTGTTATAAGTAACAAGAATGTGAGAAAATATCCACTACATTGTTTATGAGACTCCTGATATGTGGCATGAGTTCTCCCATTGAATCTTTGTAGTGGTATTTGTTTATATTTCTTAGTATCCTCAGACGTAGCAGCCAAAAAGCCCGACATTAACATTAGATTGTGTGTTCCATTCACATTTTTTGGAAGAGCTAAATCTTGAATTTTGGTTTTAGTACTTGCCAGAAAAGAATGTCTACATCAATACCTAGTGTCATTGTAATGATTTCTAGGTTCTCAGGCGTACAAGAGAGTGTTGTTGCTGTTTTATACTTAATGCATTCTTATCCCCTGAGGTCGTGACAGTCTCCTTAGAGTTCCCAGAATGTGGAAAGGTTCATACAACATTGCTGTTAAAACGTTATAGCCACACTGTTAAATGTTCAATCAGAAAGTTATTTGTAGGGATGAGTAAAGAAGTACCATCCAAGAGCATTCTGATGTTACTCTCATGGGTGGTATAATGGTAACGTGGAGTGTGGAGGCAAGTACAGGTGGGAGGAAAGTGCATTCAATTGAGACAGTCATAAAATTCTTCTAATTACTGTGATATGTCACAGCTTAGAGCTCTTACAGGGTGTTGATGTTGTAGCGTATGTCAGAATTTCCTTCCTTTTAAAGGTTGAATAGTATTAATATTCCATTGTATGTATATAACATATTTTGTTTATCTATTGATCTGTTGGATCACCTGGTTGCAGTGCAGTACGGTACAAGCAGCTGATTGAATGAACGAATACTACTGGTCAGTGCTTTCGGAGTGTTCCTGTGCTTGGTTTCAAGTTTCTAAGAGTACTCTTGTGTAATCACAGCTAGAGCAAGAGAGAAGAGAGGCAGAAATGAGGGCAAAACGGGAAGAGGAAGAGCGAAAGAGGCAGGAAGAACTCCGAAGACAACAGGAGGAAATTCTTCGGCGACAGCAGGAAGAAGAAAGGAAAAGGCGAGAGGAAGAAGAACTTGCCCGAAGGAAACAGGTATGTATCTGGGAACTCTGACCATAGGATTAGTGCTTGATGAGGGCTTTCAGGCTGCTTTCTTTCATCATTTCACAGATACTCCTGAAGTCCACAGGATTGGGGTTAGAACCTTAGAAGACTCACTCACCTTTGGAAAGAATCTCTGTTTTTCACCAACACCCACTGTAGGGATATTCTTCAGTCCTAGTAAACCACTAGAATTGATATTCTTTGCATATTTCCTAGAGTTTTATAAACCAGTTAGATTTCAGAAGTTCTGTCCTTGCATCTAAAAACAATGAGAAAGTAACTTTGATGTGCAGCATTAAATGTCAAATTTTAAAAGTTACATGGGCTTTAAAAAAATTGTGCTAACATATACATAACATAAAATTTACCATTTTAAGTGTACTTTCAGTGGTGTTAAGTATATTCATTCATATTGCTGTGCAACCCTCACAAACATGTCTGTAGAACTTCTCCAACTTTGCAAACTGAAACTGCATATCCATTAAACAAGGAGCCCCACTCCCTCCATCCATAGCTCCTAGTAACCACCATTCTTCTTTCTGTGTCTGTGAATTTAAACTAACTCAATTTCTTATGTAAGTAGAATTATACAGTATTTGTCTTTTTGTGTTGGGCTTATTTCACTTAAGGTTTATTCATATTGTAGCATATATCTGAATTTCCTTTCTTAAAAAGGTTGAATAATATTCCATTGTGTGTTTATCCATTCCTATTTTGTTTATCCATTCCTCTGTTGATGGACATTTAGATGACTTCCACGTTTTAGCTATTGTGAATAATGCTGCTGTGAACACGGGTGTATAGATACCTGTTTGAGTCCTTGCTTTCAACACTTTCCTAGAAGTGGAGTTGCTGGATCATATGGTCATTCTCTTTTGAATTTTTTGAAGAACTGCCGTATTGTTTCCCACAGCTGCTGCACCACTTTATATTCCTACTGACAAGGCACAGCTGTTCCCAGTGTCTCCACATTCTCACCAACACTTGTTATTTTATTTTTTTGCTTTTGCTTTGTTTCTTTTTGATAATGACACTTTTAATGAGCATCAAGTGATATTTCATTGTGGTTTTGATTTACATTTCCCTAATGATTAGTGTTGTTGGGCATCTTTTCACATGCTTATTGACCATTCAAATGTACTTTAAAAAAGTATCTTTGGCTAAGACTTCTGCCTTCTCTTTATTCTTTCCCTTAATGAACCTTTTCTCTCTATTTTAGTGTTTCTAAATAGGGAGCAAAAACAAACTCTACACGTATATTTGCTTTACAACATTTTCCACAATATAGCTGAGCAGAAACCAGAAAGATAAGACACATTTTATTTTTCCCCTAGAAAGTAGGTTTTCATTTGAAGAAATTTAGACAGAAATCACCCAGCAATAATTTTGAATGTAATGATTTTTGTATGTGGTGTGAGATGAGGGTCTGACTTCATTCTTCTGCCTATAGATATCCAGTTTTCCCACCACCATTTATTAAAGAGACTGTCGTTTCCCCCATTGTGTGTTTGTGGCATCTATGTCAAAAATCAATTGAGTATAAATGTGTGGATTTATTTCTGGGGTTTGTATTCTCTTTTTGGTTTCTTTTTTTTTATTTTTTTGGAGACAGAGTCTCACTCTGTCACCCAGGCTGGAGGTATATATTATTTGTACTTGTGTTTTATAGCCCTCCTTTTGACATGAATTATGTCATCTTTCCATGTCAAATGTGTATCTAAAAATCTACATCATCATATTTGCTAGCTGTATTAAATTTCATTTTATAAGTAAATTATAATAAGTTGACCAATTCCCTATTGTTGGACATGAGGGTTGTTTCCAGTTCTTCATTGTTAGATAAGTGTTCGAATGAAAGTCCTTGTAGTTAAGTCTTTGCTTAAGGATTTATAACCAGCGAGGTATATACTTTTAATATTTTTTGGTCTTTTTTTTTCTTTTTCTTTTTTTGTTGTTGGGGGGAATTCACCATTCATGTGCTTGGCTCATTTTTCCATTGGGGTTTTCCTAGCTTCACTTGAAAGGATCCACTCTTTTAATAGCCCCACAGTCTAGCCTTTACCACTTGTTGCCTACTTTTTGGCCCCAAGAGGTGCTCTTTGAAAAACAAAAAAGATCCATGCTGAGATGAAATGAGAACTACGGTTAATTCTTAGAGTCACACTATACTGCAGCATATAGAGGCTCTAAGGATTATTGCAGTAAAAAAGTATGTTTAGTTCTGTGTTGCGCAGTTTTCTATAAATGATCTCAACAATGGGACTTCTTTCTGTGTAATACTTAATAGTATTGGTGGGACTTTTGATCTTCAGAACACGTTCTGGGACACATGGCTTTACTCATTACTTCTGACTGGGAGAACTTATCTTACCCCAAATTTTTGGTGGCTATGTTGATTTGCCCTCTCTATGCCTTAAGTTCCCAGTTAATTAAAAAAATAGGGATTAAAGATACCAGTGGAGAAACAAAGCTATACTTCTAATGTAGCTCTTTCTACGGTTAATCAGTAAATGATGTAGCTAATATAGAAACCAGGGTAGACTTCACAGTTTATTGTAATTTAACTGCTAATATTTTAAATTCAATTTTCTTTTCATTGTAATGCGTCCAATTCCCCAATTTACATGTATACTTTTTACTCCAGATCATGATTACTTTTATGTTTACTGTTTAACAGAGTCTTAGCAGCAGATAGCCTATTACTTTCCAAATATGACATAATAAATTGAATGATAGACCTGAGTCCCTCCCCCACCCCCCACCCTCCATCTTTTTTCCTTAGGAAGAGGCTCTGCGTCGCCAGCGGGAGCAAGAAATTGCATTAAGGCGACAGCGAGAAGAGGAAGAAAGACAGCAGCAAGAAGAAGCTCTTAGAAGACTGGAAGAGAGGAGAAGAGAAGAGGAAGAAAGGCGGAAGCAGGAAGAATTGTTACGCAAACAGGTGACCAGATGGTTTTGTCTTCTAATTGTTCCTTTGAAGCTGGGAATTAGTGATTTAGAAAATATTAGGACATTAAGGTAGCCTATCTAAAATTTTTTCAGGTTGCTAAAAATTAACCAAAAGAAACCTAACTGGCTCTTATTACTTCTGTCTAAATTTCTTCAAATGAAAACCTGTTTTCTAGAGGAAAAATAAAATTTGTCTTATCTTTCTGGTTTTTGCTCAGCTGTATAGTGGAAATGTTGTAAAATACATGGTCTTTTTTAAAGCAAGTTTCAAACTAAAGCGGAATAGTACAACAAATTCTCATAAATCACCCAGCAATAATTTCTTTTTTTTTTTTTTTTTGAGATGAGTCTCACTCTGTCGCCCAGGCTGGAGTGCAGTGGTGTGATCTTGGCTCACTGCAAGCCCCGCCTCCTGGGTTCATGCCATTCTCCTGCTTTAGCCTCCCAAGTAGCTGGGACTACAGGCGCCTACCACCATGCCTGGCTAATTTTTTGTATTTTTAGTAGAGACGGGGTTTCATTGTGTTAGCCAGGGTGGTCTCAATCTCCTGACCTCATGATCCACCCGCCTCGGCCTCCCAAAGTGCTGGGATTACAGGCATGAGCTGCTGTGCCCGGCCATCACCCAGCAATAATTTCTAACGTAATGATTTTCATGTATGGTATGAGATGAGGCTATGATTTCATTCTTCTGCCTGTGGATATCTAGTTTTCCCACCACCATTTATTAAAGAGACTGTTCTTCATTGTATGTTTTTGGGATCTATGTTAAGGAGCGTAAATGTATGGATTTATTTCTAGGCTTTGTATTCTCTTTTTGGTTTCTTTTTTTCTTCTTCTTTTCTTTTTTTTGGAGATCAAGAGCCTCACTCTGTTGCCCAGGCTGGAGTGCAGTGGCGCGATTTTGGCTTACTGCAACCTCCACCTCCCCAGCTCAAGCGATTCTCGTGTCTAAGCCTCCCAAGTACCTGGGACTGCAGGCAGGCATCACCACGTCTGGCTAATTTTTTTGTATTTTTAATAGAGATGGGGTTTTGCCTTGTTGGCAGGCTGGTCTCAACTCCTGGCCTCAAATGATCTGCCTGCCTCAGCCTCCCAAATGCTGGGATTACAGGTGTGTCTTTTTGCTTTCTTGACAGTGTTCTTTGAAACACGTAAATTTTTCACTTTGACAATGTCCAATTTATCTTTTTATTTTACTTATTTACTTACTTACTTTCTTATTTTAAGACAAAGTCTCGCTCTGTTGCCCAGGCTGGAGCGCAGTGGTGCCATCTTGACTTACTGCAGCCTCTGCCTCCCAGGTTCAGGCAGTTCTGCCTCAGCCTCCCGAGTAGCTGGGACTACAGGCATGTGCTGCCACGCTCGGCTAATTTTTGTATTTTTGATAGAGATAGGGTTTCACCATGTTGGCCAGGCTGGTCTTGAACTCCTGACCTCAGGTGATCGCTTGCCTTGGCCTCCTAAAGTGTTGAGGTAGAGGCATGAGCCACCGCGCCTGGCCAATAATGTCCAATTTATCTATTTTTTTTCTTACAAGTTGTATACTTTTAGCTCTTACTTTTAGTTTGGATTCCTTATATTCTCAGTACATGTCCTTTGTTAGATAAATGTTGTGCATACTTTCCTCCAGGCTATAGCATGTCTATTTATTTTCCTAGGGGGATCTTTTGATAAGCAGAGATTTTTAATTTTGATGAAATCCTATTAAATTTGTCTTTTATTAGTGTTTTTTTGTTTCTATGTAAGAAATACTTGCCAACCTACAGATTATTAAAATATCTCCTGTATTTTTTTTAAAGCTTTATAGTTTTCGTTTTACAAATAGTTTGAATTGTTTTTTCTGTATGATATGAGGTATGGGTTGTTCCAGTGCCTGTTTTTGCAAAGTCTTTACTTTTTCTATTGAATTTTTGATGCTTTTGTCAAAGTCAATTGTATAAATATTTTTTTTTTTTTTTTTACTGGACTCTTCCCTTTTCTTCCATTGATAAGTTTGCCTGTCCTTAAATGAGTACACACTGATTTGATTACTACTGTACCTTTATAGTAACAGAAGTAAGTCAGTATGTCTTCCAGCTTTGCCTTTTTATTCAAGACTGCTTGACTAAGATCTTTTGCCTTCCTATTAAAATTTAAAATTATCTTCTTAATTTCTATATAAGTAAAAGCCTCCTGTGGTTATGATATGGATTGTGTGGAATCTAAATTGAAGAGAATTCACATTTTAAGATATACTGAGGCTTCCAGGCAATGAACATGGTATAACTTTCCATTTGTTTATGTTTTCCTTGTTTTTTCTCAGTACCATTTTGTTTTCGTTATACAGGTTATGTACATCTTTAAAAAACTGATTTTTTTCTTTTTTGCTATTATGAGTGGAATTTTAAAAGTTTATTTTCCAGCAGGCTGGGTGCAGTGGCTCATGCCTGTAATCTCAGCACTTTGGGAGGCCAAGGCGGGCAGATCACGAAGTCAGGAGTTCGAGACCAGCCTGGCCAACAGGGTGAAACCCTGTGTCTACTAAAAATACAAAAATTAGCTGGGCGTGGTGGCGTGCGCCTGTAATCCCAGTTACTTGGGTGGCTGAGGCAGGAGAACTGCTTGAACGCGGGAGGCGGAGGTTGCAGTGACCCGAGGCACCCCTGCATTCCAGCCTGGGCGACAGGGCAAGACTCTGTCTCGGAGGGGGAAAAGCTGTTTATTTTCCAGTTCTATGGAATTGGAATTGCCAGTTCTATAGAAATGGAATTGATTGGTTTTCATATATAGATCTTATATTCTGACACCTTGTGAAACTCAACTTAGTACCTCCAATAGTATTTTTGTTGATTCCTTAGGATTTTCTATGGAATCTTATTGATAAATAGGAGCAGTTTTAATTCTTCCTTTCCAACCTTGGATAGAAGTGGTTAAAATGTATAATAGCCTTATTTCCAGTATTGGGGTGAAAATGTCCGGTATTTCACCATTAAATATATTGATAGTTTTTCATAGGTATCCATTATCCAGCTGAAGAAGTTTCTTTCCAGTCCTAGTTTACTGAAAGTTTTTCAATGAATAGATACTGAGGTTGTAAAATGCTTTATCTGCATTGATTGATGATCATTTAGTTTTTTCATTCTGCTTATATGGTGAATTATTAATATTAATATTAATAACTGAGTTATTAATAACTGAGGTTTGAAGGTTAAGTCAACTTTGTGTTCCTGGATTACCACCCTACTTGATACATATGTTAACCTAATTTGGTACTGTTTTGTTAAGAATATTTGCATCTAATTTGGTACTGTTTTGTTAAGAATATTTGCATCTGTGTTCATGAGGGAGAGATAGGTCTACAATTTTCTTTCTCTTTTTCCTTTCTTTCTTTCTTTTTTTTTTTTTTTATTGAGATGGTCTCACACTGTCACCCAGGCTGCAGTCTTGGCTCACTACAGCCTCAACCTACCATGCTCAGTCAAGCCTCCCACCTCAGCCACCTCAGTAGCTTGGGCCACATGCTCATGCCACCACTCCTGGCTAATTTTTTTATTTTTTGTAGAGATATGGGGTCTTGCTGTGTTGCTCAGGCTGGTCTTGAATTCCTGGACTCAAGCAGTTTTCTTGTCTCAGCCTCCCAAAGTGGTGGGATTACAGGAGTGAGCCACCGCAACCTGACCTGTAATTTTCTTGTAATGCTTTTGTCCCCTTTTGGTGTTAGGTTTATACTGGCCTCTTAAATTGGAATGTGATACTTTCATTGTTTTCCGAAAAAGTTTGTGTAAGATTGGAATTATTTCTTCATTGAATAGAGGCATACCTCATTTTATTGTGCTTCACTTTCTTGTGCTTTGCACGTATTTCATTTTTTACGAATTGAAGGGCTTGTGGCAGCCCTGCATCGACCAAGTCTGTTGGCCAGCAGCATGTGCTCACTTTGTCTCTGTGTCACACTTCGGTAATTCTTGCAATGTTTCAGATTTTTTTTACTGTTATATCTGTTACGGTGATCTGTAATAAGTGATTTTTGATGTCACTATTGAAATTGTTGTGGAGTGCCGTGAACTGTGCCCATGTAAGGCAGCAAACTTAATCCATACCTATAGTGCATGTTCTGACTATTGACTGGCTATTCCCTGTCTCTCTTCCTCTCCTTCGACCTCCCTATTCGCTGAGACACATCATTATGGAAATTAGGCCAATTGGATAACCTACAATGGCCTCTAAGGGTTCAAGTGAAAGGAAGAGTCATGTCTCACACTTTAAATTGAATGCTAGAAATGATTAAGCTTAGTGAGGAAGGCATGTCAGAAGCTGAGATAGGCCAAAGGCTAGGACCCCCTGTGCCAGTTAGCTAAGTTGTAAATGCAAAGGAAAAGTTATTGAAGAAAATTAAAAGTGCTACTCCAGTGAACACATGAATGACAAGAAAGCCAAACAGCCTTATTGCTGATATGGAGATAGTTTTAGTGGTCTGGATAGAAGATCAGACCAGCCGCAACATTCCCTTAAGCCAAAGCCTAATCCAGAACAAGGCCTCAAAACTCTCTTCAATTCTGTGAAAGCCGAGAGAGGTGATGAAGCTGAAGAAGAAAAGTTTGAAGCTATCAGTGGTTGGTTCATGAAGTTTAAGGAAAGAAGCCATTTCCATAAAATAAAAGCACAAGGTGAAGCAGCTAGTGCTGATGTAGAAGCTGCAGCAAGTTATCCAGATGCCCTACTTAAGATCATTGATGAAGGTGGTTGCACTAAACAACATATTTTCAGTATAAATGAAACAGCGTTCTACTAGAAGATATTATCTAGGACTTTCATAGCTAGAGAGGAGAAGTCAGTGCGTGGCTTCAAAGCTTTAAAGGACAGGCTGACTCTCTTTTTAGGGGCTAATGCAGCTGGTGACTTAAAATTGAAGCCAGTGCTCATTTACCATTCTGAAAATCCTAGGGTCTTTAAGAATTATACTAAATCTACTCTGCCTGTGCTGTATAAATGGAACAGCAAAGCCTGGATGACAGCACATCTGTTTACAGTGTGGTATATTGAATATTTTAAACTCACTGTTGAAGACCTACTGCTCCTTTCAAAATATTACTGCTCATTGACAATGCCCCTAGTCATCCAAGAACTCTGATGGAGATGTACAAGGAAATTAATGTTGTTTTCATCCATGCCAACATAACATTCATTCTGCAGCCTGTGGATCAAGGATTAATTTTGATGTTCAAGTGTCATTATTTAAGAAACATACTTCATAATGCTCTGTGTGTCATGGGTAGTGATTCCTCTGATGGATCTGGGCAGAGTAAATTGAAAACCTTCTGTAAAGGATTTGCCATTCCAGATGCCATTAAAGAACATTAGTGATTCATGAGAGGAAGTCAAAATGTCAACATTAACAGAAGTTTGGAAAAAGTTGATTCCCACCCTCATGGATGACTGTGAGGGGTTCAAGACTTCAGTGGAGGAAGCAACTGCGGATGTGGTGGAAATAGCAAGAGAACTAGAATTCAGAAGTAGAGCCTGAAGATGTGACTAAATTGCTATAATCTCATGGTAAAGTTTGAATGTGTCAGCAGTTGCTTCTTATGGAAGCAACTACTTCCCATATGCAAATAAAGAAGTTTCTTAAGATGGCATCTACACCTGGTGAAGATGTCGCGAACATTGTTGAAATGACAACAAAGGATTACATAAACGTAGTTGATAAAGCAGTGGCAGGGTTTGAGAGATTGACTCCAATTTTTTTTTTAATTAAGTTCTAGGGTACATGTGCACAGCATGCAGGTTTGTTACATAGATATACATGTGCCATGTTGGTTTGTGTACCCATCAACTCGTCATTTACATTAGGTATTTCTCCTAATGCTATCCCTCCCCCAGCCCCCCACCCCTCGACAGACCCTGGTGTGTGATGTTCCCTGCCCTGTGTCCATGTGTTCTCATTGTTCAACTCCCACCTGTGAGTGAGAACATGTGGTGTTTGGTTTTCTGTCCTTGTGGTAGTTTGCTTAGAATGATGATTTCCAGCTTCATCCATGTCCCTGCAAAGGACATGAACTCATCCTTTTTTATGGCTGCATAGTATTCCATGGTGTATATGTGCCACATTTTCTTAATCCAGTCTATCATTGATGGACATTTGGGTTGGTTCCAAGTCTTTGCTATTCTGAATAGTGGCCGAATAAACATGTGTGCATGTGTCTTTATAGTAGCATGATTTATAATCCTTTGGGTATATACCCAGTAATGGGATCGCTGGGTCAAATAGTATTTCTAGTTCTAGATCCTTCAGGAATTGCCACACTGTCTTCCACAATGGTTGAACTAATTTACACTCCCACCAACAGTGTAAAAGCATTCCTATTTCTCCACATCCTCTCTAGCATCTGTTGTTTTCCTGACTTTTTAATGATTGCCATTCTAATTGGCGTGAGATGGTATCTCATTGTGGTTTTGATTTGCATTTCTCTGATGACCAGTGATGATGAGCATTTTTTCATATGTCTGTTGGCTGCATAAATGTCTTCTTTTGAGAAGTGTACAAAAGCCAAAATAGACAAATGGTATCTAATTAAAGAGCTTCTGCACAGCAAAAGAAACTATCATCAGAGTGAACAAGCATCCTACAGAATGGGAGAAAAAGCTTTGCAATCTACCCATCTGACAAAGGGCTAATATCCAGAATCTGCAAAGAACTTAAACAAATTTACAAGAAAAAAACAACCCCATCAAAAAGTGGGCAAAGGATATGATTGACTCCAATTTTGAAAGAAGTTCTACCCTAGATAAAATGCTATCAAACAGCATCACATACTGCAGATAAATCTTTCATAGAAAGTAGAGTCAGTCAATGCAGCAGACTTCACTGATGTCTTATTTTAAGAAATTGCTACAGTCATCCCAAGCCTTCAGCAACCACCACCCTGATCAGCAGCCATCAACATCAAGCCAAGACCATCAAAAAAGAATACAACTCCTGAAAGCTCAGATGATTGTTGCATTTTTTTAAGCAACAGATTTTCAATGTAGGTGAAACAGCCTTCTAATAAAAGAAGATATCATCTAGGACTTTCTTAGCTAGAGAGGAGAACTCAGTGCCTGGCCTCAAAGCCTCAAAGGACAGGCTGACTCTCTTGTTAGCGGTTAATGCGGCTGGTGACTAAGTTGAAGCCAGTGCTCATTTACCATTCTGAAAATCCTAGGGCCCTCGGGATTTTCAAGGTATAGACATTGTTTTTTAAGACATAATGTGGTTAAACACTTGATAGACTACTTTAGAGTATAAACATTTATATGCACCGGGAAACCAAAAGTTTTGTACGACTTGCTTTATTGCGATCTTCACTTTATTGCAGTAGCCTGGTACTGAACCTGCAGTATCTTTGAGGCATGCTTGTGTTTGATAGAGTTCACCGTTGAGACCATCAGAGCCTAGTGTTTTCTTTGTGGAGAGATTTTTTATAAAGTTCAGTTTCTTTGAATTATGTGGCTAATCGGGTTGTTTTATCAGTGTTTGTAATCTGTGTCCTTTTAACAAAGCTGTCAAATTCAATGGCACAATTTTATTCATTGTTATTCTTTTTATGCTTGGTTGGTAGCAATAGTCCTCATTTTATTCTGCATATTGGTAGTTTGTGTTCCGTTTATCAGTCTTTTGAAGGATTGAACAAAGAACCAACTTTTGGCTTTGTTACTTATTTATCTTTTCGTTGATTCCTGCCACACAGTTATTTTCTGTCTTCTACTTTGAGTTGAATTTGCATCTTTTTCTAGTTTCTTAAGACAAAAATTTAGATAATAAATTTTAAACCTTTCTTCCTTTTTAATAAATACATGTAAAGCAATATATTTCTCTCTGAGCATTACTTTAATTACGTGTCACACTTTTTAGTATGTTGCATTCTTTATTATTTAGTTTAAAGCACTTTTGAATATTTTTGTAATTTCCACTTTGGCTTATGAGTTATTTGAGAATGGGTTATTTAATTTCCAAGTATTTGGGAGCCTTTTCTTTTCTTTTTCTTTTTTTTTGAGACAGGGTCTCACTCTGTCACCCAGGCTGGAATACAGTGGTATAGTCACAGCTCATTGCAGCCTTTATGTCCCTGGGCTCAGGTGATCCTCTCACCTCAGTCTCCTGAGTAGGTGGGACCACAGATGTGTGCTACCACACCTGGTTAATTTTTGTTTTTGAAGACATAGGGTTTCGCCATGTTGCCCAGTCTGGTCTTGAACTCCTGGGCTCAAGCAGTCAGCCTGCCTTGGCCTCCCAAAGTGCTGGGATTACAGGCATGAGCCATGGTGCCTAGCCCCTTACTTATATTTAGTTCTAACTTAATTATGTTGTAGTCAGAGAACACAATCTGTAAGATCCCAATTTTTAAAAATTTATTGACTTTTTTTTTTTTTTGGTTCAGTATATGTCTTGTCTTGGTGAATTATTCCATGTGCATTTCTGGGTGGGGTTTTTTGTTTGTTTGTTTGTTCGTTTGTTTGAGTCCAGGTCTCACTCTGTTGCCCACAGTGAAGTGCAATGGTGTGATCATAGCTCACTGCAGCCTAGAACTCCTTGGTTCAAGCTATTCTCCCACTTCAGCCACCAGAGTAGCTGAAACTACAAGCATATACCACCATGCATGGCTAATTTTTTAAAAAGTTTTTATAGAGGCAGGGTCTTGGCTGGTCTGATGGTAGTGGGTTATCAGAATTTATTAAAATTATTAGTGTCACTGAAGTTAGTATACAACCCCCCACTGCTGAATCTAACTAGTTTTTTTAAAAAGGAAACAAATTTAAAAATATATACAGTGTGTAGAGATGGGGTCCTGCTGTGTTGCCCAGGCTGGTCTTGAATTCCTGGCCTCAAACAATCCTCCTGCCTCAGCCCCCCAAAGTGCTAGAATTATAGGCAGGAGCTACCAAGCTTGGCCTCCTACATTTGAAAAGAATGTGTATTTCTCAATTGTTGAGTGTAGTGTTTCATGAATGACAATTAGGTCAGGGTGGTTGGTAACATTTAAATATTTTATATCCTTAATTAATTTTTATCTAGTTGTTATATTGATTCCTGGGAGAGATGCTAAAATTTTTTCAAAATTAGCCATGCATTTTCATCTTAAGAAAACAGATGCTAAAATCTGAAACTGCAGTTTTTGATTTGTTCATTTCTTCCTTTAAATGTTAGTATTTGCTCTTGTGTCTTGAGGCTCTATTACTACTTGCATATACATTTATATAGTTCTGTCTTCTTAGTGAACCTTTTATTGTTACGAAATGTTCCTATTTACCTCTGATTGTATTCCTTGTCTTAAAGTCTATTAAATTGACGTTAAGGTTGCCATTCTAGTAGTCTTTGGTGTTTGCACGGTATATATTTTTTTCCTTATTCCATTTTTGTATGTATCTACTGATTTTTATAATAAAAAAATTGTATAAGGAACATTCTGAATGGTAGATGATAGAGATTATGCATTCTGATTTGTTCCTTTAGAGAGAGTTTAGTTCTGGCTGGCAGTTACCTTGGTCAATTCAGTCTTCAACATTGCACTCCACTCATGGTAGAGCAGCAGAAATCTCTAATCTCAGTTACTGAGTTTTTCCAGCTTCCAGCTGCACCTTTTAGCTTGATCCCGAGGTCTACTTCATGCCTGTAGTTTATGAGCCAGCCAAGGATTTCTAGAGATTTGGGGGCTCATCTCTTTCTGGTTCCCTTCCTTCTGATGGTCCCCCTTCCAAATTTCCCCCCCAGGTTAATGTCTGCTTCTTTATCCCAGAACTCTCTCTTTTGACCACCAAAACTGCTAGTAACACTTTGAGCCCCTTGCTGGTGAATGGGGGAGTGCCCTTAGGCAAAACATAAATAAAAATCTTACATGTATTTTTTCAAAGTTATGCTTTCTGATTAGTAGACAGTTGACAGTAGACAGTTGGCAGGCAGGGAAAGGTAGACTCTTCTTTGATTTCTCTCTGGTGTTCATTCATTCATTCGTTTGTTTGTTTGTTTATTTATTTATTTATTTTTATTGACAGTGTCCCACTCTGTCGCCCAGGCTGGAGTGCAGTGGTGTGATTATAACTCACTACAACCTTGAACTCCAGGGGCTCAAGCGATCCTCCTGTCTCAGCCTCTCAAGTACCTGGGACTGCAGGCACATGCCCCATACCTGGCTAATTTTTACTTTATGTTTTTGGAGACAGGAGTCTCACTGTATTGCCCAGTCTCATCTCAAATTCCTGACCTCATGTGATCCTCTCACTTCAGCTTCCTTAGTAGTTGGGATTACAGGCACAAACCACTGGGCCTGGCTCAGTATACCTGTTCTTTTTTTCGTTTTTAGTTCATTGATGTTTAGTTCAGCTTTTATAATTACATGTGTGACAGTTGGTCCAACCATGGTACTCTGTCATTATAAGAAACTAGAACCCCCAAATCATTTTATTTAATGTTTAAGACATAGATTTTTTTTTTATTGGTAGACTTTATTTTCAGAACAGTGTTAGATTTTCAGAGAAACTGGGAATATAATACACAGAGCTTCCATATTTCCCCTTGCACACAGTTTCCCCTGCTGTTAATATCTTACATGAGTATGGTACATTTGTTACAACTAATAAACTGGTGCTAATGCATTATTATTAACTAACATCCATTGTTTATTGAGATTTTTAAAGCTTTTCCCTAATGTCCTTTTTCTGTTCCAGGATTCCATTCAGAATATCGTATTAGCTGGGCACAGTGGCTAACACTTGTAATCCCCACGACTCAAGAGGCTGAGGCAGAAGGATCGCTGAGGCCAGGAGTTCAAGAACATCCTGAGCAACATAGCGAGACCCTGTCTCTACAAAAAAAAAATAATGATAATAACTTGTAAAAAAGAGAATATCATATTACATTTAGCTGTCATGTCTCTTTAGGCCCTTCTTGGCTATGACAGTTTCTTAGACTTCCTTGTTTTTGATGACTTTGACAGTTTTAAGAAATATTGGTTAGTATATTATAGGGTACCCCTTGATTGGAATTTATCTGAAGTTTTTCTCATGAATAGACTGGACTATGGGTATTTGGGAGGAAGATCACAGAGGCAAGGTGGCATTTTCATCACATCAAATCAAGGGGTACACGTATTGCCAACAGTGTTTGGGACTGCTGATGTAGACCTTGATCACCTGGCTGAAGTAGTATTTGCCAGGTTTCTCCACCGTAAGTTACCTCCCCCCTTACTACTGTAAGTAGTACTGTAAGTCAGGACTGTACTGACTCCTTGGAAGTCACTCTGTGCAGTCCACACTTAAGAATGTAGAGTTTTGCTTACTTTTGCCTGTGTTCTAAATTGAGATTTTTTTTCAGAAACCTAAATTCTGTTAGACATAGATAGCTTCCAAGTTACATTGTGTGTTGATTCATTCTTTGGTTTATTCATTTAACAGTTAACATGTTTAGTTAATGTACTACATGCCAGTTACTGTGCTTGTTTTCTGGTGGAGTATAAGACTTTTTAGGAAATTGTTTCTGTCCTCAAGAAGCACAGCCTATGTGTGTGATGAATATACAAGAAGTAAGCGCCATCATTAGGATACTTTCAGCTCCAAAATAAAAATACCCATTTAAGGTGGCTTTAATAATAAATGAAATTGTTGCCTCACACTCTAAGGAGGTCTGCCCATCAGCCTGTTGTACACTTGCTTCAGTGATTCAGTGAATGCCATTAAGTATTTACGGCCTTTGCATACTCCTCCTCTGCCATTTCCTGGTGTGTTGACTTTTGAGTTCAGATGTTTCACGTCATGGTTAAGAGTTTTGGATATCACAGTGTGTGCAACCTGTATCCAGACAGGAAATGGCCCTTCTCTCATGCTTTCTTCCTTTTATCTGGGAAGAATTTCTTCCTTAGAGGTCTCCCAGTAGACATCTCTTTGACCCCAGTTGGATCACATGGCTACCCCTAGTTAACACTGGAAGCTTAAAAGCAAAATCTGACATTTTAAACCTCTGATGTGGCAGGAGGCTTTGTCTGCCAGGAATAAGCCTGACAAAGGTAGTGGTTATTGGATAGGTAGAAACAGGAGCTGCCATAGGTGGACTAGAAGCAAATAGATAAGGACAGGGTATAGTTGACCTTAATCAAAAGGCAAAGGTGAAGTATACCTCCTAAAGGCTAGGCAAGTCTCCGAGTGGCTGACTTCTATCTGACCTACGTTTTAAAGAATGAAGTAGAGGAATATGATATGGGTAAGACAAAGCATTGCAGACACAGCAGACTCCAAAGATGAAGGGAATTTCTTAGTGAAATGAGTTCCGCAGGGCACAATGGAATGGTTTTGAGGGAAGGAAGCAGAAGGAAAATGAGCCCAGGTGAGGGCAAATGCAGTAGATGGTAGAGGACTGGTTGAGGAGAGATGTTCTGAAGGGCCTGTGGGCCACAAGGGGCAAGAGCCAGGGATGGAATTCTGTGGTCTTGGAAAGTTGCTTTGGTTCCAGAACTGGCTGGTGCTTTCATGGTAATCAGCATTCTTAAAAGGTATTGGTAGCTCTTAGCGCTCAGCACCCTGAAAGGCCTGCTCACCTCACATGTTGGAGCAGTGTTTCCAGGAGACTTTCCTGTAGTTGATGGTGAGCTGCTTCGAGATCAGAGCTTTGACTGCACATGTTTAAAATGACAGTCCTTTAATTAAAATTTCATCCTGTAAGCATACCAGGCCTTTGTGGCTACTATAAATATATTTTAAAAGAAAGGTTACTTCTACCTTGCATCATCATGAACAGAGTTTCTGCTTTCTCTGTCATCTCTATAGCCATTTGACAGAAGCTTTCAAAAGTGAGTCAGATTTTTCCCCCCACAATTAATAAAATTTTTATATCTTTAATTTTTCCTTCTGGAAAGGAAGAGGAGGCTGCAAAATGGGCCCGGGAAGAAGAAGAAGCCCAGCGTCGATTAGAGGAGAACCGGCTGCGGATGGAAGAGGAGGCAGCCAGACTCCGGCATGAGGAAGAAGAACGGAAGAGAAAGGAGCTGGAGGTCCAGCGGCAGAAGGAGTTAATGCGCCAGAGGCAGCAGCAGCAAGAGGCTCTCCGGAGGTTGCAGCAGCAGCAGCAGCAACAACAGCTGGCGCAGATGAAGGTAAAGCCCGAGGCATCAACCTTAGGAGCTCCTTGCTAACATTTTTTAGTTAGGTAGGTGCTGGCTGTACCAGTAGCAGTAAAACTGTTCTTTCTTTCTTTTTTTAATATTAAAATATTTTAAATTATTTATTTATTTTTGAGACTGGGTCTCACTCCCATCACCCAGGCTGGAGTGCAGTGGTGCGATCTTGGTTCACTGTAACCTCAACTTCCTTGGGCAGCTCATATGATCCTCCCACCTCAGCCTTCCCAGTAGCTGAGACTACAGGCATGCCCCACCACACCCAGCTAGTTTTTTATATTTTTAGTAGAGATGGTGTTTCACCATGTTGCCCAGTGCTGGGATTACAGGTGTGAGCCACTGTGCCCAGTACTTTCTTTATCGTTGAATATTAGTACTTTGGTTTTTTGATCATCAATAAGATACATAATGCACATACTTTGTATTAGGCATTTAAATGAGAGAGGAGTAAACAAGAGGATAGGACATGAGCAGCAATGCAGGCAAAACAAGTAAATCTGTTTGGTTTGTAAATTTAATGTGGCTCAGTAAACACTGGAGTGCCTATTCCATACCAGTTCAGCGCTGCTGAGACAAACATAAATGAGACAAGGCAGTTGCTCCCAGAGAGCTCACCAACTTAAAAATATAGGCATGTAAACGTTCAGATGTGTAAATGGGAACTAGAATATAGGGCTTGAAACAGAGTTGGCCATAGGCATTTATTGAAAGTTACATTAAGAGGTGATATATACAAAGTGTTGTTTTAAAGAGGATTCAAAACTTTTTTTTTTTTTTTAATAAGGAGAAAGTAAATACTGGGAGCCTAGTAAAGAGGCTGTGTTGGTGCTGGTGTGAATGAATAGGAGAGGCCAGCAGGAGGGAGCTGGCCTGATAGCAGTCAGCAAGAATTAATTAGTCTCTGGAGCTGAGGGAGGAAGGCAGAAGCTGGGGTGCCTGCCAGATAAGTTTCAGTGACTGAGAAGATAGTGGAACTGTTGATGGAATTGGAGTAATTGGGAAGGGAGGAGCAGACTTATGGCAGGTTCTGCATAACTTCATGCTGGGTCTGCAGTGCGCAGTAAGGTTTAGTGTCCCCTATCTTCAAGTAGCTCACAGGTTAGACACATAAACAGGCAAGTAGAATACAGTATGGTGAGTATAGTGGGAGAGGTGGCATGGAGTCAGTCATTCTCAGAGTTCCGTCACTTGGGAACTTGTGAGATGTGCAGATTCGCACCCCAGACCTATTGAATCAGAACCTCTAAGGGTGGAACTGAGAAATCTTGTATTTAAACAAACCCATGCTCTCTAAAATGTGAGAACCACTGTCCATCTGGGAAGTTTGGAGAGGCTTCTTGAAAAAAGGTAACTTCCAAACTGAGTCTGGCTTTCAGCATTTTTACTATGACGTGTCTGTTTGTGGATCTCCTTGTGTTTAATCTACTCAGAATTCATGGTGCTTCCTGGATGTATAGATTAATGTTTTTCCATAAACTGGAGAAGTTTTTAGCCATTATTTCTTCAATTGTATGTTCTGTTCCTTTCTCTCTCTCCTTCAGGCACTTGAGTGATGCTTATGTTGATGCACTTCATGCACTTAATGGTGTCTCATTTCTCTAAGGCTCTCTTCAGTTTTCATGTTCTTCTCTCTATTCTTTGTGTAATCTGTATTGATCTATCTTTAAGTTTCTTTCTTTTGCCAGTTCAGATACACTATAGTGTACCTCTAGTGATTTTTTTTTTAACTAAAAGTTTTTTATATATATTTAGGGCATGCAAGTGTAGTTTTCTTAATAGCATATATTGCACAGTGGTGAAGTCCAGGCTTTTCGTGTACTTATCTCCTAAATAGTGAGCATTGTACCCAGTAGGTGATTGTTCAACCCTTACTCACCTCGTATTCTCCCAGCTTTGGGGGTCTCCAGTGTCCATTATTCCACTTTGTGTGCCTGTTTGTTTAGCCCCCACTTATAAGTGAGAACATGCAGTATTTGACTTTCTGTTTCTGGGTTACCTTACTTAGGACAATAGCCTCCAGTTCCATCTGTGTTGCTGTGAAAGACAAGATTTCATTCTTTTTTGTGGCTGAGTAGCATTCCATGCCTTATATAAACACCACATTTTCTTTATCCAATCCTCTGTTGATGGGCAGTTTTTAATTTCAGTTATTATACTTTGGTACTCCAGAATTTCCTTTTGGTTTTTTAAAAAATATCATCTATCTCTTTATCAATATTCTTTATTTGGTGTGACACTGTCATCATACCTTCCTTTACTACTTTAGTTATAGCTTCCTTAGGTTCCCTGAACAACTTTTATAACATATGCGAAGTCTTTGTGAAATCTGACATCTTGTTCACTCTCACAGGCAGTTTTTGTTGCCTGCTTTTTTCCCCAGTGTATGGGTTATACTTTCCTGTTTCTTGCATGTATCGTAATTTTTTATTGGCAGCTGGACTTTTTGATAATGTCTTCTAGCAACTCTGGGTATCTCCACCCGCCCTTCCCAGCTTGATTTTCTTACTTGTTTGTTTATTTGTTTTGTGACTGGATGGATTATTTTAGTGGAATCCAGTTCTCCCCTCCTCCCCCCGACCATGTTGAAGCCCTTGCTCTTGCCCATGTTGGGGATATAGCACTGGGTGTGCCCAGAGTGACTCCGAGGTGACCGTGGGTTTGGCAGGGCTCTCTTTGATTGTCTTTTCCACACCCAGCTGTTTCACTCCACTTATTGCTAGCTGATTGCTCTGTTGTTCTTAACCCATTTCCCGTTTGCCCTGAGAATATCCCTGGTGGTGCGTGTGGCTGCAGCGCTGACCCCGAGATAACTCTCGGATTACAGTCCTAACCTTACCCCTAAATGCTTTTCAGAGAATTATATCCAAACAGCACTGATGCAGTTAGGACAGCTTGTTGGAACAGAAAACAGATGCCAAATGATCTAGGAAAAAAAACCTGCGAGTTAGCCCTGGGTAAACGCTGCAGCTGCACATGCTGCCAGCAAATATTCTCGGGGCAGATGGGAAATGGGTTAAAATTGTCCTGGGCTGGGTGCAGTGGCTCACGCCTATAATCCCAGCACTTTGGGAGGCCGAGGCTGGTGGTTCGCTGGAGCTCAGGAATTCAGTACCAGCCTGGGCAACATGGTGAAACCCCATCTCTACATATATATATATATATATATATATATATATATATATATATATATATATATATATATATATATATATACATATATATACTTATATATTTATATATATAAATATAAATATATATAAATATAAATATATATAAATATAAATATATATATAAATAAATTATTCAGGCGTGGTGATGTGTGCCTGTGGTCCTAGCTACTCAGGAGGCTGAGGTGGGAAGATCACTTGAGCCTGGGAGACAGAGGTTATAGTGGGCCAAAATCATACCACTGCACTCCAGCCTGGGTGACGGAGTGAGACCCTGTCTCAAAAAAAAAAAAAAAAAAAAAATCCCTTGGGGCATACACTGACAGACTGATCCACTTAAATTCAGGTTTCTTTGAAGAAATAGCTCCTGAGGTCTATATATGAAATTTGTTTTGACTCCGGGAGGATTTCTTCTAGTTTTCTTTAACTAGTTTTCTCAGATAAGGTAGCAGCCTCCTACAGTTTAGCCTGTATCTCCTATGAATCTACCAGTCTCCTCCTAATTGCCTTTTATCCCAACTTCTACTGTTTCTGAAAACACCATTAGGCTTGAACTCATCCACTGTCTGTTGCAAATAAAGTCAGTTCCTTTGGGAAGAAACCTGGAGCTTTCTGTTTTCTACCTGTTTCCTACACCACTACCCTCAGACAAAAATCTCTCAGTCAGCTCTGGAAGTGGGCACAGTGGTCTGCTTTCCTCTAACATTTGCTGAAGGGTGGGCAGAATAGTAGCCTCAGGTATTCTTGGCTTGCCTCTCCTGATGGCTTGGCCCGGCCAGCTGCATTGGTGATCACGACCCTAGTGTTGGTGTTGCTGTGGTCAAGTTTCCATCCTATGAGTGGGGCTGGGCACAAGAAGAGAGCCTCCACATCTGTTGCACTTGTTTGGAACTTAGCATTTGTCACAGGTGACTGCCATCAGGGTGAGACACACCGATGTGCTTTTCCCAGGAAGAAAGCCTGCTGACTGATGGCTGAGGGGAGAAGGGAAGCCGTGTCTTGACTGTACCAGTCTAGAGTGGAGTTTCTGTCTCATTAAGCTGGGAGGAGAGAAGGAGAGTAGGTCTTGGTTTAAGTATCACCAACTCTTGCTGTTCTTACTGAGTTTTAGCAAATATTCTTGAATAAACTTTTTTTCATTTGCTGTATGCCCTTAGGAGTATTTCCAGAGACTTTATTTATTTTTTTGAGACAGGGTCTGGCTCTGTCGCCCAGGCTGGAGTGCAGTGACACGATCTCAGCTCACTGCAACCTCCGCCTCCTGAGTTCAAGCGATCCTCCTGGCCTCAGCCTCCTAAGTAGCTGGATTAAAGGTGTGCGTCACCACACCCAGCTACTTTTTTTTTTTATTTTTAGTAGAAATGGGATTTTGCCATGTTGGCCAGGCTGATGTCAAACTCCTGACCTCAAGTGATCCGCCTGCCTCGGCCTCCCAAAGTGCTGGGATTACAGGTGTGGGGCCCTGCTGCCAGCCAGAGAGTTTAAATGATTATTTTAAAAATGATCTTCACCAGTTTTGCCAGGGAGCAGGTCCACGCAGCTCCTCATGCTGTCATTCCGACAGTGAAACAGTTATTTCTTAAAGCAAAACCAGTGTTGAAATGTAAGGTAGCAATGTCAGCGCAGAACAAGAAGAGTATAGTTTTAAAAATCAATGAAGGACATTAGGCATTCGGGGGTCCCTATTTGCTTTTGATTTGTCAAAAGTTTGTTCTGAGAAGCATGATTGACACACTGCAGTTCTCCTGAGTGGGCATTATAGGGTGGGCTGGTAAGTGTCATGAGGCAATGTTGAAAGAGCTCTGGGATATTATTTCCGATGTACAAAGAAGACTTAAGGAAAATGAAAGCTATCAGCAGACATAAGTCTATATAAGGAAGACTTAACTTTGGTCTGTAGAACAGACCTATGAAATATAGAGTATATATTTTGTGTGTATATATACCTAGAGAAAGAGCGTGTGTATGTATATGTATATGTGTGTATGTGTGTGTGCATGTGTATATATATATATACACGCATATGTATGTGTGTGTATATAGAGAGAAATAGGGAGTCAGGCCAGGGAGGAGAGAGAAAATAAATATATTTTGGCACAGCAATAGGAAGATTCTCAGAGGTGCCCGTGAGGATAGATGGCCATTTCTGGAGGCACTGCCTCTATTCCCAGTGCTGGCTGAGTTCTGCTGAAGCGGGCTTGAAAGATTGTTTCCTGATTACCATGGGGTGACACATCTACTGTGATTTTAGACAACATCAGTGGTTACTGGCTGCATCAGAATGATTAAAATATGCTGATTCTCCTGCCTTCCCTTCTGATCTTCTGATTGATTAGGTGTGGTGGAGCCAGGGCCTCTACATTTTTATAGGTCCCTTCAGGTTATGCTGCCAGTTTGAGATCTACTGCCTTACTTGATCTTGATAGTGCCTTCAAATGAGTCATTTCCTGTGGAGACAAAGTTAATTTTTGCTCAGTTTTGCCTCTCAACACCTCCCTCCCCCAGTCTTTGTTAACTTCCCTCTGCACCCCTCCCCCACCCCAGGGCAGGTGCATTTTGAGAGAAATGCCCTATTGTCTGTCATATTGGCTAAAAAATGTTAAGAGTTGATTATGTTCAGTAGTGTTGAAGACATTCATTTGAAGAGTTGTTTGGCAGTATCAGTGATGGTTTAAACTGTTTATACCTTTTATCCTATCAATATCCACTGTTATAGATTTCTGCTGTAGGTCCATTCTTTTGGGGACTGTTTGGCATTTTATTTGTTTTGATCTATGTTCATGTATTATTTTTATTAAATACATTTTTTAAGTCTGGTTAGGTTTCTTTTTTATTGTGTTCGCTTGTTTGATGCCTCAGTATTAAAAGTGTGTCTTTTTCTGGCCAGGAAGAGCAAGGGGTTCTCTGAGAATAATCAGGCTTTGAGAATATTGAAATATTCAGGACCTAGATATTTATACTCTATTTTAGTCAATAATCTTAAGGGATGGGAAAAATAAAATTATTGATTAAAAGCAGCTTAATGCTCATGACTAGAAGCTACAGCCTGGTTAACAGTGGCTCCCTTTCATAAAGGCTGATCAAGAACTATGCCAGCATCTCTCATGAGATGAGAAATCTCATGGTGCTACCCTCAGAAATCGTGTCCTTAACACTTTCACTGGACAGCAGCATATCATGTCCTTTGTTGCTTTCGTCAATTAAAAAATCCTTAAGCCAATTTAGTGATTCTTTTGTTTACTCCTCTTTATGGTTGTATATTGCTGTTTATGTCAGTACCAGATGTAACAAATTTGTTGTCACCAAGAGGTAGATGAAATGTAAGTGTGTATGTGTATTATAAGTTGTTTTAAAATAAACTTAGGTTTGGAGCAGTGACAAAAACTTAAGCAAAAGAAGCTGAGAGGATAGTAAGTAAAAGCAATGAAGAAGGAAATTTGAATTGAATGTGGTAAATGGAGTTGAGAGAAATGCATTTGTTCTGGGTATACATAATGCATTATTGCTTCTTTGTTTCCTGTCCACATTTCCTCATGAACTTTCTGGCCTTCCCTTTTTTGTTAGCTTCCTTCTTCTTCAACGTGGGGCCAGCAGTCCAATACAACAGCATGTCAGTCCCAGGCCACGCTGTCGTTGGCTGAAATCCAAAAACTAGAGGAAGAACGAGAACGGCAGCTTCGAGAAGAGGTAAAATTTTAAAGTAAAAGGGATCTAGTCAAGCGATGTTCCAGAATATCTAGCATGCATTATGGGTTAGTGGTTACTGAGGACAATTACTGTCAGAATTGTTGTGTGTCTGAATTGGACGTTCATTATTAAACTTCAGCCCATAATTTGGTTACCCTAGCAAATGTGAAGGATCTCATAGGTATAACATGAAGATTGAGTAACATAACTGTTCAGTTTTCTTAAACATTTTACTGTAGTTCTTGAGAAGACCTCATAAATAAAACTACACGGGTTGTTCAAAATTGTGGGTGAGTTGTGTGCAGATAATCTTTTATAAGTCTGATGTCTAGAAAGCAGAATATGTTTTTCTCTAAAGACACTGGGTTCCCTGACTAGTCTAGAAAAATGTGACAGAAATAAAGTACCTCTGCTTTTAAGTGTATATCCTGTAGTTCATCATTAGGGTAGGAAGGATACAAAAGAGTATAAAAGGGAAGGGGAATAACACAGCTTTTGACAGAGAGGAGAAAATGAATAATTTTCATAGTTTGGTTCAGTATGCCATTCGGTGCTCATTCATTCATTCATTCATTCATTCATTCAACACATGTTTACTGAGTACCTACTCACTTAAGGTCTGGGGATATAGCTGAGTCTAAAACAGGCAAGATTTTCTGCATTCATGAAGCTGACCCTCTGATTGAGAAGAGAAAAGTAGAAAATGAAGCGTATGAGAGGTTGATAAGTGTCAGAGAGGTAACAAGGGAAGGTGGGTAGGGAGAGTGTTGGGAGTCAGGGATAATGATGGTGTGGTGGATTGTCCAAATTTAGGTAGTGTGTTCTGAGAAGGCCTCTGAAAAGGTGACATAATATAGCAGAGTCTTGAAGATGCTTTATGTGGATATGATTTGAGGTAGAGCAGTCAATTTGTTAGAGAATGTAAGTTGTCATTTTTGGATCTGGGTCATGTGGTTCACTGAAATTAGGAGGGCTTTGGATACACAAGGAGAAATAGAAATTGTCTATATGTGTTTACCAGGTAGTGTGCTTGAAGTCATCCAGTAAGATAAGATGTTTCTTCACACTTGAAGATGACCTTATTTCCCACCTTTATTTAAGAAAAAAAAAAAAAAGAATTGAACTTTCTCTGGAATCATCTTTCTCTAAAAGGTTATCAACAAATGGATGCAGAACAGAGTATGTCTCTCCCTTCAAAGCTAGAAATTATTCCACTAATTTTGGTCCCTACTGAATGAGAAGATAATAATAGTGGTAATGACAAGGAATCACAGGTCTTCTCCTGTCTACCAGAAGTTAATAATTATTTCATTCGTGTTTTCTTTTTCTTTTTTTTCTTTTAGAGACTGAGGCTCGCTCTGTCACCCAGGCAGGAGTGCAGTGGCGCGATCTCGGCTCACTGCAGCCTCCACCTCCTGAGTTCAAGTGATTCTCCTGCCTCAGCCTCCCGAGTAGCTGGGATTACAGGCACTTGCCACCACCACCAGCTATTTTTTTTTTTTTTTTTTTTTTTAAGTATTTTTAGTAGAGACGGAGTTTCACCATGTTGGCCAGGCTGGTTTCAAACTCCTGACCTCAAGTGATCCACCCGCCTCGGCCTCCCAAAGTGCTGGAATAACAGACATGAGCCACCGTGCCCTGCCTTCATTTGTATTTTCATTTAATTTTCTTGGAACTTTTAAGTCTCCCTGTACCCTTTATAAGGGTGCCTCTTAATACACATTTCACATATTTCTTACGTAGAAAAACCCAAGATGATTTTATTTCATTATCATCCCTGGAGGCATCCTTTCTGGGGGCCTCTAACCTGTTCCAATCAGGACACTCTCAGCTTGCTTTATAGCTGCTGTTTTGTTTTTCTTGAGTTCCTGTTATTTACATGTTTCTCCCAGGACTGATTTTGATTTTCTCATGTTTTTTCTCCTGTTTTCCATCTCTGTGCTTTTATCTTTTTTGATAAGATCTTGCTGTGTCTCCTGGGCTGGAATGTAGCTAGGACTACAGGTGTGTGCCACCATGCCTGGCTAATTTAAAAAAAAATTTTTTTTTTTTTGAGACGGGTGTCACTGCATTACCTGGGCTGCCCTCAAACTCCTGAGCTCAAGCGATCTTCCCACCTTGGCCTCCCAAAGTGTTGGGATTATAGGCATGGGCCACCACGCCCTACCCTTTTTATCTTTTCTATGGGGCATTTTCTCAGTTTTACCTGCAGTCCTTCTATTGGGCTTCTCCTGTTAGAGACAGGGTCTTGCTCTGTCACCCAGGCTGGAGTGCAGTGGTGTGATGGTAACTCACTGTAACCTTGAACTCCTGAGCTCAAGTGATTCTCCTGCCTAGGCTTCCCAAAATGTTGGGTATTACAGGCATGAGCTACCACACCTGGCCCTGTTGAGCTTTTAATATATGCTATATCAAACATCTGTGAGTCCTTATTTTGTTCTTTAAGTATTTTTTATAGCCTTTTATTGTTTCATTAAATGCACCATCTTACCTCTCTAAGGATATTACTTACTGATAGCTTCTTAAAAAGCCAACTCCTATTTTGCCGTTCTCTTATTTCTATTTCTGCTGAATTATTTTTGTTTTGGTCTTTGGCTTTTATGTTAGAAGTTTATGTCAAATGTTTGGTAATTCTGGGCTGTTTGTTCCTATTTACAAATAAGGCACTCAGAAGCTGATTGGAGGTTCTGGTATGTACAGCACCTTGATGGGCTTTCCTATAATAGATTCTGGCTGGGTTGTTCTGTTGGGGACCTCCACCCCCACCCCCACTCCAATTTGTTGGTACCTACTTATAGGTGTGTTCTCTTGTCAAGCTGGTTGGCTTCCCCACAGGATAATGTGCCAGTCTGATTTGGCTTCTTCAGACAGGGAATGTTCGGTTTTCTGCTGTGGTGAGGGAGAGTGAATTGCCTAACTGCACAGAGTGCGGGAGGCAATCTGGAGTCTTACTGCTTCTTTTTACAGCCTTTCAACCAGTCTTCCTCTGTTTGAGAGACTCAGCACCTCCAGTTCCTGAGCCTTCTTTGTGAATCTGCCTGTTTCTGAGCTCCTTTACTTAGATTTCAATTTATTAGGTCTGTTACATTGGTTCTCATTATTTATCTGCTTTTCAGATTTTAAAAAATCTATTCTGTTTTCTTTGTCCTCATGTGTTTATGCTGTGTGTGTGTGTGTGTGTGTGTGTGTGTGTGTGTGTGTGTGTGTGTGTATAATCTGTCATTTTGGTGGGGGCTTTAGGAAGTAAACATGTGTTTTATTTCTGTGCTTAACCAAAAGCCTACTTAATTTTTAAGAAGTAATTCTGGCCAGGCTCGGTGGCTCACTCCTGTAATCCTAGCACTTTGGGAGGCTGAGGCGGGTGGATTACAAGGTCAGGAGTTCAAGGCCAGCCTGACCAACATGGTGAAACCCCGTCTCTACTAAAAATACAAAAATTAGCCAGGCGTGGTGTGGTGGCAGGCGCCTGTAATCCCAGCTACTCAGGAGGCCGAGGCAGGAGAATTACTTGAACCCGGGAGGCGGAGGTTGCAGTGAGCTGAGATCGTGCCATTGCACTCCAGTCTGGGCGACAGAGCGAGACCCTGTCTCAAAAAAAAAAAAAAAAAAAGTAATTCTGAGGCCGGGCACTGTGGCTCATGCCTGTAATCCCAGCACTTTGGGAAGCCGAGGTGGGCAGATCGCTTGAGGCCAGGAGTTCGAGACCAGCCCGGCCAATATGGTGAAATCCCATCTCTACTAAAAATACAAAAAATTAACCGGGCATTGTGGCTTGAACCTGGGAGGCGGAGGTTCCAGTGGGCTGAGAGTGTGCCACTGCACTCCAGCCTGGGCGGAAGAGTGAGACACAGTCTCAACAACAATAAAAAAAGAAGTAATTTTGCATTTCATGTTTTTATTCTCCTTTTTAATACTGTTAGCGATTTACATTTTTATTTGCAACAGCAGAATTTAATCCCATCAAGTTAATTTTATGTAGCTACTGTGTATTTACATTCCATTTAGTATACTGGATATTTATAACTATTATCTAAAAACAGGAATCCTCAGCTAGCTTCTGTTTTTATGCAACAGCAAAGGCGCCAGCAGAGGGAGTTGATGAAAGCTCTTCAGCAGCAGCAGCAACAGCAACAGCAGAAACTCTCAGGTTGGGGGAATGTCAGCAAACCTTCAGGTACCACGAAATCTCTTCTGGAGATCCAGCAGGAAGAGGCCAGGCAAATGCAAAAGCAGCAGCAGCAGCAGCAGCAACACCAGCAACCAAACAGAGCTCGTAACAATACGGTGTGTGCATTTTCCTAAGCTGTCGTTGTATGGACTAGTATTATCTTTTCTGACTGTCTTCTTATCTTTTTAACATGATTCACGATAATCATTTTTCTCTTTTTCTTTAACAGCATTCCAACCTGCACACCAGCATTGGGAATTCTGTTTGGGGCTCTATAAATACTGGTCCTCCTAACCAGTGGGCATCTGACCTAGTCAGTAGTATTTGGAGTAATGCTGACACTAAAAACTCCAACATGGGATTCTGGGATGATGCAGTGAAAGAGGTGGGACCTAGGAATTCAACAAATAAAAATAAAAACAACGCCAGTCTCAGGTAGGGCTCAAAATGACCACACCTATGCACCTTGGTTGGTTGGGAGGTGGGGATGGAGGAAGTGGGATGTTGGGTGGGCAGGAAAAGGTAGTTATTGAGTTTTTGCTTACCGTTTTCATCTGTGTTCAAGCACATGCAGTCATAATTATGGTGATTGCTTTCTTCCCCATAGAAACACATTCGTATTATTTCTTGGGGCTCCTGCTGAGCACTTATTCTATCGCCTAGCACATGGTAACCACTTAATAAATATTAGGAATAGTATAATGTTTTTGTTGTGTTGTTGAACATTTCTCCAAGGTATTCTCTAGATACCTTAGCATTTTTCCTATATTTGTATTTTTAAGTAATTTATGCTATTAATATGAGTATTATAAAATACCTCTGTAATGACCTTAAACCTATTTATTTTTATAAGTTAGTTACATTTTCATCTTCATCTTTCTTTCTTCAATATACAGTGTTGTTGAACGAGCATGGGTTTTAGTGTTAAATACATGAACTCAAATCCCAGCACTACCACTTATTAGCTGTGTGACCTTGGGCAAGAGGGAACCTCTTTGGGCCTCAGTTCCCTCATCGGTAAAATGAAGATAATAATAACAACTTTATGCATGTAATTGTAAAGATTAAATGAATACATGATAAGTAGTAAGTGCCTGGCACATAGTAACTACTTAATAAATGGTAGTGTTGTCAGATTGTTTCTTCTTGATTTAGGGCCTAACATATTATGAATAGAACAATAAATTTCTGTTAGTTTATTGAGCATCTTTGCCAGGCACTGTGCTGTAGGCCTTTTCATAGAACATCTTTATTACTTATGATAACCCAAAAAAGTTGTTAGTACCGTTTTACAGATGAGGAGACTGAGGCTTAGTAAAATTAAACAACTTACCTAAGGACACGTAGGAAGAATTTCATCATTTTTTCTAAGTAGAACCCCTGTATCCACAAATTAGGATATATTAACTGAGGCTAGATTTTAAGGGTATATCCAATCCAAATATTTGAATTTTTTTCTTTTTTGGAGCCAAGCATTGGATTATTTACTGGGCATCCATCCAGTATTGCCAAGACATTATTTATGGTGTTGTACTATAATCATATAGTAACAGTTTCTGGGAATATAATATCACCCTATTGTTTTGCTTTAGTAAATCTGTAGGTGTGTCTAACCGGCAGAATAAGAAAGTAGAAGAAGAAGAAAAGTTGCTGAAGCTCTTTCAGGGAGTAAATAAAGCCCAAGATGGATTTACGCAGTGGTGTGAACAGATGCTTCATGCCCTTAATACGGCAAATAACTTGGATGGTAAGAATTGGGGAGGGAAACCCGGCATGTGGAATGACAGAGCAGGACCCACAGAGAGGCTGGCAAATTTGAACAGTGGGCCAAAAGTCAAAAGATGAAATCTAAGGAGGTCAACTGCTGCACCTGCCATAGGAACTTGACTCTTTAATAGTATTACTTGTGAGAAAAGTCCAGTAATACTAAACTCAAATAGATTATTGGTGGTTGTCAAAAAGTAAATGCCATCTTAGACTGCCTTAATGATACACAGGACAGAGGAGGTCTTAGTTCCATACTGTTCATTTTATGGGGAACATTGCCAGCTATGTCAAGTTAAAAAAAGTAACTCTCATGCTGGGGACAAAGGTCAACCTGGACAAGTGATGGCTGAAGTGATGTGACATCATTCCCTTTCTACCTTTGGGGGAGGGAATGGGAATTGTGATAAAGCAAGTACACTTATTTTGTGTAAGATAAAACTAGGACCAATGTGCAGAAGTGAAAAGGCTTTGGCACAGTTTAGAGAAAAACTTGCTCATGGTTAGCTGTTTACAAACAGAACTGTCTCCCATCCCTGAATATTTGAAGAGAGACTGGTCAACATGTCAGGATTCCCCTAACTAATAGGCTGAATTGAATTAATCCACCTCTGATACCCTGTCTAAAGCCAAGAAACTGTGAAAAATAGCAGTAAAGGAATTAAAGAGTTCCTTTGCAGCAGTGTAACAATATCTAATGGTTTAAAAGCCTACAGAGAAAACAATTTTAAATAACAGTAATGGCTGCCATGCATTAAGCACCTACCATGTGTGCTAGGCACTCTCTTGGAGTTAACATGCAGCATCCCAGTTATTTGATTAGCAGTGATTTTTAAAGATACCTTTACAAGATAGGTGATATTATCCCCATTTTATAAATTAGGAAACAGAGGCTCAGAATGGTTAAATAACTCATCAAGGTCACACAGCCAGCAAATTTCAGAGTCAGGTTTTAAACCCATGTTTGTCTAACTCTGATACTCATGCTTTTCTCCTATACCACACACTGCTTACATTTTCCATTTGATTTCTCTCTAAAAAATCTCAGTGGATTGAAAGTTCCAGGAAGATATAGCTGTTTTCTTTAGTGTATGTTGTAGTGCCTGACACATATCATAGGAGTTAATAAATACTGATTGAATTTGAGGGTTCTTAAGGAAAGAATGAATCCCCAAATTACTTCAGCCTTAGTCAAGTAACTGTTTCAGTCAGTATAACATTCAGTGAAATTAAACATGTGGTATGGATGTTGTGATTATAGTGTTTTTTTCATTTCTATAGGGTAGATAAAAGAATATTTAAACACAATTGCTGCATACTTACCAAGTGTCTGTCATTAATGTTTGATTAGGTATAAAGATACATTAAAAATGGAAACTGATTTTTGTAAGTTCTCTTTCATTATTTCATTGTTACCCTTATCTTCTCCCCTCCCGTTTTGCAGTTCCCACATTTGTTTCTTTCCTGAAAGAAGTAGAATCTCCTTATGAGGTCCATGATTATATCAGGGCCTATTTAGGAGATACTTCTGAGGCCAAGGAGTTTGCCAAGCAGTTCCTTGAGCGCCGTGCCAAACAGAAAGCCAACCAGCAGCGTCAGCAGCAGCAGCTGCCACAGCAGCAGCAGCAGCAGCCGCCACAGCAGCCGCCACAGCAGCCACAACAGCAGGTATAAAGTAGTGTGGTGTATGCGGTACCTCTGAGGATTAATACCTTTAGATGTTGAGTAACCCAAGAAATGAAAATTAATACAAAGGTACCATTTTTGTATATCCAATAACCATGCTTTAAAAAATGTGTATACTTCATATTTTCAAATTACTTGTCCAGATACCTTTGTGTATCTCCCAAATAGCAAGTACAACCATTCATTTTACACTAGGTTTACCAGTTCCATTTTTCTTGGTTTGTATTTGTGTCATAGTTAGATTGCACATTTCAACATGTCAAACCCATAGATCTGGTTTTGAAAAGTTAAAACTTAAAATGTTGAATTTTCCAGTGTTCAGGATGCACTGTATTGAGTACTGACAACACTGCAGCATGCCAGATATTTCATGTTGTTGTTGGGGATGTAAAAAATACAGCAGTGATTCTCATTATTCACAGTAGTTACATTCTGTAAAGTCCCCATGAACACTGAATTTGAGCAAATACTGAACCATTGCTCCTAGGGGATATATAGGGTTAGGTTCCCATAAACTTCTAGTCACAATATTTTTCTCACCAGATCAGTACATAACCTTGTTTTATGTGTGTGTCTTTTTAAAGACACCTCATTTAATATATGTTGATTCATTAACATTGAACTCACAACTAATAGCACTACTATTCGTGCCCAAATGAAGCTTATCCAGCACACGTATTTTCTTCCTAAGGCACCTCACAGCCTTCCTGTGCTTAGGAACAACAACCAGTTCTTCAGCACTATAGTTGAGGGCCACTTTACACAGCGAAATCTGGTGGCTCATGTCCGTAATCCCAGCACTTTGGGAGGCCGAGACAGGTGGATCATGAGGTCAGGAGTTCAAAACCAGCTTGGCCAACATGGTGAAATACCGTCTCTACGAAAAATACAAAGATTAGCCAGGCATGGTGGTGTGCTCCTATAGTCCCAGCTACTCGGGAGGCTGAGGCAGGAAATTGCTTGAACCTGGGAGGCAGAGGTTGCAGTGAGCCAAGATCACACCACTGCACTCCAGCCTGGGTGACAGAGTGAGACTGCCTCAAAAAACAAACAAACAAAAAGTGAAATCATTAACAAAAAGCACAAAAATTTGGAAAACATGGCACTAAATAGACCACAAAAAGGGCACTTGTTGGCAGTATTGAGAACTGTAACAAGAAGGCATTGTTTCCTTGTTCTACCTTAACTGGGAATATATGCCTTTAGCATCTCATGTTTTTTGCTCTGAGTATGTGTATTTCTAGAATGACCATAAAAGCACTACAAGTATTCATTTTGGGGTTACAAATACATTTTAACAAGTAGGTGAATTCACAAATATGGAATCTGTGAGAATCAATTCTACAAGTTTTCTGAAAGACAAGATGGCAAGGCTCATGGAAGGGCTTAAAGATATTCATATCCTTTACTCCTGTAATTGTTATTCTAGAGATAATCAGTATTCATTATGGGTCACTTACGATGAGGATGTGGAAGATACAGAGAAGTACAAGGCATTTAACATCCAACTGGGTAATGGGCTAACAGGCATAAATTGAAGGAAAAGTGAAAGATGTAAACACTGAAACACTAGGAAAAACAAATTTTTTTTTTGGGAGGAAGTGTCACTCTGTTGCCCAAGCTGGAGTGCAGTAGCGCGATCTCAGCTCACTGCAACCTCCAACTCCCGGGTTCAAGCAATTCTCCTTCCTCAGACTCCCGAGTAGCTGGGACTACAGGCACGCACCACCATGCCTGGCTAATTTTTCCTAGTTTTAGTAGAGACGGGGTTTAACTATGTTGGCCAGGCTGGTCTTGAACTCCCGACCTCATGATCCGCCCTCCTCAGCCTCCCAAAGTGCTGGGATTACAGGCATGGGCTACCACGCCCGGCCCTAGGAAAAATATTTTAAGGAGAAGGCATCATACAGCAATATAGAAGGCTCTTTGCATTTGTGAAATGGCTTCTCTGTGGGCTAAAACAGGAAGATGGAAGCCCAGTAAGCACGTGCACCCATGGGCGCACGCATACACACATGCTCACACCAGGCTTGTCCTTCCACAGAGCTTTTTCCACTTCTCCCCCACTACTACCACCTGTGCCTTCAACTGGCTCATTGGCTAATAAGAGCCACAAGTAGGCGTGAAGGGCTAGTAGGCAATTTCATAGTGTAACCAGTTGGTAGAAAGTATACAGACAGTATTTTTGGGCCAGATCGTTTCTGGGATTGCTGATAGGAATAAGGTACACGACTTTAACTTTGTTTGGTAATATGCCACCCCTGTCCTCTCTGTCCTGGGGCCCAGGGAACAAAGAGACTTTCTGCTCTTGGTTAGGTGAGAGGTGCAGTGGTCTGCTCATGATTATTTGCAGTATTCATTTCCTAGCATTTGATACAGACTCTGTATGTACCAGAGAAGTTCTGCCGTCACAGCAGGGTGGAAACCCAGAGTTAACCAGGACAGGCTTTGTGGAGGCACTGAGCCCTGAGTGGGATGTCTTGGTCTAAATAGAGGAAAATGGTGGCTCAGTGGCCGCTCTTGATTTTATTATTAGAACATGTGATGAAAAGCTTTTTGTTTTTCTGCTTTTAAGCTCATTCTTGATAAGGTGAGGACAAACCAAACATTTTCCTAGGGTGAGCCAAGTCTGAATCTGCTGTGTAATCTCAGTCATGCTGCTTATTTCACAGGACTCTGTGTGGGGGATGAACCACAGTACACTCCATTCAGTATTTCAGACCAATCAAAGCAACAACCAACAATCCAATTTTGAGGCTGTGCAGAGTGGCAAGAAGAAGAAAAAGCAGAAGATGGTCCGAGCAGATCCCAGTTTATTAGGTGAGCACGGTCCTAGTCTCAGCTGAGTGTTGGAGGAGTGCAGGTGATACCAGTTATCCTGTGTGAGTTTCCATTGAGCATTGTTTTTCAAGAAGGGAAATATTTCTTTTTATCAATAACTAATGTTTTAACTGGTTCAAAATAAGTAGCCAGTATTTACTGGGCGTCTCAGTGCAGGACCTGTGCCTCATGTAATAACAACTTATATTGTATGGTGCTTTAAAGTATTGTTTGGTGCTTTAAAGTATTGTTTGATATTTAATATGAATTTCCCTGGAGGATCCTGAGTAATTTAGTTGGAAAATGATGCTAATAATGAACGATACTAAAAGTATGTTAAAAACTTAAATGCTTATTTGTATTGAAAGCAGACCATTAATCCGATCAGGTGTTCCAAGAAGAGAACCAGTATATGTTCATAATCACTCTATGTATCATATAATTCTCAGAATTACTTTGCATTATGAGGTGACATACCAGTTTCACCAATAATGAGTAGACCAAGGCACAGAGATTGAGAACATTTCCCAGTGTTACATAGCTTTCTGCTATGGGATGCTGGGATTTCAAGGCAGGCCTGTTTTCTTTCCACCCTTCTGTGTTACCCACGGCTATTTTTATCTAGCATTATGGACCATGCAAGGCAGGCTGGGCACGGTGGCTCACTTTGGGAAGCTGAGGTAGGTGGGTCACTTGAGGCCAGGAGTTTGAGACCAGCTGGGGTAACGTAGCGAGACCATATCTCTAAAAAAAATTTTAAAAACAGGCATGGTGGTGCCCACCTATAGTCCCAGCTACTTGGGAGAATGAGGCAGGGGGATTCCTTGACCAGGAGTTGAAGGCTGCAGTGAGCTGTGATCATGCCACTGCACTCTAGCTTCTCTGAAAAGGTGACATCTGAATTTGGGCTTTGAAAGAATGGCAGAAAGGATGGGGAATATTGTTTCAGGAATAACAAACAGTATAGGCTGCCCATGTTTTTTGCAACAGTGATGAAACTAACATTTTTTTTTTCTTTTTCTTTTTCTTTGAGATGGAGTCTCACTCTTGCTCAGGCTGGAGTGCAGTGGCGTGATCTCAGCTCACTGCAACCTCTGCCTCCCGGGTTCAAGCGATTCTCTTGCCTCAGCCTCCTGAGTAGCTGAGACTACAGGCACATGCCGCCACACCTGGCTAATTTTTGTATTTTTAGTAGAGAGGGGTTTTTGCCATGTTGGCCAGGCTGGTCTTGAACTCCTGACTTCAGGTGATCTTCTTGCCTTGGCCTCCCAAAGTGCTGGGATTACAGGTGTGAACCGCCACGCCCGGCCCTAAAATTATTTTCTATTTGTGAATGTAAAATTAGTGGCTATAAAACCATGTTGTCTGCAATAGAATACATTCGCAAGGATGGAAGTTCCGGTTGTTGTCCTGTCAGGAGGGCAGAACAGTGAGGAGGCTGCAGTATAGACTAGGTAAAAGATACCAGTGACTTGGAATAGGGTTTTGGTAGTGGGGATGAAAAGGAGTTAGATGGATTTCAGAAATGTAGGGGATAGAATTAACTGGACAAGAAGAGTGGAAAGGTCTCAGGCTTGGGGACCAGGATGGATGGATGGTGTTGCCATTTGCTGTGAAATGATAAGCAGTGGAACATGGCACAGGCTGAGGGGAATTGAGTGTTGACTGGGTTGAGTTTGAAATGTCTGTGGGACATCATGAAGAGCGTGAGACCCCGCACAGTGAGAGGCAGGTGGTAACCTTACTGTACCCTTGGTAGGATTCTCTCTTTCCCTCAGAGCCTTCCAGCCCTGGTGAAAACAACATGACAGTAAAACCTAACTTTTAGGACTGTCCTTTAGAATTGGTGCCTGAAGCCAGACGCGGTGACTCACGCCTGTAATCCCAGATCTTTGGGAGGCTGAGGCGGGTGGATCGCTTGAGGTCAGGAGTTGGAGACCAGCCTGGCCAACATGGTGAAACCTCGTCTCTAGTAAAAATACAAAATTAGCTGGGCGTGGTGGTGGGTGCCTATAATCCCAGCTACTCGGGAAGCTGAGGCAGGAGAATCACTTGAGCAGCCTAGGAGGCGGAGGTTGCAGTGAGCTGAGATCACGCCACTGCACTCCAGCCTGTGCGACAGAGTGAGACTCCGTCTCAAAAAAATAATAATTTAAAATAATAATGTTTAAAATATTATTTAAAAATAATAATAACAAAGAATTGGTGCCTGAAAGCTGGGTTTGGGAACTTGTAGATCTGGTGCAATTCTGTTTTCCTCTGCTTGTCTCAAAAGTTGATAAGGATGGATGGAGCAGCCTGAAATTTTTTCCAATTTGGATGAAATTGGTGAATAGATTTTAAAACATTCCTTAAATTCTAACTGTGGGTTCTAGCTAAGAAGCTTTGGGACTTGAGGATAGGCTGTTAGGGAAAAGGTTGCTCTGAAAATGAGGTCAGACCGTTTGGACTTAAATATTCCCTTGGATCTCATCTTCTATTTATAGATCTAAGAAAGGAAGGGACTTTAAAAACCTCACTATAAGGGTGTGGGAGATAGGTCATCCTAGGAGTAGAGTTTAAGGAATCCATATACCTTGAAGGGGAAGAAAAACAAACGTTGAACAAAGTATTGAGGATACTCACTGAGGTTATGAAAATTACTGCTCACCTAAACCTCACTCTGGAAATTCCTCTCATAATTGCTCATTTTTGTCCTATACTTATTTCATTTTCATTTATTACTTTTTAATTTACATATTTCATATAATTTGTATACTGAGAAAAAATTAATAACTATCCATTAGCTACACATTCCCCATGCATAAAATGGGAAAATGGGAAGTCTTCGTTGAAAAAGCAGTCACTGATGGAAAGAGAATTTTGCTTCTAAAACAAACCAGCAGAGGGGGCCACAGCCTCATTTTAATTATCAATATTCTCCAGTATCTCCTATCTTCAGTAGGCTTCCTCCACCTCCCGGGTTCAAGTGATTTCCCCTGCCTCAGCCTCCCGAGTGCTGGGACTACAGGTGCGTGCCACCACGCCAGCTACTTTTTGTATTTTAGTAGAGATGGGGTTTCACCATGTTGGCCCGGATGGTCTTGATCTCCTGACCTCGTGATCTGCCCGCCTTGGCCTGCCAAAGTGCTGGGATTATAAGGGTGAGCCACCGTGCCCGGCTGGCTTCCTCTTTTTTTAGAGCTCTTCAGGTGGTCATTGTGAATCAGCAACCTGCACTCAGATGTGATAAACACACAATACAGTTTCTCCCCAGACTTTCCTTGTAAGAACAACCTCACAAATCTTAAAGAACTCATGTGAGTGAGACTATGCTCTGAACCTCACAGAATGTCATCTTTAGAGCCAGGCATAGTGGATTGAATCCGTGTTTGTGTTGCCTTGGGTTTCACAGTACCCAGAACTTTCCCTTACATCAAATGGCTGAATTTGATAAAGAATGGCATTCAGCCAAAGGATGAATGCATACCTTGCTGGTTTTTTAAATGACAGTTAAATGAGAATATGTCTGTTTGCTAAAAGCCTAGACTGATAATTAACATATTAATCAACTTTTTTTGGCCACAGACTTTTCCCTTCCTGTCTTTGCATGAGTAAAATTAATTTAGCTTTTAAATTACACTTCCACTTCTTTTGCATATAGTTCATTATTGCCTTTTATCACATTTTATCTGTTCTTAAGATACACGTGAAGTCAATGAAAAATCTGCCTCAGAATAAAGTAGTATTTTATTTCATAGACTGGCCTTTAGGTTCTTGTACTTGCCTAATTAACTGTTACTTTAAAAACATAAACATTAGGGTCAGGCACGGTGACTCATGACTGTAATCCCAGCACTTTGGGAGGCCAGCGTGGGCGGATTGCTTGAATCCAGGAGTTGGGGACCAGCCTGGGCTACATGCCAAAACCTTGTCTCTACAAAAATTACAAGAATTACTTGGGTGTGGTGGCACCCGCTTATAGTCCCAGCTACTGGGGAGGCTGAGGTGGGAGGATCGCTTCAGCCTGGGAGGTGGAAGTTGCAGTGAGCCAAGATCACACCACTGCACTCCAGCCTGGGCGACAGAGTGAGACCTTGTCTTTAAAAATACATATATATGTATATATATATAAACACTAAGGCTGTCACTATTTTCAAGGGGGAAGAAAAAGACTTGTGGGTTATTGGAACACAGTTGATGGGGTCAAACTCAGGATGGGGTTTGGAATCCTAGCCTCTCCCTATATTTGGTCTTGTAAGCAGTTGGTACCACAGCTTTTTTGGTTAATAAATAGGCATGTTTATTTTTTTGAATCATGATATTTTTGAGTCAGTTAATTAAGGTATTTTATGTAAGGCATTTTTGTTTATTACTGTTACATTTCAAATGTGTATTTATTTGAAAACTTGAACATGAAAAAACAAGAGGCTGCAGAAAACCCAGCTAATATTAACAGAACTGCTTTTAGAATAAGGACATTGCCTGTTTACTTTTTGGTATTCAAATAACTAAAACAGTTTGGGATTTTATTCAAGGTAGAAGAACTGGAACATTTTTGGGGAGTCACTCAGTTTAAAGAGGCATTGTTCATCATTTTTATCAACCTCCAATTATAGAAGTTTTGGAAAAATTACATACATGTGACCATTGGGCATTCGGCATTAGGTTTTCTTTTTTTCTTTTTCTTTCTTTTTTTTTTTTTTTTTTTTTTTTGAGACAAGGTCTCACTCTGTTGCCCAGGCTGGAGTGCAGTGATGTTATCTCAGCTCACTAAAATCTCTGCCTCCTGGGTTCAAGCAATTCTTGTGCCTCAGCTTCCCGAGTAGCTGGGATTACAGGCGTGCAGCGCCACGCCCAGCTAATGTTTTGTATTTTGAGTAGCGACAGGTTTTTGCCATGTTGGCCAGTCTGGTCTCTAACTCCTGGCCTCAAGTAATCCACCCACCTCGGCCTCCAGTGTGCCCAGCCAGCATTAGGTTTTCAGCTGTCAGTTGTGTTTGTGAGTACTGCTTATTGCCTTCAATGGGTATGCTAGTACTGCTTTTTCTAAGCCAAATTCCCTTTTGGTTAATCAAACATTGCTAACTGAAATCTTTTCCTTTGCAGATATATTTACAGTAGATCGAGTTAGAGTACTTTAATCTTCTTGCTCTGTCTACTGTGGGAAAGAGAATATGCGAGGACTCTAAGGATCTTAATAGTGTGTCTTCCATGGAGCCTCTTACCCTGAGTATCAAAAGCTCTGGGCCAGAACTTTCATAAAGTTTTTGACTGGTGGGAAGAAGTATTCCCATTAAAGTGGGTTGAGGTTTAAAGGGGTATTAATCCCACTCAGATTTCAAAGTTATGTGGTCAAGTAGTTACAAAGAACTTAGTGTATACAACCCTCCATGGTAACCCCCCTGCCCACCCCCATCTCTTTTAAGGTAGACCTCCTGCATGAACTTTCCTCCAGGGCCAGCCCAGCCTGTCCTTGATACACACTCACATCCCATTCTTTTCTCTGATTCTCTGAAGCAGTGGTTTGCAGGGGGTTTTTTTGTTTTGTTTTTTTTTTGAGACAGAGTCTCGCTCTGTCACCCAGGCTGGAGTGCAGTGGCGCGATCTCGGCTCACTGCAAGCTCCTTCGACCAGGTTCAAGCAATTCTTCTGCCTCAGCCTCCCGAGTAGCTGGGACTACAGGTGCCCACCACCACACCTAGCTAATGTTTTTTTGTATTTTTAGTAGAGACGAGGTTTCACTATGTTAGCCAGGATGGTCTCGATATCCTGACCTCATGATCCGCCTGCCTTGGCCTCCCAAAGTGCTGAGATTAAGGCATGAGCCACCACACCCGGCCTGCAGTTCTTTTTAATTGGTGATGCTATTTTGTTTTATTTTCCTTCCTAATTAGGTTATATCAGAACCTTAAGAAAATAAAAAATCTCTCTCATTGGAAGAACAGAAAGCTACTGCTGTGACCTTTATCTTTGTCTCCCTGTAATACTTCTATGGTATGCTCAAAAACAAAAGACTGGCCAGGCACGTTGGCTGACGCCTGTAATCCCAGCAATTTGGGAGGCCGAGGCGGGCGGATCATTTGAGGTCAGGAGTTCAAGACCAGACTGGCCAACATGGTGAAACCCTATCTCTACTAAAAATACAAAAAAAATGAGACGGGCATGGTGGCATGTGTCTGTAATCCAGCTACTTGGGAGTCTACGGCATGAGAATCTCTTGAACCCAGGAGGTGGAGCTTGCTGTGAGCCGAGATCACGCCACTGCACTCCAGCCTGGGTGACAGAGTGAAACCCTGTCTCACAAACAAACAAACACAGACTTACATTCCAGCTCACCGCCTAGAATTTGAGCCGCTTGGTTGCCTGGGTGTGGTCACTCATAGCCAGTTTTTTTTCTGCAGGATTTTCAGTCAATGCATCATCGGAGCGACTCAACATGGGTGAAATCGAGACGTTGGATGACTACTGAGCACCTGCCAGTGGACTGGCCATCCCTCTCCTGTCTGCCGACTATGGAGTCTCCACCTTTGGACACAACACTTACTCACCATTTACTCTTTATCACTCTGCAACAAATCACAGAACCGATCATCTCAGGCTTTTTCTTCTGGCCCTTTGTGTCCAAGATTCTTTAATCCATTTTTGTTGGTGAACATCTCAGACTATAGATAAGTGGACTGGACCCTGTGTCTTGGGGGTGGCAGTTGGGATTACTCCCCAACAAGGCTGATTTTAGGCAGCATGTGTTCACTGTGCTGTGATTTCATCTACTGTCTCCCAGAAAGTGTGTTGGGATCGGCCATTAGCAGCTTGCTTTCTCTTGTCACTTTTTTTCTTCTATTTTGTTTTTTCTTCTTCTTTTTCCCCCCATCAGGGCAAATGGTCTAACTGGTGCAATCATGAAGAGAGTTAATGGTTAACAGACATTGGCCAATAACAAAACACCCCATGGACTGTGACTCGAGTATCCAACAGGCAGTCAGAGCTCTCCCGGTCTGAAAGTTGCATTGCCACTGCTAACTTTGGGATTGCATCAGAGAGGCCCTGAGTGGGGTTGAGATGAGGTTGGTTTGGTTTGATGTTACACACTCCTCACCTGTTCTTTCTGAGTGTCCTTTCTCTGAAAGGATTTATGTTTTTCTTCGTTAGATAGTGACTTCTGAGCAAGCTGATCTCCCCTGGCATGCTCCAACCTGATTGGACAAAGGAAGCTCTATGGCCTGGGAGAGAGACTATTCTTAATTTTTCTTTCTTACAAAAACTGATTTTTCCCATAAATATTTTTACTTCAGAGGACTAGGACCATTTTGTTTTGGGCCCTTCTGCTGAAAATTTGTCTCGTTTAAGAGGCAGCTAGAATCTTTACCATATGTATGAATTTGTATAATTTCATTTTTGGATAGGGATAAACTTTTGCTTCTGATAAAAGCCTGGAATTTCATCTGGTCCTCAGAGCATTGCGTGTGTGTCTTGCTGTAGCCCGGAAAAGGTTTTGTGTAAAGATTCTGGGATGGCAAGTTGTTTGCCTTTTCTGAAAAGAGAACATACAGAACCTGTCCATCTTTAAGACCTTCATCCATGGAATCTACTATACAGGAGGATGCAGTGGGCTGGAGGGGATGGGCGAAAATGGGAGCAGGAAGCCTGGCCTGGCTTCTGGTCATGGCCTCCTAAAACCTTAAACTTCAAGTAGAAATGTACTCAAGCCCTATTTATAAACAAATACTTTTCCTGCCTCCACCAAACCCCTACAGAACATCACCTGGAATTGCCACTCACACTGGGTTGGAGTCATTGGGCAGCTGTGCCTGTGCGAGAGGTGCTGTGGTCTGGGCAGCCCCTGGAAAAGCACCTTTGCTGCCTGTCATTGTTGCCTGAAGAAGGCTGGAGTTGCTCTGAGAGCAGTTTGGGTTTGGAGTATTATATTTGGCTTCTATTTTTATTATTTTGGATCACCATTCTCCCTATCCCTTCTTGCCTCCCTCCCTTCTAAACATGTGTAATAACTATACAGAGACTGCTACAAAATTGTATATAGTTTTTGGATCAAATAGCATGAGGGGAGAGGAAACCATTAAAAGTTGGGGCTCCTACTCTCCTTTGCTTTGTAAATTCAAAAGTTGGGGGTGGGTAAGAGGGATAGTTAAAATGTTTACAAAACTTTAGGCTCCCTCGGAACTTTTGCCAGTGTGGAGGAAAATAAAAAAGAACTTAAATAAAATCTGATTGTATTCTATCTGAGTGCACCTCTTGTACTCACCTTTATGGAGGCTGAGTTCTGCACTAAACTGTTCCTCTTGGTACCATGGAAAAGCTCCAAGCACCCAAGACATGGAGGCAGCCATGGCTTCTTTCTCTGCCAGACCACGTAGCACTGGCTGGTTCTGTATTTGAGAATGTAGAGGTCAAGGCAGATGTCGGTAAGTTTGACCAAATATCTTTTCTCTTTTTGACTCTCCCTTTCTGCTAACATGTGGATCAGCTCCTGCCCTCATACCGCAGACACACCCACTCTGAACACACCCCTCCAGAGCTTGCCCACACCTTCCCAACTAGACTCTGTGTGTGTATTCAGGAAAAATGAAAATAAATTTTTAAAAATTGGGAGTGGAATGGGCAGATTAGGGGGAACAAAGTCATTTTGGTCATGGAACATCCATTTGCTTAACCAAGGAGACTTGCTTCTATCTGAGGAATTTCCCACTTAGTAGAAAGAAACACTCTTCCCTGGGAATGTTTGTTTCTGTCTCTCTCAATGCTACTCTCTTTCATATTCTCATTTGCTCACCCTTTCACTTAGAGCCACCGTTTTCTCATCCCATTCTATGAACTTATTTCCAAATTCTCCTAACTATTCCTGAGTTTTGAAGTATTTGTTTTGTACCCTCTCTGCTTCCGGTTTTTTGTTTGGTTGGCTTTTTTGGAGATAGGGTCTTGTGATGTTGCCCACACTGGTCTCGAGCCCCTGGGCTCAAGTGATCCTCCCGCCTCAGCCTCCTAAATATCTAGGACTACAGGTGTGTGCCACCATGCCCAGCTCCAGTTTTGTTGGTTGATTTGTTTAAATTCAGAGATTTAAAAACATCCCAGACAAGACAGTTTGATTATGGAGACTGTCCCCAAGCAGATTGGTGTGCTGGTGGCTGCTGTGCATAACAGATTCCCTCCAGATTGGCTTACAACAGCTACTTCATTCTGTGGGTCAGGAATTTGGATAGGGCTCAGCTGGGTGGTGGTTCTCCTGGGGTATTCTTTGGTTGTGGTCAGATGTCTTCCAGGGCATCATTCCTATGAAGGCTTAATGAATTAGGCAAGCTGTCCAAGATGGCTCACTCGTGTAATGACAGTTGACGTTGGCTGTAGGCTGGGAACTCAGCTGGGTTGATGACTGGAGGAGCTTATGTGTGTCGTCTCCGGAATGGCAGCTTCAGAGGAGTTGAACTTAAGTGGTGATTGGCTTCCCCCAGAGAACCAGGCAGAAGCTGTGTTACCTTTTTGAGCTCTTAGCTCAGGAGTCACATAGAGTCACTTCTGTGACACTGTGTTGCATCAAAGTAGTCACAAACCCACTCAGATTCAAGAGAAGGGAGCATGGCCCTCTCCCTGCAACCCCCTCCCCCCCCGCCTTGATGAAAGGAGTGACAAGGTCACATTGGAGAAGAGCTTGTGGGGTGGGAGATATTATAGCCATTTTTGGGAAATATCTGCATAAAATGAGTTTATGCATACATGAAGGACTTTATTTTCATTGGCTTTAAGTTGAGGGTTTTTGTTTTTGTTTTTGTATTGGAGATGGGTTCTTACTATGTTGCCCAGGCTGGTCTCAAACCCCTGGGCTCAAGTGATCCTGTTGCCTCAGCCTCCCAAGTAGCTGGGACTACAGCTATGTGCCAGTGCACCCAGCTTGTTTTTTTTAAATTTTAGGATAGATAATGGTACTTCTGGCTTTATTTAAATAATTTTTTTAGGGAAACCATTGTATTTATACATGCATATATTTTTATATATACAAATATGTATATAAAAGTATATGTTTTACATTTTCAATATATATATAATATATACATATATGTTATATACGTATATATATTGCACCCTACTTTAAAATTGACTGATAACAAAATTGGTAATTTTGTATAAAATGCCCAACTGTGCATTATTAATAAAAGTATGTGAATGACTCTAATTAAACAGAAGTGATTCTTTGAAATGAACATATTCTGTACTGTCCTTCCAATATGTGACGTAGATCATTTTCAACAGAGTAGCAGGCAAGCGCATTCTACAGAGAGTAAAGTACAATCAGAGCACATTCCAAATGGAAGTTGGCCTTATAGTTAATGAGTTTCTTAGAACAACAAAAGCCCAGCTATGAAGGGTGCCTTTGGTCCTGCGTGAGTTCAGTCTCTGGTGAGGAAGCTGCAATGCTTTCTAAGACTCTGGAGAGTCTGGGAACCTTGAAGCAGCCAGATGCGTGATAGTTATTTGCAGGTGTTGCCTGAGAACGATGGACACGTATAGCTTTTGGTAGTGCTGGTTTTGGACTGGGAACCTAAAACCTTCAAGAGGACAGTTTCCCTCCAAAGAATTAATCAGTGGGAATGTTTTGCAACAAAAGTGTCAACCATAGCAGTGGGGCACCACATGGGAGAAACAGCATATAGATGCTGGCAAGGAAGAAGTGGGCTCTTTACCTAACAGCTGATCTTCGACCTAAAAGTTGTCATTGCGTTCCCTTTCATTGCTGCCAAAGCGATGACATCATGGGGATGGAATTCATGATCACCTCCACACTTGGTTCAATCCAGCTGATATAACAAGCAGAGACATCACCTCTTAAAGACTGTTTACTTGTCCCCCAATTGTAGGAGTGGAAGGTTAGTTTCCCTTGGCAGCAAATTGCCTTTTTATTTGAATTTCTCCTTTAGCATGAGAAATGCTCCTGGGAATGGTCAGTGGGTCGGTATTGGGTTTGGTTGCATCTGACAAAATACAAAGTCAACAGTGACAATAAAATCACTTATTTTCAAGTGAAATAGGTCGTAGGTCCAAAGCTTGTGGGGTGGCCCACGGACCCAGATTCTGTTTCAGCATCCTGATTGTGGCTTTCTTCTGACTCGTGATCCAAGGTGACTGTTACAGCACCAGCCATCATGCCTATATTCCAGGCAGGAGGAAGGAGTGGGGTGAGGCAAACAGCACACCTTCCTACTCAGCCCTGTTTAAGGAGCTTTTTGGGGAGCGCTATCCAACATCTTAAGTCTTACCAGCCAGAATGTAGATACATAACTACAGTTAGTTGTGGAAGCTTTGGGATTTTAGTTGAGTGCTATCATCCCCAAATGTCATTGGGATCCTGTTACTGAGAAATTGGGAAAACGGATGCTACATTGGCAGTTGCAGTCTCTACCACATCCTCTGCAGTCTTCTGTTTTAAAGTGGGAAACGTGGGATGGTTTGTGCACACTGATCATGGGAAAAGAGTCCTCGTGGGTACCCTAGTTTTGCCTGTGGACTGAGGATCTCAGGCTTTCCCAATGGGGGGACTCAGCAAGCTCTGGTTTCTGTTGCTGTGCAGAGCTAGGGACCCAGAGCAGGTGTCAGTGACCCAGCCTTACTGTGTATTTTATTTCCTAATTCTACATAGAATCTGGGGTTTGTTATTTTGTTGTGTTTTTTGTTTTGTTTTGAGACAGAGTTTTGCTCTGTCGCCCAGGCTGGAGTGCACTGGCACGATCTCGGCTCACTGCAACCTCCGCCTCCCGGGTTCAAGCCATTCTCCTGCCTCAGCCTCATGAGTAGCTGGGATTACAGGCATGTGCCACCACGCCCGGCTAATTTTTGTATTTTTAGTAGAGACGGTGTTTCACCATGTTGGCCAGGCTGGTCTTGAACTCCCAACCTCAGGTGATATGCCTGCTTTGTCCTCCCAGAGTGCTGGGATTACAGGCATGAGCCACCAGGCCCGGCGACAAATACTACTTCTAGGCCATTTTGCAAGTGAGAAGGGCATTCGTGGGCACATACGTAGATGCAGTAGAGCATATGAAATCAGAGTAAACACCTTCTTAGATGTCTTATAATTAGTGCAAAGAAGTAACCCTTAGGCAATGTGGTATGGGTTTCAGGAGGCTGCACGTAAGTACTAGCCTCATTATTATTAACCAGTTTTTTCTGTCATGTCTCTGGTCCTCAGTTTCATTGTCTGTTAGATGAGGTGGTTGGCCCAGATCACCTAAAGAACTTGGAACAAAAATCAATCCCTTAGCTCCATGTCCCAGAGTCTGTAATCTGGGGTGGGACCGTGCATTGGAAATTATTTTCAAATTCCCCAGAGTTCTTAATGGACAGCCTCAGTGGGGACCCACCAGCCTAGCCTAGCTCTGAGATTTCAGCTCCAGCGGCCTAGTGTATGTGTGTGAGTGTGAGGCATGTGTGCTGCAGTAAACTGCTGACATTTGGCTTCTTGATGGTGTGTGACGAGTAACTCTTTGCAGCTTTACTGAAGGAGACCCAAGTTGAAAGGCAAGCTTGGTGTGCCTTGCTTAGGGGGACAGTCATCTGCCTGGATTTTCTGACTTTGGTAACATGAAATGGAGCCTTAAGCAGGTCGGGGTCCTGTTGTGAAACAGAAACCACCCTAGATGAACGTGAAAAAGAAAAAGAATTGGTGTTTGAAGTGTTGGGAGCAACATGGGGGAAAGTTACTGAAAGGTTAGTTAATAACTGTAGGGAAACCACTAACACTGTGTCCCCTCGTCCCATCTATCAGTTGTTAAGTCCATTTTTAGGTGATACTAACTTCAAGTTCAGTCTCACCTAACTATTAGATATCTTAAGGAATACATTGTATTTATGTAAATTAGTAGGGGAAAGTAGAGAAAAGTTGGTTCGTATCTGCAAACGTGTATGTATATATAAGAAGGAATAAAATGCACATCGCTGCCACGGTTCTTGTTTCTGTCCCTGGTTGTGGAGGGTGTTGGCTTAAAGCCTTTACTAAGTTCCACTCCCCCTTTGCCAGCCCCTCATCTGTTGGGTGGCCTGAACCTTCATTTGTGAGCGCTCTGAGTCATTAGCAGTCCTGAGGTCCCTGGGTTGTGGTCATCTTCAATTAGTTTTTTCCCAAGGCCAGTTTTTCTTTTTAATGAAAATGTTCTAGGGAGTGATGGAAAATGTGAAAGCTAAAATAAATAAATAAATAAATAATAAAAATAAAAATAAAAAAGAATCAAACATACATAGAAGTAGACTAATGTAACAGACTCCTACCTAATATAACCTGGCTTCAACAATTATTGACATTTTGCCCATTTTGTTGTATTTATCCCACTTTGTTCTCTTAGAATATTTTAAACCAAATCCTAGATATGACGTCACTCATAAATATTTTAATATATATGATAAAAGAGGACATCTTAGAAAAAGAAAAACCCACAATGCCTTGTCACATTAACAACACATCAGGTCCATAGATGACTTTCTCAGATTGTCTCAAAGGTGTCTTTTTACAAAGTTTGAAAATCAAAACAATGTTCATTGCATTTGGTTGATATGCTTTAAGTCTCCTTTAGTCTTAACAGTTCTCCCTACAAAAAAGAGAAAAAGTTGAAAAACTGTATCATTTATTGATGGAACATTCCACATTCTCTGGATTTAGCAAGAAGTGTCTTAATGGTGTCAATTTCTTCATCCCCCCCCCACCTCGCCATGTTTTCTGTGAATTAGATCTACAGGCTTGACTAAAACCAGGTTCTCCCTTCCCCACCCCTCACAGGAATCCTTTGCTGGTGGCATGGTGTCCTTCCCGCTGTATCACAGTCACACTGTATTGTCTGGTTGTTCCAGTTTCACTGATGTCACAATTCATCAGTTCTGTTGCTATCAGGTTGATTCATCCATTATAAAAGTCCTCTTGCTCTTACATGTAGCAGTTTTAACATTCCTTGATGACAATTGCCTAGATATATAATTAGTTGAAAATTTGTGATTTTTGGTGGGGAGGGTTACTTTTATTTTGAAATAATTTGACTTTAAGTTGCAAGAACAGTACAAAGGACTTGCACATAACCTTCACCCAAGTTCTTTAGTTAACATTGGACCATACCTGCTTTATTTTCTCTCAATAACTATAATCTCATGATAAGTTTTTTTTTAATGTAAACCATTTGTGACTAAGTTGCATACATCATGTCCCTTTTTCCTGAACCCTGGTGTGTTTCCTCAAAATGAGGACATGCTCCCATATACCACAATACAGTTATCAAAATTAGGAAATTAACAATACAATACTGTTAATAGCCAAGCTTCATTCATATTTCATCAATGGTTCCACTAATTATTTTTTTTTTAAACAAGGTCTCAATCTGTCACCCAAGCTGGAGTGCAGTGGCCTGATCATAGCTTATTGCAGCCTTGAACTCCTGGGCTCCAGCCATCCTCGCCTCAGCCTCTTGAGTAGTTGGGACTATGGGCACATGCCACCATACCCAACTAATTATTACTATTTTTGGTAGGGACAGAGTCTCACCATGTTGCCCAGGTTGGTCTCGAATTCCTGGCCTCAAGCAGTTCTCACACCTTGGCCTCCCAAAGTGTTGGGATTATAGGCATGAGCCACTGCACCCAGGCCACTAATATTTTTAATAAAAGCAAAAAGGCACCGGATGTCATTCATGATCACTTTTTGTGTTTAGTTGTCATGTTTTTGAGTCTCCTTTAATCTGGAACAGGTCCTCAGTCTGTCTTAATCTTTTGCACCTTAACATTTTTTTTAGAGTGGAGGGCAATTGTTTTTTAGAATGTCCTCCATTTGGATTTGTCTGATATTTTCTCATGATTTGCTTGTGATTATGCAATTTTGACAGGAATACTACAGAGTGATGTTATGTCCTTAGTTCATCACATCAGGAGACATATGAAGTCCATTTGAGCCATACTGGTGATGTTTACTTAGTTTAGGTGGTGTCTGCCAGATGTCTCTACTGTAAAGTAACGATGTTTGTCTTTATGGGAGACACTGTTGAAACTACATTTCTTCATCAAACTTTTATCCATTGATGATTCTTAATTGAACATTTACCAAGGTGCTTGCAAGCATTACTTTTACATTGATTAGTCAACCTTCTACTATAAGGAATACTTTTTTTTTTTTTTTTTTTGAGACAGAGTCTTGCTCTGTTGTCCAGGCTGGAGGAAATTTCAGCTCACTGCAGCCTCTGCTCTCAGGTTCAGGCGATTCAAAGATAGTGTTTTGCCATGTTGGCCAGGCTGGTCTTGAACCCCTGACTTCAAGTGATCCACCCACCTCAGCCTCCCAAAGTGCTGGGATTACAGGCATGAGCCACCGTGCCCGGCCAGGAAGAGCTTCTCATACACGCACACATGCATACCCTCTATATATTAGCCACAATCTGTTGGTATTTTTCATGCACAAATTGTCCATTTAGAACTGGCTTCTCTGTCCTTTTGCCATATTCCCATCATTCTTTGAGCACTTTTTCACTTTGGCACCAGAAATTCTAGGCCCATCATCTACTTTTCCTTTATCATATGTGGAATTAGTCATTTCTCCAAAGAGCACTGTCTCCTTTTAGTGGGGAATGGTATCTAAAAACCAAAACCTGGCCACTGGATGGGCTCATTGCTAGTGTGGTATCACTGCTTCTAGACTGTCCACAGTAAGGGTGTTTATGTATGTGTATAGGTACAGAAACGCTTGTGTATCTACACCTATCTGTGTATTCATGCTGAGATCTGCAATTCCAGTACAAATGCCATAGGATTCATTCTAATCTCTCCTTTTCATATTTGCAATTCCCTTAAGCAGGGAGAAACCTCACACTCCCTTACCTTCAGTGTTTTTGCTTTTGCTCATTAACACAAACTTTATTGGCTTTATCCCTGTTGTCTTACTGGCCCCACCTATATAAGTTCTCTGTGCCCAGGTCTTTGTCTTAAGGTCTGCCTTAGGGAAACCCAAACGCAGATAGCTCCCAGCAGTTTCCATTGTTAAATTCGTTTCGTAGGATATATTCACTTTGGCCAAGGACTACACCCTTCTTTTGGTAGCTGTGTAGCTGTGTATTGCTTGGCATGTTTTGTGGACCTGCACTCAATAACTACTTGCTGAATAACTGATAGGTTTTGAGAAAATTTTTAGTATTTACCAAGAATCTAAGTTTTTAGTAAGTTAAATTAGAGGAAATTCTATGGTATTTTTCACCACAGCTTATGAGATTAATTTTCTGTTTGCACGCCTATTAGGTTCAAGTTTGGGACACACATGCACAAAGGTCTGAACACCCTTTGAAAAAAAAAGTGAGTTTTGTTTTTGTTTTGATGTGGAGTCTTGTTCTGCCACCCAGGCTGGAGTGCAGTGGTGCGATCTCAGCTCACTGCAACCTCTGCCTCCCAGGTTCAAACAATTCTCCTGCCTCAGCCTCCTGAGTAACTGGGATTATAGGCACCCACCCCTATGCCTGGATAATTTTTATATTTTTAGTAGAGACTATTATAAAGACATTATAAAAATGTTTGTATGTTTAGTAGAGACAGGGTTTCACCATGTCTCTCACATTCAGTAGAGATGGGGTTTCATCATGTTGACCAGGCTGGTCTCGAACTCGTTACCTCAAGTGATCCTCCCATCTCGGCCTCCCAAAGTGTTGGGATTACAGGCGTGAGCCACAGTGCCCAGCCAAGCCTGAACACCCTTTGGAAAATTTAACCTAGGTACTAAAACTTGTGAAAATGAGCCATAAATTGGGTTTATTTCTAAAAAATAGCTTCACACTTCCTTGGTGTTTTTGTTGGGGAATCACCTGTCTGTCGAATGACTAGTACTACTGTGCACTTCCATAATCCTCAGTATTTCCTTATTTGCTAAATCCTAGGATATACCAAAGTGGTTACAGAATTGCTAACCCATACCAAGAGAGACAAGCTTTCTAAACTAGAGTTCTATATGTGTTAGCTCTAACTAGAGACAAGTTTTCCAAGTAGAGTTCTATACTTGCTTAAAGACACTCCAACATTATAAAAATACATATGTATAGTATTATTCATTGCAGCTATCTGTAATTTTAGACTTTTTGTCTGGTCTAAGTATTTTTTTCTACCTTTAGCATGGTTATAATAATCATTTGAAATACAATTCATTGTCTTGAAATTCTTAATTTTATCTTTGAAATTTGAGTTTTATAAGTAAAGTCTGATGGAATAGTGGAGCACGCAGCAGCAGCTTGCAGCCTTGGCTCACGCCTGCCTCGTCCTGCCTCCCCAGGGTGGGTTCTCAGCCCACTGCTGCCCCTGGGCAGCCTGCCTCCCTCCCTATCATCCATATGTCACTTGACTTCCATACACTTTCACTTTGGTAAACACAGTGACATTTTGAATATCCAAAGATGAGTGTCAGCAAAAAGCCAAAGTCTAGTGATCCCTGAAATACAAATGCATCTCCTTTCCGCCAGTGCCCAGCTATTCTGGTCCACGACTGCCTAAACCTTTGAGGAAGATTTGGAAGAAGATTCATTGTCTGTACTTGTGGCCATCTTGCAGGGTCCTTCCTTAAAGATAAATTGCCTCCCTCTCTATCAAGAGATTTTGGTTCTGGGAACCAAGTGAGAACCTTGATGCTCCATTATAGTAAATACAGATTTCTGCTCACCTGTTCATTTTTGTATATCAAGTAATACATTAGTAGACTGGCTGGCTGTTTTATTCCTAGGGATCAAAACATTCTGATGGGTCATTTCATCTTTTTTTTTTTTTTTTTTGAGATGCATCCTCCACCTCCCAAGCTCAAGCAATTCTTGTGCCTCAGCCTTCCAAGTAGCTGGGACTACAGGTGTGCACCACCATGCCTGGCTAATTTTCATATTTTTATTGGAGATGGGTTTTCGCCATGTTGGTCAGGCTGGTCTTGAACTCCTGACCTCAAGTGATCCGCCTGCCCCAGCCTCCCAAAGTGCTGGGATTACAGGCGGGAGCCACCGCACCTGGCCAGGTCATTTCATCTTCACCATCCATGGCAGGGTTGGCGTCCACCCGGCCTCTGCTGCCGCTTGGCCTCTGCTACTTTAGAATCACATTATTTCCTCTGAAATCAGTGATCCCATCATCAACTCTGGCCTACAAAAAACAGCCACAACCTATCTTTTTAAAGTTGCCGGTCTTCACTAATGCATCTCGCAGTGTCTTGGTGAATAGTGTGTACTATGGGACCTACTGAGAACTTAGTGTGGTCGCCAAAGATAAATCCACCCCAACATTCCTTTCTTACTAAGCCATTGGTATCCCCTTCTTCATTAAGTTAGGCTTCTCAATCTCATAGCATCCAGGCTTTTACTGAGCCTAGGTTTTGGTCAGCCAGCCAAACAGAGCTGCTCCTAGATGCTTAGGTTGAAACATTAAATTCAGACTTCACTAAGCACACCCCTGTCTAGAATGTGGCCGGATCTAATGTCATACTCACATCTTGCCTATTTAGTCTGACACCTTAGAATTCATTCCCACACCATGTTTCTATTAATATAAATTAGCAAAATTCGTATCTTACTAACTTGATACTAATTTATTGCTAGCATAAATTAACAGTAGTTTTTAGTTTGTGCTTATTTCCTCCTAAGTCAGACTTTGTGCTTGCTCTCCCTAGGAATGCTGATACCTGATTCTAGTTATGGATATGGAGGCAAGGAGAAGTTGTTAGGGTAGGTACAAGGTAATTTCATATAAATACGCATGCTAAAAAGAAATTTGAAGTGATGGGGGGATTGAGGGGCTGACTTATCAAGCTGAGGCTTGAATGGAAGGGGTGGCCACATAATCACCACAGGACTGCCTTCTGGGAGGAGAGGGGAACATGCAAAGGCCTGAGGCAGGATCTGGGGGTTTGTTGGGGGAGCCTAGTCACGGCCAGTGGACTGAAACATAGAGCTCGTGGGTGGGAAGCTGAGCAGGGCCGAGGCAAGCCCTTAGCGCGGTGGGAAACCATCAAGGTGTGAAGTAGGGGGCGCTGACAGAACTCTGAGGGCTCAGACGTGGGAAGTGAGGGAAAGAGACACCTTTGATGACTTCATTGTGTGGCTAGAACATCTGGGAGCGGGGAACTGGGATTCCACTGACTGAGTGAGGGAAGGGGCAGTAGAGTCAAGGTTTGCTTTGGACACTGTAAGTTGTAGCCGCTCGTGAGATACCCTGCGGGGCTGTTGAGAAGCAGTGGGCAGTGGGGCTAAGTTCTGAGCCAGGCCCAGCCTGGAAATGGATGTCATAAGTGCACAGGGGTCTAGGGAGGCAGAGAGCGAAAGAGGAAACAGGAGCGTTTTAGGAAAGACTAGAGCTGCCTGAGGGTTTGGATCAAAACTGCTTTAAAAGTCCTTCTTCAACAAGCACTGAGCACCTACTCCGGGCCAGGCATGGAGAACCCAGAGGTGAGCAGAGTCCGTCCTGCACTCAGTGCTGCCTGCTTCAGGCCAAATTTCCCCAAGCCCAGGCCACAGGCACTAACATGCAGATTCCCTGGGCTACCCAAGCCCCACTGAAACACAGTGGCCAGAGGCAGCAGCATGTTTCAAGTTCCCTGGGTGATTCTTTTGCACAAGAAAGCTTGAAAACCTTTCATTTTCAGTGGTCCAGGAGTAAATGTGGGAGGTGTGTGTGTGTTGCGGGGTGGAGAAAGAGAGAGAGCACAGGCAATTTCCTCTTTCCCTCTCCAAGAGCGGGGCTGCTCCCAGGTTCAGGAAAGCAGGTCTGTTCTGTGAGCTCTTGTGTGTGTGTGTTGGTGGGGGGAGCGGGGGGGTGGGGAGGTGCGGGCACGATGTCCCAGGAGGACAGAGTTTGCATTGATGAAAACCCTTCCCAGCCCTTTGATGCCTCTTTCTCACTGCCCTGAAGTTAACCAGCGCAGTCCTCCGTGCGTCCCGCCCGCCGCTGCCCTCACTCCCGGCCAGGATGGCATCCTGTCTGGCCCTGCGCATGGCGCTGCTGCTGGTCTCCGGGGTTCTGGCCCCTGCGGTGCTCACAGGTAAGAGGTGAAGGCCCTTGTCTCAGCCACCACTAGCCTCCCAGGGCCGATAACTACCTTGGGGCCAGATTCTTCAACGTTCACTGGGGAGGAAGCCCTCTCACAGGAGATGGGATGACTATTTGGGGTGATTCTGCGAAGAGCTCTTGTGAGGCCGGCTGGCAGCAGCTGTGTGGGATGGACGTCTCAGGAAATTGTTAGCAGGAGGGATAATGGCCTCTGGAGAAGGAGGACAACTTGGGGGGCAGGCCCAGGGATGTTTTGCTGTTGAGGGGGACATGGGTATTGCTCTAGCACTTTAAAATCTGAAGTCTCCCAGGTCTGGGAGGCAGCTGGGGCACCAGGCACAGGACAAGCAGCTGAGGGGCCAGAGGAGTGCAGAGCCTTGCTGATTACTTTGAAAAGCTTCCCTGCTGGTTTCTGCGACGTCCTTAGAGAATGAGGACCCAGGTACTGTCCCCATCTGGGAAAAGGCTCCAGAGAGGGAGAGAATACAAGGCCCAAGATCCCTCTGCAAAACGGTGTGGACCTCTGGACTGAGATCAGAGTGGCGGAGTCTGGGGTCCCACGAGAGGGAGGCCTCTGGCAGGCTCCCAAGGGCCCTGTGGAGAGGGGAAGACTGGCCCAGGCTGGCTTCAGAGCCTGAGAGACAAAGGGCGCAGACGGGTTACAGGTGGTCTTTGCTCCTTTTGGCCGGGAGTTGGACCAAAGGGCAGCTGGCTTCTGTGTCACAGTAGCGGGGTTCAGGGACCCTGCAGCCTGGGTCTTCTGGAGGGCGCCCGTGGATCTGTGAGAAAGGTGGACCGCAGTCATGAGAGCATGGCCTGGGGAGAGCTTCTGGGGGACGACAGGCCTGGGGAGGCCCCCTCGGCCACACCCTGGGAGGTCTGGGTGACAGCGAGGAGCACCGGAGACTATTGGCTTCTCCCTGGACGCCCAGGAAGAAGCTTGAGGCCAGGGTGTGCTCAGTCTTGACCGGGCGGTTTCTTAACCTCTCTGTGCCTTCTCGTCATCTGTAGGATGGTGACACAGCCACGCTCTGCCTCACTTGCAGGGGTCTGTGAGGCCTCGTGAGTTCAGACGTGCGGAGCTTTTGGGATGGGCCCCACATCCAGTTAGCGCGAATGTGGATTCTGTGGTCCGAGCCCCTCCCTGGCACAGGGTGGTCTCAACAGAACTCTACTTCCTCCCGCAAGCTGGGAGGGCGCCAGCCTCCCTTGTGGTGGAAGAGGCGCCAGCCTAGGCGAGCCATGCGGTGTTCCCAGGATGGGGGGAAGGGACTTAAAGGGGAAGGTGGCATCTTCCATGGCTTGGATCCTGGGGCTGTGATCTTTGCAGCCCCCTCACTGGGAAGAAGCTGCTTCTCCAGCCTGGTGGTCCGTGTGGGCCGAAGGGGAGGCCCTGGCTCCTGCCTGCTGGGCCTGGGCTGCCTGTGGCTCCTGCCCAGGTTCCTACTCCTGTGTGGCTGACCCTCCTGGCCCAGGCTGCCGGCCAGAGTTCCCAGGCCAGACTGTCCCTAATCATTGTAGGCGGGTGGGCTTCCTCTGCCACCACAGGATGCCTTGGGGACAGCCAGGACCTCACCTGGCCTCACTGCCCCACTTCCCTCCATGTGTCCTACCAAGAGTAGGCAGGCCCCCCGCAGGGGCCAGACCAGGCCTTCCCAACCCCGGAGTCTCTGGGGTTCTGGCTGTTGTTCTTGCGAGAGCGTTTGACCCCACCCCTGGGCTGGGAGCTCTGGACAGGTGTGTACACGGCCCTGGGCTCTGTGGGCTGGGGTCCTGTAGCAGACAGGAAGGGAAGGAGCGGCCTTGTGGGCTGAGGCCCAGGCCCCATCTGAGGCACAGGCCCTCCCTGTTGGGGGCCTGTGGCCTCAGCTACTGAGGTGGGAGCAGGCCGGGCTGAGCGGGCAGGAGGCCAGGGCAGGGATGAAAAGGCCCTTCATGGCCCACACAAAGGCTGTCTGTGAGCAGAGGCGCCTGGCCTCAGGGCCCTGTGGTCAGAACACACTTATTTACCAAAAGGCAGGGCGGCTGGGGCCAGTGGGGCTGGGAGAGAGCCCGTGGTGCCCAGGCTTGTGGCAGTGCCACCAGCCCCTGCTTCCCTGGGTCAGAGCGCGTAGCCACACCACATGGCTAATTCTGGTCAGTGGAGTCTGGGCCTCATTACCGCCATGGAACTTTCTTGGGGTCCTCCGTGCCCCCACCTCTTTGCCAACCTCACTTTCTGTCACCCTGGCCTATTCACTGTCCGCCTGGCACGCCGTGAGTTCCGTCCTCCACACCTTCGCTCCTGCCCCATCTCCCCCCTCCCCAGACAGGACTCCTGCTGGGAAACTGCTCTGCTCCCAGCTTCCCAGAAGGATGGATTTGGGGGAAGATGGGAATTGCCTCTCAGCTTTGCTTTCCCTTCTTACTGGAGTAAATTCTAGAAACATAGATGAGGATAAGAAGTGCCTCGGCCCCTCCCTGGCAGCGGCACCCCTTTTCCTGGTGGATCGGTGGCTGAGTGCAGGCTGTCATTCCGAGCCTATGTGTCTGCCACTTGGGCACCAGCCTAGGTTGGCAGGGAGCTGGTGGCTCCTGGGGCCCTGGCCGCTTGGGTGCAGATGGGTACTGGGCCAGCCTGTGAGGGATTCCTGTGGCAGCCAGCGGCTGCAGACCCATAGCAACTGGGCTTGTGTCCAAAGGCGCACCCCAGGCCAGACGCAGCAGCTGAAGATGCTGGTGTTCACACAGTTACCTCCTTGTGCAAGATGCTTGACAGCATAGTCTGAACCCCCGTCTTACAGGTCAGGAAGGTGGATTGGGGCATGGAGCAAGGATAGGCCCCAGCCCTCCTGATTAGAAAGCTTCATGGCCTGGCTGGACAGGAGGGGGCTGTGTACAGTGGGAGGAGGCCAGGGCAGGTATGTCTGGTGGTGGGCGCAGCAGAGACAGGCTGGGTCACGGGGGACAGATGGGGACAGGGCCTGAGTGGGGCTCCCCACTGCCCTGCTCAGAGGGTACCGTCAAGGGTGGCAGCTCACCCCTGCTGGGCTGGCCTGGGTACTGAGCCCTGCCTTCTCAGGGGCTGGAGGCCTGCCACTCCTCGGCTGATTCCCGCAGATGCCACCCGGCTCAGCTGGGCCTGGTACCCAGAAGCCCTGCCGCGGCCTCCAGATGCAGGGAGGTGCCTACCTGCCAGTCTGTCTTGGGTGTGTCATTTGTCCATTTCTTTGGACATGTTCAGGCAGTCAGTGAGCCTAGACCCTGGTGCCTGCCAGGCGGTGGGCGCACTCAGGCCTTTTACCTGCCCAGCCCCCAGAAGCCTGAGGCAGCACGCCAGGGGCCTGGGGCCTTCCATGGGGACTGCAAGGCTGCAGACCCCTGCCTTTCTGGCTGCGACATGGGAGGCCTGGCTGGGTCACTTCCCCTCCTCTCAGGGTGGTCTTCAAGGTTTGCGGGAGGCTAGAGAGACATCAGTGCTACAGTGCAGCCTTGGGCCCCTCGGGAGGGAAGCCTCCCCCAGTTGGGGGCCAATGGGCCTTCCACCCATGGGGCCTCCTGCCAGAGGTCTTTTCTGGAAAGGGGTTCTGCCTTGGGCCAGCCCTGGGGAATGTGGCAGGTCAGGTGAAAGGTCAGCAAGCTGTCTCAGAGCTGAGCCTTGCAACTGACCTCTCCAGGCTTGAGAGAGGCCCAGAAGCCAGGGACCTGCTAACATTTTATTGTGGAAAGATGTGAAGTTTACAGAAAAGTTGCACAAATACTCCAATGAACTCCAGGAGTCCATCCACCTAGTCTTGCCAACTGCCAACATTTTGCTACATTGCTGAATCCTCTATCTGAATGCTGAAATCATTTGAGAGTAAGTTGCAGAAGTCATGTTCCTTTGCCCCTAAATTCTTCCTAAGAACAAGGACATTCTCTTAACACACCAGAGTCAGCTATCAAAACCAGGAAGTGAGCACTGAGGCAGTCCTAAGCCACACCCTGTTCAAACTTCACCAACGGACCTGAGTCTCCGATCACAGGCCTGTCCCTCCCCGTCCAGGAACATTGAGCTGTCTCCTTAGTCTCTGATCTGGAACCTTTCGGCCTTTCTTTGTTTTTCCTAACTTTGACATTTGGGAAGGCCCATTTACTTTAAGACTGACCCTGAGTCTGGGTTGGCTGATGTTTCTGCGTGGTTTGCCCTAGATGGACACAACTGGCCAGAAAACCCTGGAAGGACCTCTGTGTCTTCTCGAGCATCCGCCTCTCTGGGTGCTGGTGAACCTATGAGGAGGGCAAGTGTCTGGCTTGACTCTTGCCCCAGCGCTCAGGGATGGAACCCGCAGGGACAAAAGGTGCCCTAGGGTCGCCGGCTGGCCGGCAGGGTCTGTTCACAGAACGGCAGCCTCCCTGCACTGTTTCTGGGCAGCACAACCGCTCCTGCAACTGTCCAAGGCCTTCAGCCCACCTGTGCTCACCACCACGGCACCTTATCCCCAAGCCTTGGCTTTCTTGTCTCTGAAATGGGGATAAAAGCAGTTCCCACACCACAGAGTAGCTGGAGTCAAAGAGATGAGGTGTTGGGACATCCCCAAGCTCATCCAGGGAACCGGCTTGAGGGTCGAGTGTCCCTGGATCACAGTCTCTATCCCAGTTGAGATTAGAGCATGGGGCCGGCCGCAGTGGCTCACACCTGTAATCGCAGCACTTTGGGAGGCCGACACGGGTGTATCACCTGAGGTCAGGAGTTCAAAATCAGCCTGGCCAACATGGCAAACCCCGTCTCAACTAAAAATACAAAAATTAGCTGGGTGTAGTGGCAGGTGCCTGTAGTCCCAGCTACTCCGCAGGCTGAGGCAGGAGAATCGCTTGCTTGAACCCGGGAGGCGGAGGCTGCAGTGAGCCGAGATTGTACCACTTCACTCCAGCCTGGGCACAGAGCAAGACTCTGTTTCAAAAAGAGAGAGAGAGAGATTAGGACATGGGCAGGCCTGCCCTGCTAACACTGTGATGTCAGATGGTCTGGCTGGGCTGGAGAGGCCAAGAGCCGACCTACCATCCCCATGTTGAGCTTTCCAGCGTTTCTGGGGCATCCTGTCTGGTTGCCGGGGATGGATGGCCCAGGGTTGGAGTGGTGGTCAGGGGAGGACAACTGGGGTGGGCTGGCTGGTGAGGATACAGGGCGGGGGTTATCATGCAGGCGTCTCAGCCTGTGCTTTCTGTGGGACTGAGAATGTCTCCTTTCTGCTCTCTGGTCCCTGGGTACCCCAAATCCTGCCAACTCCCAACCCTATAAGCAGAGAAGGGCTTTGTGGGGGGCACCTCCCTTACACTGAACAGACACTCCTCCTGCCCACCCACCGGCCCTGCCCAATGGGAGGCAGCAACGCACTGGCTTCAGCTTCTTAGCCTGGGAAATGTGAGGGCTAGTGCAGCGCTGAGCCCAGACCCCTCACACAGCGCTACCGGCAACTTGCTTAACCTAGAGGTGGGGGGTGACGTCCCTGTCGGCCCCGTCACCTGGGGCCCCAGCACCTCTCCTTGGCTTTGCAGACGATGTTCCACAGGAGCCCGTGCCCACGCTGTGGAACGAGCCGGCCGAGCTGCCGTCGGGAGAAGGCCCCGTGGAGAGCACCAGCCCCGGCCGGGAGCCCGTGGACACCGGTCCCCCAGCCCCCACCGTCGCGCCAGGACCCGAGGACAGCACCGCGCAGGAGCGGCTGGACCAGGGCGGCGGTACGGGCGGGGCGGGGGAGGGAGGGGAGAGGGAGAAATTAGGAGGGGCGGGGGGCGGGGGGCGCGGGGAGAAGGGCCGGCCAGGCGGGGGCTAGCAGGTGACATGGTCCTCCGTCCTCCGCAGGGTCGCTGGGGCCCGGCGCTATCGCGGCCATCGTGATCGCCGCCCTGCTGGCCACCTGCGTGGTGCTGGCGCTCGTGGTCGTCGCGCTGAGAAAGTTTTCTGCCTCCTGAAGCGAATAAAGGGGCCGCGCCCGGCCGCGGCGCGACTCGGCTGCACTCCTCACGCGCCTGTATGTCCGCGCGTGCGTGTCCGCGCATGCAGGTGTGCCAGAGCGTGAGCGCGCGCAGGCGAGCGCTCAGGGCGGGGGTGCGCGCGGGGCCGAGGGTGGGTGCCGTGCACGCGCGCGGGTCCGGAGGCGCGCCCGAATTCCCCGCAGGGGCGCCGGGGCGTGCGTGAGCGCACAGCATGTCCGAGCCCGCCTGCGTGTGGCGTGCACCTGAGCGCGCGCAGGGCCGCGCGGCTCGGCGTCCCCGTGCACCACGGCTGGAGTGCCTCAGGAGCGCGCCGCATGTGCGTGCCCGGTGCGCGTGCGCCGGGGCCGCCAGGGCATCGGAGCGGGTGTGCGGCCAGCGGTCTTAGCCCGTCCGGGGGCACCGTCACGGTCAGGGCCACGCCACGGGCGGCCCCTTCTCCCGGCGCCGCCTCCTCTGCCTGGGCGCGGGCCGAGGCCCTCGCCGCGCTCCCCGGGGCCTGCCTCCCATCCCGCTCCGCTGGGGTTCAGAGCGTTCCGTGAGGAGGTAAGCGCTAGGGCAGGAGAGGCCGACAGAGACCCCGGGGCCCGCCGCTCCTTGAGGCCGGGGTTGGGGAGGGCAGGGGCCGTCGGCTCTCCCAGCCAGAGGCCGCGTGGTTTTGGGGGACGTCTTGACTCTGAGTCCTGCAGCCAGGGCCCCATCCGCGGGCTCAGACCAGCAGCCCCAAGCCCCCCTCTGCCCAGGGAGCCTCAGGAGCAGGATGAGTCGAGAGTCGACGCCGGACACGGCCCGCCCCTGCTTCCTACTCTCACCCCCAGGCCTGGCTGGGGGCCGGCAGCCCCCACGCCCACGGTTGGTTTGTTCAGGGAGAGAAAACGGCTTTCCCAGCTCTACTCACCTCACTTCACCCTCAGAGAGTCGGGGCGGAGTGAGGGTGAGGAGCCTGGTCCAGGGTCCCCACCTCGGAAGCATTTAGAGATGTAAACTTTGATCCTTTGATCATTTAACCTGCTCAGCACAGCAGGAAGTGGGAACTTGGTCCCTACCCCAGTCCCCAGGGCCTTTGGAGGGAAGGGTTGGACAGTTTGGAGGCCAGCAGACCCCTTGGGGACAGCTTAATGTATCTGAAGATTCCTGAGTGGGAATGTTGCTGGAGGGCAAGCTGCTTCTCTTTTTTAAAAATTCATTTTCTCTAGCAGCTGTTTTGGCCCCTTTGGTGTCCCTGAGCTCCCCATGGCACTGTTTCCTGCCGTGACTTTCTCCTCCTGGACACTGGAGCCCAGGTGGTGCCCGCGCACCTCTCACACACTGGGGGATAGGGTCAAGGCCTCATCCAAGTCTGTTAACAGCTTCCCACTCAACCAGTCTCCCCAAAATACACTGTGAGTTCAATGATTCTGCTTATAAAGGAGTGCTATGAAACTGACCTATTTTCCTAATTGGTTAACTGACTTCATCTCACATAACCTTGAGTAACCAAAGCCTTCATCAGAGCGGACGATCCAACCCAACATGCTGTTTCCCATCCTCAAAAGGCACGGGGACCAATGGCCACCCAACTCCTTCCCAACCCTCCCCTCCAGGGACGAGAGATGGCCCCCTCTTTCCCTTTCCCCACTCTGCAAGCACTCCCCCACCAACGGGTGCATCACAGCCCCTCACTGGGACCAGGGGGCCTCCCTCTCCGGTGGAACCAGTGTCACATGCCTGTGCATCTCTGTGATTCTCAGAGGGTCTGAGGTCCGAGCACCCTGCTGTGGCCTGTGGGAAGACGCTACAAAGTCCCACTGGATCTAAACCAGAGGCCTGTTCTGGCGAGCAGGGAAACTGTGTCCTGGCAGAGATCGTGGTCCTGGGCACACAGGACCCCTCAGCACACTGAGGTGGAGCTGGGGCGAGGGGAGGGGGTGCGCTCTGGGTAACTGAAGGTGTGAAGGGCCCAGGGCCTGTTTCTGGGCAGTGCAGGAAGTCCCAGCCCCATGCCTGTGGTGAGATCCCCTGTAGGGCCCCCCCCACCATGGACACTTCGGGGCCTCTACGGTCTTCCAAAGCTGTGTCCTCATTTCCACTGCAGCAGAGGGGCGTCCCCAGCTCCGTCAAACAGCCCTTTCTGTTTCTGGAGTCCTACAAGTGGAGGCCCAAATCCGTTCCCATGTTGAGGCAAGGCCCTGGCTGTTCCTTCCTCTCTGGAAACCGCCTTGAACTCTTCCTTTGGGACATGCCTCCTCGACCAGCCTTGAAGGGGTGCTCCTCTCTCACTACCTGGAACCAAACACCCCCTTCCTTTGTGTACAAGGGCAATAAAGAGTAGACCTTCATCTTCTTTATTTTATATATGATGCTTCTTTTAATGCAGCCAAAAGTGATATTTGCTTTTCTCAGAACCATAATCGATACAAGATGCAGTGACCAATTCATTCCTTAAAACACCTGGGCTCCTTAAGGGGCTAGAAGACACAAGTTACATCCAGCCCATCAGGGAGCCAGAGGCGGGAGGGGTCCCCAGCCAAGCTCTGGCAGGCCTGCCATGGGGCAGGGCCTGACCGTGCAGCCAGAGGCTGGCAGAGGCCTGGGGAAGGGTGGGCAGAGGCAGCTGGGCTCTCAGTCCTGGAACCGGAGACCAAGGGCTGCTCATCAAGCTCCGTCAGGCAAGGGCGGCCTCATCTGTGCCTGGTAGATTCTAACTGCTTCCAAGGTAGAGGAGGACGCGTGCAGGAAATCGTGTCAATTGTCACCTTCTGCCTGCCTCCCACAGGGACACTCTGGGTTGGGAGCCTCTTCCAGTCCCTGGGGGCCAGGGGCATGGGGGGCCCTGGAGTGTGCCCACCCCCTTCCACCCCCTCGGAGGCATGAGGGAGGTGGTGTAATACTGCTGAAACCTTCTTGTTTACAAATGCATCAGGAGAGGCTTGGGCACCCTTTATCCAGTTTGCGAGCAAGGGGCCAAGACACATGAGCACTCACTGCGTGGGCAGGGATGAGGGCCGGGCACCCCAAGCCAGATCCTGCCACCTGGGGAGGTGCTGGCCTGTGCTTCCCAGAGCCCCCCCCCCCCCACCTTCTGTCGGGGTCTCATGCAGGCCCTGCTCCCGCTGGCCCCCTGGGTGGGGGTCATTGCCGATTCCGGCTGCCCAGCTTCCTGCGGTCCTTGTTCTGGCTGCGCTGAGGGTCATCCATCTTGTGGACACGGAAACATTCCTTGAGGTTCTGGGACCGGATCTTGGGATTCAAGATCTCCTCAGTCATGGAGCTGGGGAACCAGCCTCTCTCCTGGTCGTGCAGACGCTCGCCAAAGATCCACCCTGTGCAGGGAGGGGAGGGAGAGAAGGTCAGTGCTCCTGCAGGGCACAGGCTGCACAGAGGCTCCCTCCTGGCCAGGGCCCCCATCTGTGGCGGGACACTAGGGGTCCAGCTGGCCTTTCCCAAAAGGCAGCGGCTCTGCACACCTCTGCCGAGATGCTCAGACTGGAGTCACCCCCATAAGCTGGGAGGTGCATGAGCACCTGCACGGAACAAGGCCTGCTCCGTGCCACGCAGTTCCACGTTGACTTTGGAACCCACTCTGGGACCCTCAGCAATTCTATGCTGCCCTACACGAGCCCAGGAGACCCCAAGGGCCACTCCAAAAAGCTGGAGGCATTCAAGGGGCTGGTGGGGGTGGCAGCCGAGCACGTGGTTAGCTGGCGTGGACTGTGTCATTCAAGGGGCTGGTGGGGGTGGCAGCCGAGCATGTGGTTAGCTGGCCTGGACTGTGTCATTAGCCTCTTGCGGGGCCGATCCTCCCAGGCCTGGCCTCCTGAGGGCTGGTGTGGTCAGTGGAGAGGGTGCATCAGGAACTGGCAGCACGAGTAGTCTCAGCGTCAACTGGCTTCTCCCTGCGCTGTTTCTCCACCTCTCCCCTCCCCTAGAGATCACCAGGTCTTTGCTCAGAGTTTGTGGCCGATCTGTAGCATATCCCAACCTGGGAGCTAAGAGGCCTGGGGCATGCCCTCTGCAGGTCTCATTTGGGAGGGGAGCAGGCTAGTTATATTCCATGGGAAGAGGGCAGGAGAGCCCCTGGGCCTTTGGGAACAGCCCACAAGAGGGACTCCCTGGAGAAGGCCTCCCCTGGAGGTCACAGCCTGAGGCCTTCTACCAGGACCCGGCAGGAGGAGAGGAAGCAGGGAAGATGCAGTTGTATACTTTGGGGATTTGGATCAGGAGCAATTACTGTAGACACACAGATGTGATTTGAAAAGGGAAAGGGGGTCAGTGTTCAATTCTACAGGGGCTGGGAGGAACTTCGCTTGGTACTGATGACAGCAGCAGGGGTGGCCAGGAGCTGGGGGCGGCTTCTTGGCCCACATGGGGCACCGAGCCTGGCAGTCACAGGCTTTACCTGAAGCTGCAAGTACAGGTCTGGGTCAGGTCAGGCTTAGGATGTTCCTGGTTGTCCTCCCTCCCACTGTGATGGGGGTGCTGAGGCCAGGGCCAGGGGAGGGGGACACGAAGCCACCCGCTTGGGCTGGGCCCACTGCGAAGGAGGAAAGGTGGGGTCTCCCGGCTCTAGGGGAGGACAGGGAGGCACTGGAAACAATTCCTCCTTTACACTGAAGAGAGGCCAGTGAAGCCAGCATGGGCAGTGTCCAAGCAGAATGTCTCAGGGAGCAAGAGACATGGCAGGACACCAGCCTGTCAGACAGTGGTGGCATCTGCTTCTCCCCCTCCCCGTCATCCCTTGTGGGGCAAGTTCCCCTGGGGGCCCCGAGGGGAGGTCCCTGGGCCTCACCGTCGTCAGTCTTGTCCAGGATGTTGAGGATGTCGGCGAGCTCCAGCGTCAGCTCGTCTGGCTGCTGAGCCACGTATGGGTGCACGCACTGGACCTGGGGGCAGTCTGAGGGACAAGAGGCACGGGCACATCCCCACCACCGCACTACCCACCTGCACACTCCCACCAAGCCCGCAGCTGAGCCCTGCCTAGAATAGGAAAACTCCCACAGCAACTGGAGAAGGGCTCGTCTGAGGAAGAGGAGGATTTGTTTCCATAGAAAACGTTATTAACATAGCCAGGAGTTCTGGGAAGAAATACATGCATAAAGGCTGTGAGGGGGCCTTAGTTTAAACTTCAGAAGGAACTTTTTGTACCTGGGATATGGCCCTGGGTGTGGTTTGGGGTGGTCAGGACAGGGTTCACATGGTCAGGGTTAGCAGCTTCTCCATAAGGCAGCTGAACTTGTGTTTTCTTTTTGAGACAGAGTCTCCCTCTGTCACCAGGCTGGAGTGCAGTGCAATCTCAGCTCACTGCAACCTCCACATGCCAGGTTCAAGGAATTCTCATGCCTCAGCTTCCAAGTAGTTAGGATTACAGGCACGCACCACACCTGGCTATTCCGTATTTTTAGTAGAGACGGGGTTTTGCTATGTTGGCCAGGCTTGTCTCGAGCTCCTGACCTCAGGTGATCCACCCGCCTCGGCCTCCCAAAATTCTGAGATTACAGGCATGAGCCACTGCACCTGGCTTTTTTCTAGTTAAGCTTTTCGGACAACTGGCAAACCTAAAACAGCAGTGAAGTTTGGTCCAAATTCTTCCTGGTGACTTTGTGGTACCTGTCACTTAAGGCCCATCCAGCATTCACACAGTGTGGCCATGCCAGGTTATTGGCCGGTACTAAGTTTCCAGTAGGAAGCAGCCCCTGGAGGCCCGTGCAGGCCTCTGAGACCACCAGCTCAGGGAGGGCTTCCCTCCAGGCAGGGCACACCGTGCACCTGCGGCATCCGGCAGGGCCAGCCCAAGGACAAATGGCGCCCCCTTACCCACCGGTGACTTACCCAGCAGCCGGGATGTGAACGAAACAAACTTGGTCCTCCTGTTGGGGGCCAGTGAGGTCATCCAACGCTTCATCTCACTCCTGGCACAGGGAAGAGGACAGTGCCCCAACTGCAGATCAACGGCAGCCCCCCAACGTGTGGCACGAGGCTTCCCAGCTAGCTGCCCCTCGGATCTGCGTCCACCATCCTGAGCACCGCTCAAGCCCACCCCAGGGACAGCTCGGGGGAGCCACAGAAACGGGCTGGTCCAGGGTCTGACACATACAGGAACCCACGGAGGGGCATGGGGGAGCCCCTCTATGATGTTCCCCTGTGATGCTTTCAGAAGTCAGGCAGTGAGGGTGAGCCCACAGGGTAACAAGTCCCACCAAGTAACGCGTAAGAGCACATTCCGTGGCCACAGCCACGCCACCAAAGCCACAGTTTCTCATCCCGACAGGTCCTGCCCTGGTCCACGTCAGCTGCAGCCCCAGGTCTGGGCAGGGGAGGATATCTGGTGAGTTGTGGGTAAGGGGCAGCTTCGGGGCCACGACGGGAGGAGGGCAGAGCCTCAGCTCCGCAGGCCACGAGGGAGTTCCACTCCACGAGTGCACTGCAATCTCAGCTCACTGCAACCTCCACAGTTCCAGGCTCAAGGCCTGCAAAGCATCTCTCCCCACATTTAGCTTGCTTGTCCCTCGTGGGGGGCCTAGGGCTGCAGGGCAGGGGTCCCAGCTGCTCAGAGAGGTGAAGAGATGAGCTCAATGCCACACAGCAAGTGGCAGCAGGGAGCAGGAGGATGGTGGTTCCCTACTCAGCCTGACTCAAGGGTTCTCAAAGGGCTCATCCAAAAAGAGGGACTCGCCCAGAGTCTGAAGCCCCAAGGGAACACACACACACACACACACACACACACACGCACACACGCACACACGTACACGCGTACACGCATCCAGGAACCTGCAGCCACCCCCAGCGGCTCCATAGAAAGTATTGGCGCAGGGTCTGGACGGGAAGGATGGGCAGGTCGGCTCCACACAGAGCGTGTGTGGTGCCTTGTTCCACCTGGGGACAGGCCCATAGGCATCGAGGCCACACAGAAAGGTGCCACGGGTAGCACTGGGCGTGTGGCGGCGAGGCACTCACTGAGAGGACGCCTTTAGCATGTAGGTGGCCTCCCGGTCATCTGCGTTCTCCAGCAGCCGCAGGATGAACACGTTGGCCAGCGTCTGGCCCTGGTCCTCCAGCTCCTCCACACGCAGCAGTCCCCGCGGAGCTGAGTCAAATACCTGGTACTTGTCTCTGGAGATCAGGGAGAAGGGCAGGCGTGTCAGCCCCGAGGAGGCCTGTGGGGGTCCCAGGAGAGCCCCACTTGGCAGGCCAACAAGCCTGGCTCCACAGCGCTGGCTGATCTTCACCTCCTTCTGAAGCTTCCACCTGAACGCCTGTCTCCCGCACCCCAAAAGGGTGACCCATCCCAGGTGCGGACAGTGAACAGCACCACGGTCCTGCCAACCCTGACGACCCTACCGTGGCCTCCCTGCTGAGCACTCGCTATGTATCAGACACTGGGCTGGGCCCTTCACAGCCCTACGAGTAAAACCCCCACTTTACAGGAAGGGAAACTGAGGCTTAGGAACGTGAAATAACCTTGGCTAAAGGCCCAAAGCTGGGCCACAGCAGAACAGACCTTTAAACCTGACCGAAGAGCCCAAGCTCTGTCCCGACACCCCCAACCCCCAGGCCACAATCAAACCCAATGCCCAACACACTCCTCTACCCACCGGAGCGCCTGATGCCCTGGGCCCCGACTCACCCTGGAATCTGCCGGCAGATCACCAGCAGGTCGTTGAACAGGAAGAGGTAAATTTCGTGGAAGAGCTTCTTGGTCCTCAGGGTCCGGGAGGTCTTGGGGCCTGACATCTGCTGCAGCTCACCCTGCTTCAGCAGCCAGCGGGAGTGGGAGATGATGGGCACCGACTGCAGCGGGGAAAGGGCATCAGGCAGGCTGTGCCCACAATGTCCCTCCCCAGGACATGCCCCCAGGGCTGCGTCTGTCACATTCCCTGACACCTGCCCAGGGCCCCGACACATGAGGCACAAGTTGGGGGGAAAGGCCGAGTTCTGGACGGATGCAGAGAGATGGCAGGGCTGTGTGTGTGTGTGTGAACATGCACCCCTGTGGGCATGAGTGTGCTATGCGTGTGTGTGCTGTGCATGTGGACTTCTATGTGTATGGACTGTGTTGTGTACCCACATGTGAGCTTAAAGTTATGTGCACGTGCTTGTGTGCATGTACACTGCTGTTTACATGTGTGCACTGCTGTGTGGATACCGTGTGTGTGCCTGTGAGTGTGGCAGCTAGTGTCTGTCATCATTGCCCCCACCAAGCTCTGCCTGTGGGATGCAGAATCAGAGAAGGGGCTGAGTTCACAGTAGAGAGGAAAGAATGGGACCCGCGGGGCAAGGAGGCCAGGCCTGCAGCTGAACGGCCGCCTGGCAGACGATGCAACTCAGGGGCAGGCGCCTGGCAGCCATCGGTCAGCACCGTGTGGAGCTACATGGGACGCCCAGAAGACCGCCTCTGCCTCCTCTAGTGGGGCTCAGCTCCCAAACCAAGCCTGGCCTCAGGGACCGTCTGTGGGCACAGCGTGCTGATGTGGCCAAGTTCCCAGAAAGTCGGGCCCAGGGGACCTGAGGGTTCACGAATGCCTGAAGTTTTCTGTGAAGTTTGGGGGAAGCTGGTAACTTCCAAATCCTCCTGGTTTGAGAATCCCTGGAGCAGCACCCCCCACATCCTCCATGTAAACTGACTGCTCAAGGCCACGCAGCGGGCAGGTGAGAGCAGGGTCCACACCCTGCGTGGGTCTGGGCCGCACACTAGCCCCGCACTCCCGTCTCCCAGGAGACAGATCCGGACCACCGTGGTGGTGTCTGACGCCTGGTGGCAGGCGGGGTGGCTTCAGCTGGGGAGGTCAGGGGGCAGAGGGGATCCTAAGTGTGGCCAGTGACCAAGGACCTAAGCAAGGCCAGCCAGGCGCGGTGATCTGTGCCTCTGGGGCGGGGCCAGGGGCCTGTGCATGGGCACAGGCTCACACCAATCCCACCGGTTCACCTTGATCTTGAACTCCATCTTCTTCTGAATGCTGATCATCTGTTCCGTGCGGCTCATTTTCCTGACGCCCTCGTTGCATGCCTTCACCACCTGGGACAAGAAGGAGGGCACATCAGGCCACCAAAGCCGGCTGTCCCGGCCCCTTCCTCCAGCTCGGTCAGGCCACAGACAGGGCTGAGTGACCACCGTGACCAGACACTGTGCCCACAGCTGAGGCTGGCTGGCCAGTCTCAGTCGGACTGGAGCTCCTCTTTCTAGCACCTTGTGGGGCAAAGGCAAGTGGGAAAACCTGTTAGTTTGGGTGGAGAAAGTTGGTGCCTTGCCCTTGCTAGGAAGCAAACTCCAGAAAACACATGCGTGAGGCATCCCTCCTCCTCTGTAGGCTGGACGGACCGGCAGGGCTCCGGGCTGTTCTCCCCACAGCCCCCTGGGTGGCCACCCAGGCACCAAGGGACCTAAAAATCCCACGCTTCCTGGGGCTCCCGAGGACTCGTTCTGAAGGAAGACAATTCTGCAGTGACACATGGGGCCCGGCACAGGGCCAGGCTCGCCGCAGGCTCTCAGGGCACATAAATGAGCACCATGTCCAGGGAAGTGTGCGCGAGGGCCTCCCTGCCATGTTGTCTGGAGTGAGAAACACGCTCGCCAGCCTCAACAGCCATCAGTGGATTCGATTAAAATAGTTATGATCTATGCAGATACGCAAGAACAGAAATCCAGGAAAGAGGCAGGGACTCCACCTGCACTCGAATGCGGGGCAAAGCTGTTTCTAAACCACAAGCCCTTTTTGTAAAGAATACAGTGGTGTGTGTGCTGTGTGTGCCATGTGTGCATGTGTGTGCTGTGTATATGCAGTGTGTGCTGTGTATGCATGTGCGGTGTGTACTGTGTGTGATATGTATGTGCCATGTGTGCTGTGTGTGCTATGCATACTGTGTGTGATAAGTATGTGCTGTGTGTGTGTGCAGTGTGTATTGTGTGATATGTAGGGGCCGTGTATGTGTGTGTGCGTGCTGTGTGTACTGTGTGTGGTATGTGCTGTGTGTGTGTGCAGTGTGTACTGTGTGATGAGGGGCCATGTGTGTGCGGTGTGTATTGTGTGTGATATGTATGGGCGTGTATGTGCTGTGCGTGTGCCGTGTGTGCAGTGTGTGCCCTGCGAGTGTGCTGTGCACAGGTGTGTGTGCACAGGCGTCTGTTTAGGGCGAGCTGCAGCCTGTCGGCAGGGAGGGCGAGGTGGCTAGTGAAGTTTATTTTCTTTTTACTTACAAGCATTTTCTGAGTTTCCTGGTATTGAGTATAATTACTTTCATAAATCAGAGAAAAAATAAACCTTCATTTTTAAAAAAAAAAGCTATTAGAAACAGAGAATACCTTTCATTATAAGAAAAATGAAGATGAAAGCAGAAAAGAACTTTAAAAACAGAAAACATACCCCTGGCCCAGGGCTGACCTCAGGGAGAGCCTTCTGGGGCACGTGGGCCCCTCACGGGCCATGGTGGCCCCGTGTGGCTGCTGTCTGGTGGTGGCTGGAATGAACTCACATCCAATCAGGTAAAAGGGAAGCTCTGCTTCCAGAGGTGGGCATGGGCCCCTAGAGATGCTGCCTGGCTCACAGGTCGCGGATGCCCCCTGGCTACCCTGCTTGAGGCTCCAGCCTTTCCTCACTAGGCACAGCGTGTAACTGCCAGAGGAATTTTGGTGGCCAACTGGTCTGGGAAAGGGACAGGAGGAGTGGCCCGAGGTGGGAACCGACTGCAATAGGGTAGGAAGTCCTCATGTCTCAATGTGGCTGAGAATGACCATCAGATGCCCACTGAGAGTGATATTCTTTTTACTAAGCTTCTGCCATGGGGTGACAAAGAAGTGGAATATGGACATCCCCCGCCTTGCTCTCCACCATGACGGCGTCACTGGCTCAATGGAGGTGCCCTAGCACAGCTGTCAAAAGCTGGCTCTCAGCTCCAGCTGATGCCAGGAGCCAAACGTGGCAGAGCGCATGGTAAGAGCTCCTGAGGACTGAAACATACTCGCTGGCCCTTCCCGCAAAACCCCTGCTCTGCTGCAAACCTCTAGGAGGAGCCGTCTCTCTCTGAGGGTCAGGAGATGGTCTGGAGAGATGGTCCTTGCACTCTTGGGCAGCAAAGGCCCAGGGCTCTTGGGCAGGGCCAGTGAATCCCCTCACAGAGATGCACAGGGGTGACTGAGCTCCGGGGACTGGGAGAGTGGCGTGGAGGGCTGGGTTCGGAGCAAAGGGCTTCATCAGGGCACAGGGAAAGTGGGAACCAGCCTCGGTGAGCCTCACAGGAGGGAGGAGAGACTGTTTCTGACATGGAAAAACAGGCAAAGACAAGCCTGGGGTCTGTGTGGGCCCCAGATGCCTGCAAAGAACAATCCCAGGGAGCTGATGAGAGGAATCAGGGCCTGTGCATGATCGCAGAGCTCCACACTGGTGAAGAATGTCCTGAGAGCCACGCTGCTGTCCCCACATCCATGCCAGGCACAGTAACAAGACAGGCGGTGAGTACGTAAGGCTGGAGCCAGGAAGCAGGGTAAAGAAGGCTCTCTACCCAAGCCATGCCTGGTGTATTTTTTTAAGCCCCAGTGACTCTTTTGATTGCAAAAGTGAATTTTAAAATAAATTTGCATATTCTAAAAAGACACACGGACATGTGGGGAGCAGGGCCGGAAAGGTGTGCCTGGATGAGGAAAACAGTGCATTGGGATACAGCACAAGAGGAGGTGAGACTCACCATTTCCAGCTCCTTGTGAGCATCCAAAGCAGTGCACTCCCGCTCAGACCTCTCTTCTACCCTCTTCAGGATGTTCTATGCACAGAGAAAGGCTGCGTTAACTTTAATCTTTTCTGGTCTTTCCTCCCATTTCCCACCTTGACCGTGACTACCTCCCTACTGCACCAGTCCAGCCCCATGCTGCAGCATGCACACACACACACACGCACGCACGCACACGCATACATGCATGCACACATGCATACAGACCTGCGTGTGCACACACGTGCATACATGCTCGCACACACATGCACACCATGCACATGATGCACACCTGCAAGCAGTGTGCACACATGCACACCGTGTAGAAACATGCATACAAGCACACGTGCACACATGCATGCACACACGTGCATACATGCTCACACATGCACAACACGATGCATGCACACTTGCAAGCACAGTGCACACACATGTACACACGTGTACAAACATGCATACAAGCATGTGTGCGCACACATACATGCATGCACATACATGCATACCTGCACACACACACGCATGCACGCACACACATACACACAGCCTCCATCTGACAAATGGAGAGCAAGAGAGCCCGCAGGTGTGGCACCCAGCAGTGAGGACTGTCACGCTTAGGGTCAGCTCTGTCCCCAAGGGGAGCTAAATGCTTACGGGACAGGGGTAGGGGGACCAAGGGCTTCCCTCTCCTCCCTGGGACTGTCATTTGGCCCCGAAACTTTGTTAACTTTGGTCTTCTCCATGAAAGTGTAAGAAAGAGTCTCTTCTCCAACTGTTCAATTTTCTTCAGTTAACAAAAAATTATGCCCATACTGCTTTCACCTGTAAATTACGATTTTGACATTGCTCTATAAACTCCACATGGTTTCCTCTTAGCGGTCCCCACCATGCCCACGTTTTCTGACTGGCTTTTGTCCTGTAAGTAGGCTGGGTGCATCTGGGCACCAACCACCTGTCCTCCCGGCTGCTGGGTGCCACGGCAGCACAGATGTCTCCCCTGACAGCAGCCCAGGCCTCTCCTGTGGTCACCTGCCCGCCTCTGCCTGGCAGCCAAGCCAGAGACCTTCGAGACCCACAGCCACCTTCCTGCTTTTTCCATCCTGTATGTGGCCACCATGCCTGTCATTAACTGTCCCCCTACTTCCAAATCCCTGCTGAACAGCACGGTTTAGACGCCATCTTTTCTCACAGGCATAAAAGCTGCATCTGACCAGGTGGCATTGGTGGCCTCAGATGGAGGGCAGTATGGGTTCCTTAGCCTGGCACGTGCTCTCCCACGCCAGCCTCCACTCGGTGTGTCCCCAGCATGCTGCCTGATGTGGAGACTTGCCGTTCTCTCTGGAATGGTCCCTGACCCGCCACCCCTTTCTCTGAGCCCTTCCCTGAGTGCCCACCCCAGCTGTCCCCATTCCACCATTTCCTAATCACTGCATTTCCATTGCTTTTAATCTTACTGTTGGTTTTCATCTTATAGAAGCTAAGGTTTTAATATATTCATATATGCACTTTCCCTATAAAATGTCCTAAAATATTTTTCACTGCATAATTAGGAAATGTTACTGTCTTCTGTTTCACTTTTTCCAAGTTAAAAAAATATTTCCCACGGAACTGCGTTCATCACAGGTGTCTTCCGGTTTGGGGTCGCCATCCCGGCTTTGCCCTCACGTTCGTATCTCCATTAGCCCTGGGCCAGGGGCTTCTCCTGACAACTGCTTCCTTGGCCTCATGCTCCCAAACCCTTTCCTCCTGGGTCAGGCCTCCTCTCTGTAATTCTGCTCTTTCTGGAGTAGCTGCCCCTAGGTCTTTGGCCTCTCACCTGTCTGACCTCTGACCTCTGCTACCTGTGGCTCCCAGGTCCCCCTCAGCTCATGCTCCTCAGGGCCACAGCTGCACTCTATACCGTCCACTTCACCAGCCCAGCTGCCAATGGCTCCCTCTGCCCAGGGCATCAGTAGACAGGGCCCCAGCATCTGTCAGGCAGAGGGGGTCTCTGTCCTGCCTCACTGGGCCTGTCAGGTGGAGGGGGTCTCGGTCCTGCCTCACTGGGTTGTCAGGCAAAGGGGGTCTCTGTCCTGTCTCACTGGGGTTGTCAGGCGGAGGGAGTCTCAGTCCTGATTCTGGGTCTGTCAGGTGGAGGGGGTCTCTGTCCTGCCTCACTGGGCCTGTCAGGTGGAGGGGGTCTCTGTCCTGCCTCACTGGGCCTGTCAGGTGGAGGGGGTCTTGGGCCTGCCTCTGGGCCTGGCTGGAGCCTCCCTTTTCTGGAAGCCCCATCCCCCTGAGTCTCCCATGCCTCCAGCTCTGTGGGTTTCCACCTCCCTCACCGCTGCTCCTTCCCAGGCCTGGCTGCGTCCCTGAGTTTGGTCTCAGGCACCTTTCTCTCCTTCCTTGGCGGCCTCTTCGGTTAATTACCACCTTGATGCCAGCGAGTCCTGCCCAACTTCTCCCTTTAACTCTGACCTCTGACACTGAACTGTCCAAAGTCATCTCAAACTCAGTTCATCCTGCCCTGAATCCTGAGCCCTCCCCGCCCCAAGACGTCCCCATCTCAGCAACGGCTGCACACCCCCAAACTGCTCAAGGTAAAAGCCGAGGAATCACTCTCAGTCCTTCTCTCAGCAAGTCACTGATTTCAATTCCCTGACATCCCTGCCGGGCCCCCACTCCCCGACCCAGCCCCACAGGCCAGTGTAACCCCTTCCCCGTTTCCGTCACCCTCTGGAGCAGCCAGGGCCAGCTCCTAAAAGTGGGTCCGATCAGGTGACTCCCATCACACTGAGGACAGGACCCAATGTCTTCCCTGGAACTGCCTCTGTCCCCATCTCCACACCCACTCCCGTCCCCGTCATGTTCCCGAGATCGCTGCTGGCCTTTCTGTCCATGAACCTTGCAGTCTTGGGGCCTTTGCACAAGCGGTTCCCTCTGCGTGGAATGTTCTTTCCTCTACCTGCCCCCACCAGCTCCTCCCTGTCAGCCAGGTCTCAGCTTACACGTCACGTGTCTTTCCTGACCCGCCCCCATCGCTGCAACTGGCAGTGGCCAGCCAGCCACCCCTGTCGTGTCGGCCCATTTGGCTGTCCCCAGGGCCATGCCCACTTCCTGGCTGTGCATGGTTCGGTCTCTCCCCTCTGCGATGGGCTCCCTGGGAGCAGGCGCTGCATCCTCACTGCCCAGGAACGTGCTTGGCACACATGGGAGGAGCTTAGTATCTGTTGAACCAGTAGACCTCCTAGAAAGCTGACAGGGCCCGGGAATGACCACAGCAAAGCCTGGGAAGCCCCGTCTGTGGGTCAGGTGGAGGAGGCTGTACCTGGACCAACAGCTTGAGGCGTGTGATCCTCTGGAAAGGCAGGATGAGGAAGGAGGAGAAGGGCAGCCCCCTGCACTTGGGGTCGAGCTCTAGCTGCGCGATCAGCTCCCGGAAAGCTGCCTTCTCCTGGCTGGGGACACAGACAGGTGGAGTAGGTCTCTGAGCTGCAGGAGGCATGAACTGGAGACTCCTCCTCCCCATCCACAGCCTCCCAGGATCCAGACGACCCACGGGCTCAGAAAACATGTTGATTTCTTTCTTTGTTTTTTTTCAAAAGGAAAATAGACTGTTCACGTAAAAGTCAAATAACAATAGTGGCTTCACATGCCTGGCCTTGAAGACTTGGCACAATATGCTGCTGTGTGTGGGAGGATAAGGATTCCTTGTGTGGCCAAGTCTGTGAATCAGATGCACAATTAGATGATTTCACCCAGCGGGAAACTGTGGCAAGGTAAACCCACGTAGTGACAGGAACGGGCAGCAGGCTAGAGACACCACCAGGACAGCCTGCACTATTTCTGACAGGTGGGCTCAGCGGTGGGCTGGGCCACAGCGCTGATGAGGGCTGGGAGAGCTGGAGGTGAGCTCGGCCCCATGCATGTCAGCAGGGATGGCAGGGACGGCAGGGACAGCAGGGACAGCAGGGACGGCAGGGACAGGTGCTCAGCCTGTCACTCAGCCTCTGTGCTCACACGGCCTGGCGGGGGCCACAGCGGCAGGCTCTTGGGTGCTGTGAATGATTCCTAATCTGCCACATGCTTGCCTTCTCAATGTTTATCCTCAAAAATTGCATCCTCATTCCCTCCAATTCCAATTTTCCTTCACCAACTGTTAAAACATCCAAATGCCCAAAGACTCAGGCTTGAAACGTGCACCATGAACTCCATGTCTTGGTGGAAAAGCCAGTGAGGCGCAATGTGCAGACGCCACAACTGGAAAACTCCCTGGGTGCTTCTGTGCGGAGCCAAGACGGCCTCCCTGGCTAACCCCAGGCACTGAAGTGCGAACCTCAGTGCGCAGAATTCAGAAGAGGCACGCTGGCTGGAAAATTACCTTGTCAACTAAACCTCAGAGAAAGTTTACAAAATGGGCAGATTAGCAATCAATGCCCCGGCGCTGCTGGAGGAGCCCCACCGAGGCTCCTTCCCATCCTGTCCCTGCCCTTGTCGCTAGTTCAAGCCCCGTCTCTGATGTCCTGGGCTTTGAATTGTCCACATGACCTCACTTGACCTCAAGCTCTCTTTTCTAACTGCACAGTGCTCTGCTCAGCCATTGGATCCAGGTCCAGTGGATGCTACGCTGATTCTCTTGGGGTCTGGCTGGGCTAATGTTTCTCTAGTGACACCAATACACCCTAGAACGTGCTGGGTTGGGACACTGTCACCAGTATCCCTGGCCAACTCCGGTGGCTCATGTGGACCTTGGGAACGCAGAGGTAAAGGACCATGAAGTGTCACCGTGTAAGGAGCCTGGGCCAGCACTGGTATGGCTGCCCCGGGCACCTCCCCCTGCCCCTGAGCCCCTTGCCGGATACACTCACAGCAGCTGCTTATAGGTCCGCTCCTGGTAGGTCTGATTGCTGACGTAGGTGATGTAGACAGAGAAGTGGTCGGCCGCATAACGGTACACAATGTCACACACGTCAGAGATGACGATGTTCTCCTCCATCCGGTGCTCCAGCTCCAGGAGGAACCTACGAGAGGCAGCGGCTTGAGGCGGAGGGTGCCCGGGGGGTAGGGTGGGGAATTGTCTCACCAAGGGCAGCATGCGAGCCTGACTTGGACATTGGACATAGCAGTGTGCACGGTGAGCGTACAGGCCGACAAGATCCATCGGCAGGGGCACCGAGCACTGGTGGTGTATTTGGTCATCTTGAAGAATGACTGTGTTTTCACGGGGCTGATGGTGCTGGGAGCACCAAGAGACCTTATCTTTCAGGTATGTGCTGATGTGTTTGAGGATAAAATAGATGACCATGGGGATCTGCTTCAGAAGGGTCCCCTGGGGGGTAGGGACTGGCCCCTGGGCTGACCACTGCTGACGCTGGTGAGCAGCGCACATGGACATCTACCTCTGCATGTTTGGAATTTTCCACAGTAAAATACAAATACATAAGACAGAAGTGCCGTGGCAGGGCCAGGCGCAGTGGCTCACGCCTGTAATCCCAGCACTTTGGGAGGCCGAGGCGGGCGGATCACCTGAGGTCAGGAGTTCGAGACCAGCCTGGCCAACATGGTGAAACCCTGTCTCTACTAAAAATACAAAAAATTAGCCGAGTGTGGTGGTGGACGCCTGTAATCCCAGCTACTCGGGAGGTTGAGGCAGGAGAATCGCTCGAACCCAGGAGGCGGAGGTTGCCATGAGTTGAGATCGCACCATTGCACTACAGCCTGGGCAAAAAGAGTGAAACTCTGTCTCAAAAAAAATAAAAAAGAAGTGCCGCAGCAGAAGCCCAGGGGTCTCACAGGCCACTCTGGCCCCAGTCAGCCATCACCTCCCAAACCCACCAGAAGGCGCTGCCACGAAGGGGTGAGGGGGCTGCAAACAGAAGTGAGAGTGTCAGTGTGGAGGAGAGACCCACTTGGAGGCCCACAGAGAGTGAGCAGCTCCCAGGGTGCCACATGTGATGCTGAGCGGATCCCCACTGCTCAGAGCGGGGCTGCGCCGGGCCCCACCTTGGTTTCCCATCTGATCACCAGGCACTGTCCCAGCTGAGCCCCATGTGGCTTCTGGCTGCAAAACTCCATGGCCTGCCCTGGGGATGGTAAGTGCTCTTTCATCCTGGCCACATGATTTGGTTCCTTTCCTTTTCAAAGGATTCAATGGGCAGATGTCTGTCTACTCTTCCTCCGCTGCAGCTCGGCCCAGGCTTCACACAGTCCCTGCTGGAAGCACAGCTCCCAGAGCTGTGGAAAACGCACTCAGGAGGTGAGGATGTGGGAATCCAGGGCTGCACCCTGCACAGGGCCTGAGGCCCTGCATGCGCCACTGGGGCTTTCTGCTAGGGTAAGGAGCAGCTTACATGGACACCTTCTGTCCCTGTCACAAGACTCCCGTGGACCTGCCTGGTTTAAACCTGTCCAACCACCGGTTTGATGCATGAGAGAGCTGGACTCAGCGTCACTCCAACCTGGGGCCAGCAGGATGCTCAGCGCAGAGCTTTGTGTGGGGCACAGGTGCTCATGGGAAGGGACGCCGGGGGACGTGACTGGCCACCCTGCCAGAAGGGGTGGTGAGGTTTGGATTTAGTTCTTCATTTATTTATATTTTATTATGGAACATTCCAAACATCTGGAAGTAGAGAAGCCAGTATCGAGCACTTGTCATCAGTGTCTCAAGCATGTGCCCTGGGGATGAAGAAGGGCCCTGAGGGAGGTGGCTGTCCCCCCCGTCCTCACCGCTCACTGACAGCCAGCACGTCCAGGACGTTGGAGAAGAGGATGTGCGCCTCGGACGGGTGCAGGATCTTCCTTATCCGCTCGTTCTCCATGAAGTGGGACACGAGCAGGTTCAGACTCTTGTAGTAGGACGCCTCGGAAGTGACCAGCTCGAACATGGCCTGTAGCAGGGAGACCCCATGGTTACCGCCTGAAGTTGGCCTTCCACGAAGGCGCTAGCCTTGGCTGAGACAGAGGAGCAGAGGGAGGCTCAGCAGGGAGTTGAAAGGGAAAAATCGCCTGCTCCTGGGGCCTGGGATGGCTGCTGCAGGGGCAGCTGGTAACACCTGCGGCCGGGAATGGTAGTGAGGCCACTCTTCCTAGGGAGCACACTACCCCTAAGGTGACAGGGCACGGAGGCTACTCCCTGTGAGAGAACACTTACCATACTGACAACTGGAGATAGCCTAAGATCCAAAATATGAAACAAGACAAAAACGAGAGAGGTCAGGCTGGGCGTGGTGACTCACTCTTGTAATCCCAGCACTTTAGGAGGCCGAGGCGGGCAGATCACTTGAGGTCAGGAGTTCAAGACCACCCTGGCCAACATGGTAAAACCCTGTCTCTACTAAAAATACAAAACTTAGCTGGGTGTGGTAGCACATGCCTGTAATCCTAGCTGCTTGGGAGGCTGAGGCATGAGAATCACTTGAACCTGGGAGGCAGAGGTTGCAGTGAGCCCAGATCACGCCACTGCACTCCAGCCTGGGTGACAGAGTGAGACTCTGTCTTAAAAAAAAAAAAAAAAGGTCAGCCACACACCTGAGCCCGCACAGCTGCCAAGGGTGGCTTGGCCCATGCTCTGGGTGTGCTAGTGGGTGCGAAAGTCAGCAGGTGGGAGGAATCCTGTTCCTCCACGCCCAGCAGAAAAGCGTCAGGGGAAACCGGCCAGTGTCAAGCACGAGTGTCACGGGTGGAATCTGGGGGGATGTTTACCTTTTTACCTTTTGAATCGCCTGATAATTTAACAATGAACATATATCATGGTCTGATTTTATAATGGAACCAATAAGGTGATTTTCATTTTGGAAGAGAGAAAGAAATCCATAACCTGATCAATTTTCTGGAGGTGCCTTTATTCGATGTCATGATTATCACCTGATTGCTGAGCCTCTGAATAGCTGACTAGGATCTAACAGCAGTTCTGCATCTCATGGGTCATTCTGTAAGGGCAGGTGGCAGATCCCGGCTCACCTTCCTCCCTTGTTTACAAATCAACCCAATGACCCACCTTCCTCTTCCCCGTCACCCTCTGATACTTAGGGCGGGTTCAGGTCCCACAGTCGCTTCCCAGGAGGGACAGCAGAGTGGGTTGAACTGTGGCCCCCACAGAAGCTACATCCATGTCCTAACCCCAGCACCTGTGAATGGGACCTTATTTGGGAAAAGGGTCTGTGCAGACATAATTGAGTCAAGGAGCTCAAGATGAGATCATCCTGGGTTAAGGTTGGCCCCAAACCAATAATGGGTGTCTTTATAAAAGAGGCCAAGGGAGATTTAATAATGTGACACAGACACACAGAGAAGGCACAGACAGAGATGGGACTGATACAGCCACCAGCAGTTGGAGTTGGCCAGAAGGATCCTCTGCAGAGCTGTCAGAGGGAGCACAGCCTGCCCAGGCTGTGGGAGAATCAATCCTGTGATCCTCTGCCACCCAGTTTCTGGTAATTTGTTATGGCCACAGAGGAGGGGTGGAAACAGAGCAGTGAGGAGCCTGGGGTAAGGGTGAGGGTGGGGGTGAGGGTAGGGGTGAGGGTGGGGTAGGGGTGAGGGTGAAGGTAGGGGTGAGGGTGAGGGTAGGGGTGTGAGGGTAAGGTTGGGGTTGAGGGTAGGAGTGGGGGTGAGGGTAGGGGTTGGGGTGGGGGTAGGGGTGGGGGTGGGGGTAGGGATGGGGGTGGGGGTAGGGGTGGGGGTAGGGGTGAGTGCAAAAGTAGGGGTGAGGGTGAAGGTAGGGGTGAGGGTGAGGTTAGGGGCGTGGGTGAAGGTAGGGGTGAGGGTGAAGGTAGGGGTGAGGGTAGGGGTAAGGGTGAGGGTAGGGTTGAGGGTGGGGGTGAGGGTGACGGTGGGTATAGGGGTGAGGGTGTGGGTAGGTGTGAGGGTGGGGGTAAGGGTAAAGGTAGGGATGAGGTGAGGGTAGGGGTGAGGGTGAGGGTACAGGTGAGGATGGGGGTAGTGGTGGGGTTAAGGGTGAGGTAGGGGTGCGGGTGAGGGTAGGGGCGAGTGTGGGGGTAGGAGTGGGGGTGAGGTTAGGGGTAAGGGTGGGAGTAGGGGTGGGGTGAGGGGTGAGGGTTGGGATGGGGTGGGGGAAGGGGTGAGGGTAGGGATGGGGTAGGGGGTGGAGGTGGGGGTCTGGCCCCTTCCCCAGGGTCCTGCCCATCCCCTGCCTCACTCCTTTTAGGGCCGCCCTCCGGTTTCTCCACTCATCAGAGCCCTGACCCAGGGCCCAGGGCTTTGGCATGAAAGCAGGAGCTCCAGGGTTAGAGGCATTTGTTCCCAGAACACAGTGGGCCCTGGAGTGGTGGGGTTTTGCAGGCTGTTTCACTTAATCCTCCCAGGTCCCCCAGAAAGGACAGACAGAAGCTCCCATTTTACCAAAAGGAAACAGACACAGAGAAGTGAAGTTGCATCCAGAAAGTCACATGGCTGGATGCTGGAGGAGTGGAGATGCTGCCACCTCCCAGGTAGCGCAGGGGTTTGCTGGGCATTTGATGCCCGCCTGCAGGAGCTCTCACTGCTGCTTCCCTGCAAAGCTCTGCCCACCCACCCACCTGGCAGAGCACTCTAAAATAAGGGACGAATCTGGAAGCTGGGAACACCCCACAGAGAGTTCACATTGATGTCACTCCAGGGCCAGCGGCCAACTGCAGACCCCGAACCACCATCAGTAGCCAGGGCCCACCCGGCCCCCAGTGTCTGCACCTCACTTGAGACAGTGACAGTCAGAGATGAGACGCTGAAATGAGCCTGTGGCCTCTCCGTGGCCATCCCCACGTCGCATCTGCCTCATCTACCTAAAAAGCAGCCACAGCAAGCACACAGCAGCACCTCACTTGAGACAGCGACGGTCAGAGACGAGACGCTGAAATGAGCCTGTGGCCTCTCCGTGGCCATCCCCACGTCGCATCTGCCTCATCTACCTAAAAAGCAGCCACAGCAAGCACACAGCAGCGGGCCTCACAGCAGCAGACCTGCAGCCCAGCGCTGACTGGCAGCAGACCCCGAGTCGGCCAGTGTCCACCGACACAAAAGTGAGGCTATGACGGGCAGCCAGTTTCCCAGAAGCTTCTCAGCTACAGATGCTGTTATGAATTCATTTTCCTGCTGCTAAATTTAAGTTTCCTAAGAAAATGTGAAGCAGTTACAGCTCACAAGTTCCAAGCAAACATAACTCACAAAACTGATACGAATGATACCAAGGGGAAAACCCCCATGCCCACAGCGCCACATCACAGAAAAGCATGCCATTAAACCACATGGCCCTGAAGGATGCCTGCTAGAGACACCTGGGATGACACCCTGGCTCTGGATCACCCGGATCTTCTGGCCGACAGCATCTCTGTCCTGATCTTCAGGGCCAGGGGAAATGGCAGGTAGGGCCTTTCAGCTGTGGGCCTTGGCCTGAATCCCTGCTAATCGGTATGGCTGAGGCTCATTCCCCAGAACTCTCACCCCTCCTCATCCATTTACAGGCAACGTCACCTGTGAATTTTAGCTTCCAGGATGTTTGTCTTCATTTTGTATGTCAAATTGTTTGTCATGTCGATATGGCTATCTTTTCCTTATCGATATTACTTTTGCTCTCATTTAAGCCTCTACATGGCAGCATAGAGCTGACGAGGGATCCAGGCTCTGCTCGCTCTTCATTCATTCACTCGTTCGTTCCTTCGTTCCACAAATGCTCACTGAGCATCTGCTGAGCACCAGGCACTGGTCTAGGCACTGGGCACTCGGCTGTGAACACAGCAAGACTGGCTTCCCATGGCACTTTCGTCCCAGGGTAGTGGAAGGAAGTGTGAGCCTGTGAGGGCGAGTGGGAATGAGTGTATGTGTGCATAGACATACGCGAGTCAGGGTGTGAGCATTAAGGAATGAGAGTGCATGTGTGGGAAATTGTGGGTGAATGTGTATATGGGTGTGGCTGTGAGAGCATGTAAGTGAATGTGTGTGTGAATGCATGTGTGTGTGTGAATGTGAGTGTGAATGGGTGTATGTGTGTTAACATGTGTGAGTGAATATGAGGGTGGGTGTGGATGTGTGGATGTGTGTGTAAATGCATTGTGTGTGAATGTGTAAATGAGTATGTATGAAGGTGGGTGTGAATGTGTGCATGTGTGTGAAAGAGTATGAGAGTGTGTGACAGTGGGTGAATGTGTATGAAGGTGAGTGTGAATGTGTGTGAATGAGAGTATGTGACTGTGTGTGTGAATGTGTGCATATGAGGGGGGCGTGTGAACGTACGTGTCACTACAGAAGCTCCTCCTCAGGGAATGCGCATGTAGCCTGGACCCGGCTGTCTGAATCTCTGCTTGGTCTGGGAATGGCGCTCTCAGCTCTGTTGCTATCTGCCAGTATTCACGTCACACTTCCTGGCTTTCCTAAGCCCATTCCTGGCCTGGATTCCTTGTGAAGATTCAACTCCGGTCCAGCCTGGGCTTTCTTCAGGCTCCTCTTTTGTGATCTCTTGCTGATGGGTCAGGGGTCTCCTTTGGTTTTCACACACATGCTCTCACAGTCACTCATATACATGTTCACTCACATTCACTTACACACATGCTCTCACAGTCACTCATATACACGTTCACTCACATTCACTCACACACACATGCTCTCACAGTCACTCATATACACGTTCACTCACATTCACTCACACATGCTCTCACAGTCACTCATACACACATTCACTCACACACGCTCTCAGTCACTCATATACACGTTCACTCACATTCACTTACACACGTGCTCTCACAGTCACTCATATACACGTTCACTCACATTCACTCACACACACGCTCTCAGTCACTCATATACACGTTCACTCACATTCACTCACACACACACGCTCTCACAGTCACTCATATACACGTTCACTCACATTCACACACATGCTCTCACAGTCACTCATATACACGTTCACTCACATTCACTTACACACATGCTCTCACAGTCACTCATATACACATTCACTCATTCACTCACACACGCTCTCACAGTCACTCATATACACGTTCACTCACATTCACTCACACACACACGCTCTCACAGTCACTCATATACACGTTCACTCACATTCACTTAGACACATGCTCTCAGTCACTCATATACACGTTCACTCACATTCTCACACACACACGCTCACAGTCACTCATATACACGTTCACTCACATTCACACACACGCTCTCACAGTCACTCATATACACGTTCACTCACATTCACACACACACGCTCTCAGTCACTCATATACACGTTCACTCACATTCACACACACACGCTCTCAGTCACTCATATACACGTTCACTCACATTCACTCACACACGCTCTCACAGTCACTCATACACGTTCACTCACATTCACTTACACACACACGCTCTCACAGTCACTCATATACACGTTCACTCACATTCACTTACATGCTCTCACAGTCACTCATATACACGTTCACTCACATTCACTCACACACACGCTCTCACAGTCACTCATATACACGTTCACTCACATTCACTTAGACACATGCTCTCACAGTCACTCATATACACGTTCACTCACATTCACTCACACACACGCTCTCACAGTCACTCATATACACGTTCACTCACATACACACACGCTCTCACAGTCACTCATATACACGTTCACTCACATTCACTCACACACACACGCTCTCAGTCACTCATATACACGTTCACTCACATTCACACACACGCTCTCAGTCACTCATATACACGTTCACTCACATTCACTCACACACACACGCTCTCACACTCATGCACACATTCACTCACACACACACATGCTCTCACACAATCACCCACAGAGGCACTGGGAGCCACGCTGCCCGTGGGGCCAGGACCAGGACCTGAAGCCAGGTGAGCAGGCCCCCTCTCAGGCAGCGCGGGCCACGGGGCTGCTCTGGGGTGGTGACGTCCGGCGGCCTCAGATCAGCCAGGTCCCGGAGTTAGGGCCGCCTACACCACCCTGTTCAAGTCACACATTTGAAAAACAAAAGAGACCCATCAGCAAGAGGTCACAAAAGAGGAACCAGGACACCAAGAAAAGTCTGCAGGAAGCCAACCTGCTCCTGATGGAGAAAGGCGGAAGCTTTACCAGCTCTAACACCCAAAGAGCGACGGGCTTTTACGCAGCCCGCGGGCCCCAATTCCCTGTTACTTAAGGCAGTTCAGCTTGTCCTGCAGTTCACGGTCAAACATGGGCCATGCTGCCTGGCCGGCCGGGACTACAGTGTCTGTCCTCGGAGTCCCACTCCTGCCTCCGCACTCGGATCAACCCTGCGTTCCCCACCCTCAGCAAAGCTCGAGGCTGCGCGATTTCTCCTCCCCGCTCTTTACCTACACGGTCTCCTTATGATCCAGGGTTCGCCGTGGACCTCTGGGCCGTGCATTCCAGCCTGATTTGGGTTGTTTTTTTGGCTTCTCCCGACCCCTGTGTTAACAAATCACTGCTGTCTCTGATGCTGTGACCTTCGATGCGTTGTTGCAGCTGCGTCACCAGGGTGACATCTGCGGGGGTCGGAGCCAAAGGCCAGCAGACCGTGGACTGAAGGGCGGGCTCACTGGCTGCCCTCCACCTTCCTCACGGCCAGGAAACAAAACGTAGCCCCTTCCCCACAAGGGTTCTGCGAGGTCCCTTCCCATCCACCCGTGTGCCAGGCCCTCCCCACACAGGTCACCCCCAGTCCTGGGCATCAGGGCACTGGCCTGGAGCCCAACTTAGTTCACTGGCTTTTGCCTGGAGGGAGGGAGGGGATGAAGAGAAGGCCAGGCAGAATGCCAAGGGTCTAAGGCGTCCTTCCGGGACTCCCTTAGAGGCTGTGGGGACGTCGCCGTGACACCTCAGCACAGGCCCTACCATCCAGGCTCCGTGTCTCCAGTATGCTGCTGGGAGCTATCAGGGCCACCTGGGCCGCTGAAGACCCGGCCTCAGTCTGTCCTCGGCAGGGCAGTGGCTGGGGTGTGTGTGGTACGGGGATCACCATGGCCCACTCCTCTCTCTCCTCTAGCAGCTGGGGCCAGAGCCAGAGCCAGGGGCGCAGGGCGCTCCCAAGCTCTCCACTCTCTGCTCCTGCCCCACAGAGTCCTCTTGCTGCAGCCGCCCTGGGGTGATTCACATCCTCTGTTCCCCAGGATGACTCAACAGCAAGGTCACAAAGTTGCCTCGGTGCCTGCTGCTGGTGCAGTCATTTACACTGCAGGCATCAGGATGCACGGAAGTGACTTTAAAAGGCTTCCAGTTAAGAAGAAACCCCTCAAAGGCTATCCTCCTTCTGCAGACAATGATGATGAAGTCGGACTCCAGAGCCAGAGCCCGAGCCCAGCCCGCTGCAGCGCAGTCTTTAGTGAATTCGAGGCCGGACTGAGCAGGTCCCGTGAGCAGCGTGGGGAGTGGGGGCTTGGCTGTCTGATGGGGGAGTGACAGCTAACCCCTTGGGTTGCTAAGGGACGAGGGGAGTCACATATTCAACGCAGCCATGGGATGCAGGCGCTGGGGGCCCAAACCCAAGCCTCGGCACTCACACACATCACAAATGCCAATTACTACGTTTTCTCAAGATGACCTGTTAATAAAATCATTCGCAAAAATGTTTACATGCTAAAATAAGTGTGTGTAAATTTAAAAAGACACATGCTTGAGAACATGTTCAGCCTGCCTCATGGCAAGAGAAATGTTATGTTAAAACCACAACGAGGCCGGGTGCGGTGGCTCACACCTGTAATCCCAATACTTTGGGAGGCCCAGGCGGGTGGATCACCTGAGGCCAGGAGTTCGATGGCCAACATGGTGAAACCCCGTCTCTACTAAAAATACAAAAGATTAGCCAGGCATGGTGGCCGGTGTCTGTAATCCCAGCTACTTGGGAGGCTCAGGTGGAAGAATCACTTGAACCTGGGAGGTGGAGGTTGCAGTGAGCTGAGATCGCGCCACTGCACTCCAGCATAAGTGACAGAGTGAGACTGTCTTAAAACAAAACAAAAACAAAACAAAACAAAAAATGTTTAATCTAGCACACTGGGTAAAGAGAAAATAGCTGGGTAAGGCACCACATTAGTGGCAGGGGACCAGCACACTCATATGTGGCTAGTGTGTGAAGGCAATTAGGCGATACCCTCTCAAAATTTAAAGAACATTTAACCTTTCACCCAACAATCCCACTTAGCAATTCCCTTAGCATTCCACTGTGTAGATGTTCAATCTTCCATGAGTATAAATAATGCTGCAATGAACACTCTCAGTACCCGGTATTTCCAACTGCAAATATCCATCAACAGGGACAGGTTAAATACATTATGGAACATCTAAACAGTGGAGCCCAGAAAACTGCAAAAATGAGGGTGCTCTATTTGGATGGAGATGGAAAGATATGGTCAGTATTTTAATACTAGTTTACATTTGTGTGACATGAGGGCACACACACACACACACACACACACCTGAATATGTGTCTGACGAGGGAACTGGGTGGCCCAGGACAGGAGTGGGAGAAAGACTTTCACTGAGAGTCCTTTTGCACCTTTTGAACTTCCTGTCAGGTGCATACATTTTTTAACCAAAAGATAAATTTAAAAAAATGCTACCTGCCTACTTTGCTACTTTGTTAAAACAGGTATTGGTATTTGCTTTCTAACGCCTAGCTGACGTTTTAGGTAATGGCCACGTCCACCTCAAAGCATCAAGAAAAACTCCCTGCCGTCTCCCACTGTAGGACTCATCTGCTGAATTGTTGAGGGTTTAATCTAAACAGAAAAATATATAATTCAGTAACAGTTGGTAAATTAAAGAATGATCACAATGTAATTTTTTGGATAGAGGTCCATCATATTAAAATCCTAAGTAATTTCTTTCTAAAATGCACAATTTTCTTTTGGGAGTGGGGAAAGTAAACACGCTTAAGTTGTGAAACAGGCTGGAAAACAACAAAAATACAACTCTGTATGTCAGAGGCTGTACAGATGCAGACTGAGCTGCATCGCAACTTACAGCTGTAAAAATTACAGTCCAGGCAACACAGCAAGACCCAGCATCTACCGAAAGAAAAGACAATTCGCCGCCCTGTGGTTAGGCTGCATCAGGTGACCACAGGGCCCCTTGCTTCTCGCTCCCCAGCAGGACAAAGCCATTAGTCCTGTCTGGGCATGGGGGGACCGAGCCACACCCCACAGCCTGGGCAGGCTGTGCATATATGAGTGTGTGTCCCTGCTCCCCTGGAGAGCCTCACATCATTCCAGCTCCACGCCCAGCCCACCAAGACCAGGGACCGTGGCAAGTCCATCTTTCTCTAGCTCTGCCTCCTGGGTTCAAGTGATTCTCCTGCCTCAGCCTCCCGAGTAGCTGGAACTACAGGCATGTGCCACCATGGCAGGCTAATTTTTGTATTTTTAGTAGAGACAAGGTTTCAGCATGTTGGCCAGGCTGGTCTCGAACTCCTGACCTCAGGTGATCCACCTGCTTTGGTCTCCCAAAGTGCTGGGAGTACAGGCGTGAGCCACCACACCCAGCCCCTTCCCAACCTTTTAATTTGAATCTATGCCTAATTATTTCCTCCAATTGTTGGGTTCTCAAACAGTAACTAAAACACTATCCCAGAAGGGTGGGACCAAGTGCTTCAGGACAAATTAAAAAACAAAAACTGAGGCCTAGCATGGTGGCTCACACCTATAATCCCAGCACTTTGGGAGGCTGAGGCAGGAGGATTGCTTGAGCCCAGGAGTTGGAGAATAGCCCAGGCGAAACAGCAAGACCCCATCTCTTCAAAAAATTTTTAAAGATTAGCCTGGAGTGGTGGTGCACACCTGTAGTTGCAGCTACTTGAGAGGCTGAGGCAGGACAGCTTGAGCCCAGGAGTTCAAGGCTTCAGTGAGCTGTGATCGCACCACTGCACTCCCGCCTGGGCCACAGAGTGAGACCTTGTCTCTAAATAAAAAAACAAACAAAAACAACAAACTATTAATAAGCTGAGAAAGTCCTATGCAGGAACTCTTTCCCATTTCAGCTAGATAATTTTTACTTTAAAAGGAGGAAAACAGCTCTCTCCTCTCTCCTCTCCCCTCTCCCCTCTCCCCTCTCTCTCCTCTCACCTCTCACCTCTCCTCTCCCCTTTCCACGGTCTCCCTCTCATGCCGAGCCAAAGCTGGACTGTCCTGCTGCCATCTCGGCTCACTGCAACCTCCCTGCCTGATTGTCCTGCCTCAGCCTGCCGAGTGCCTGCGATTGCAGGCGCGCGCCGCCACGCCTGACTGGTTTTCGTATTTTTTTGGTGGAAACGGGGTTTCGCTGTGTTGGCCGGGCTGGTCTCCAGCTCCTAACCGCGAGTGATCCGCCAGCCTCGGCCTCCCGAGGTGCCAGGATTGCAGACGGAGTCTCGTTAACTCAGTGCTCAATGGTGCCCAGGCTGGAGTGCAGTGGCGTGATCTCGGCTCGCTACAACCTCCACCTCCCAGCCGCCTGTCTTGGCCCCCCAAAGTGCGGAGATTGCAGCCTCTGCCGGTCCGCCACCCCGTCTGGGAAGTGAGGAGCGTCTCTGCCTGGCCGCCCATCGTCTGGGACGTGAGGAGCCCCTCTGCCTGGCTGCCCAGTCTGGAAAGTGAGGAGCGTCTCTGCCCGGCCGCCATCCCACCTGGGAAGTGAGGAGCGCCTCTTCCCGGCCGCCATCCCATCTAGGAAGTGAAGAGCATCTCCGCCCGGCCGCCCATCGTCTGAGATGTGGGGAGCGCCTCTGCCCCACCGCCCTGTCTGGGATGTGAGGAGACCCTCCGCCTGGCAGCCGCCCCGTCTGAGAAGTGAGGAGCCCCTCCGCCCGGCTGCCACCCCGTCTGGGAAGTGAGGAGCGTCTCCGTCCGGCAGCCGCCCCGTCCGGGAGGGAGGTGGGGGGGTCAGCCCCCCGCCCGGCCAGCCGCCCCGTCCGGGAGGTGAGGGGCACCTCTGCCTGGCCGCCCCTACTGGGAAGTGAGGAGCCCCTCTGCCCGGCCAGCCGCCCCGTCCGGGAGGGAGGTGGGGGGGTCAGCCCCCCGCCCGGCCAGCCGCCCCGTCCGGGAGGGAGGTGAGGGGGTCAGCCCCCCGCCTGGTCAGCCGTCCCGTCTGGGAGGGAGGTGGGGGTCTCAGCCCCCCGCCCGGCCACCCGCCCCGTCCGGGAGGGAGGTGGGGGGGTCAGCCCCCCGCCTGGCCAGCCGCCCCGTCCGGGAAGGAGGTGGGGGGGGGTCAGCCCCCCGCCCGGCCAGCCGCCCCATCCGGGAGGTGAGGGGCGCCTCTGCCCGGCAGCCCCTACTGGGAAGTGAGGAGCCCCTCTGCCCGGCCACCACCCCGTGTGGGAGGGAGGTGGGGGGGGTCAGCCCCCCGCCCGGCCAGCCGCCCCGTCCGGGAGGGAGGTGGGGGGGTCAGCCCCCCGCCCGGTCAGCCACCCCGTCTGGGAGGTGAGGGGCACCTCCCTCCGGCCACCCCTACTGGGAAGTGAGGAGCCCCTCTGCCCGGCCACCACCCCGTGTGGGAGGGAGGTGGGGGGGTCAGCCCCCCGCCCGGTCAGCCGCCCCGTCCGGGAGGTGAGGGGCACCTCCCTCCGGCCACCCCTACTGGGAAGTGAGGAGCCCCTCTGCCCGGCCACCCCTACTGGGAAGTGAGGAGCCCCTCTGCCCGGCCACCACCCCATCTGGGAGGTGTACCCAACAGCTCATTGAGAACGGGCCATGATGACAATGGCGGTTTTGTGGAATAGAAAAGGGGGCAAGGTGGGGAAAAGATTGAGAAATCGGATGGTTGCGGTGTCTGTGTAGAAAGTAGTAGACATGGGAGACTTTTCATTTTGTTCTGTACTAAGAAAAATTCTTCTGCCTTGGGATCCTGTTGATCTATGACCTTACCCCCAACCCAGTGCTCTCTGAAACATGTGCTGTGTCCACTCAGGGTTAAATGGATTAAGGGCGGTGCAAGATGTGCTTTGTTAAACAGATGCTTGAAGGCAGCATGCTCGTTAAGAGTCATCACCACTCCCTAATCTCAAGTACCCAGGGACACAAACACTCTGCCTAGGAAAACCGGAGACCTTTGTTCACTTGTTTGTCTGCTGACCTTCCCTCCACTATTGTCCTATGACCCTGCCAAATCCCCCTCTGCGAGAAACACCCAAGAATGATCAATTAAAAAAAAAAAAAAGAAAAGAAAAAAAAGAAAAAAAAAAAAAAAGGAGGAAAACATACTATAGCATTTTGTTCTGAAATCCTGGCTCCCCTGTGACTGATTAAGCCTACCAAAAGGCCATCATTATAGGGTGTTTTCCTTGTGTGAACAGTAATTCAGCACGACCTGCTGCTTTTGTAGCTAAAGAAAAAGAGAGTTCCTGACAACAGATTGTACTGGCAGTCCAAGTTGCCTGTCTTGCTTTGATAAATAGACTGAAAAAAAGATCTGATACAGAAGTCACTGATTTGGAACATGCAATCTGAAGATCCCGGTTTTGTGTCGGTTACCAGATATTAACAAAAGGGAAGCACATGAAGGTCTTTAACATAAAAAGACGATAAAAAATCAGAGTGACACACTGAAGCCTGCGTGCTCACATTATTCAACTACGAAATGTAACTGGATTGCACATCAGTTAGGTCAGCCTCATTTATTTTTAAAAATCTACATCTGATTCACTGGAATTTGCAAACATGCATAAAAGAAAGTAAAAAAAAAATCTTTATTTTCTATGCCTTCTCAGTATAGATGAAATGTTCTATTTTGCTTTTTTAAAAACTTTATATATCTTGAACATTCACGTTACTCATTTTTTAAAAACATGTTTTTAAATGTTTGCATCTTTGGGCCGGGCACGGTGGCTCACACCTGTAATCCCCGCACTTTGGGAGGCCGAGGCAGGGACAACACCTGAGGTCAAGAGTTCGACACCAGCTTGGCCAACATGGTAAAATTCCATCTCTACCAAAAATATAAAAAATTAGCCAGGTGTTGTGGTGGGTGCTTGTAATCCCAGCTACTCAGGAGGCTGAGGCAGGAGAATTGCTCGAACCCAGGAGGTGGAGGCTTCAGTGAGCCGAGATCGTACCACTGCACTCCAGCCTGGGAGACAGAGTGAGACTCTGTCACAAAAAAAATAAAAAATAAAACAAATAAAATGTTTGCGTCTTTAAACAGCTGTATATTGTCTTACTAAACAATTTCCCTGCCATTGGGCATATAAGTTTCTTCTCCCTATTCTTCCCCTAACTTTTTGCTGGGATGAACATGCTAATAAATAAATATTTGTGTACATGTCTGATTATTTTGCAAGATAAATTTCTAGAAATAGAAGCACTAGAAAGTATACAAATATATTATTACTGGGGTTTTGATACAAATATACTCTTCTTATCAGCTGTGTTTGAAAGTGCTCATTTAGAGTCCCTCAACACTAGGTTTTAAATATATATATTTAAAAGTCTCTTGTCATTTTGAGAAGCAGAAGATGGTACCTCAATGCTGCTTGTTTATACGTTTATGATTTTAGTGAGTTTGATTTTTTTTCTTTTTTCATGTAGTCATTGGCCATTTGTATTAAAATTTTATTCATTTATTTATTTTTGCGGAGATAGGGTCTTGCGATGTTGCCCAGGCTGGTCTTCAACTCCTGGGCTAAAACCACTCCTCCTACCTCAGCCTCCCAAAGTGCTGGGATTATAGGCATGAGCCACCATACTCTGCATCATTTGTACTTTTTTTGCTTTTGTTGCTGTTTTTTTGGTTTTTTGTTTTTTTTTTCATTGCCAGGACGTATTCTCATCTGACCCATTTGTACTTTTAAAATGTGAATTGCTTTGCCCAGTTTTCTTTGGGGTGCTCATGTTTTTCTTATTGACAGCTTTCTAATTGACTGAAATCTGGGTTTTGCTGACATACATGAAAACAACTAATTTTTGCATGTTTATCTTACAACCAGCCACCTCCGGGAACTGCCTTATCACGTCCAGTGTTTTTATTTGATTCTCTCGGGTTTTTTAAGTAGGAAACCGTAACTGGTAGATAACGGTAGATAAAGACATTCCTTCTTTCTGGCTTTCTCTCCTACTCCTTTCCTCATCTTATTACCCTGGATAGAGCTTCCAGGGCAACACTGAATCGTGTTAGCAGGCACTGTGTCTTGCCTTTATTGCCACCAACAGTTTTTTATTATGTATGATTTTGTTATAAATTTGAAATTTTCTTTATAAATCTCAAAAAAGTATCCCTTTGAGTTTTATCTAGATGGTAATAGTGTACTCCTTTCTTTTCCATCCTCTTTGAAGATCCGTGTATTTTTCTCCTCTGGCCTAGCAGTATGAAATTTTGGCCCCAAACATCTAAATATTAAACTATCTTTGCATTAATTCATCCTTGCTTAATGTATATGATTCATTTAATCTATCTCCAGATTTGATGTGCTTATGTTTTATGTAATTTTTTTTTACCTTAATTCACGGTGAGACAGATCTGCGTTTTAATATTTTTTGGAGGGGGTAACACTTATTTTGTTAGGTCAAACACAATAAAATGGAAGATATTCAATCATTTTGATGTTTTACTGCATAATAAAATTATCATGCAGTAAAAAGTGGACTTTTGGGGAGTGTACAGTTCTATGAATTCTAACGTATCTGCAGGTTCGTGTAACCCACAATATAATCAGGATGCTCAACAGTTCCAACACTGCCCACAACCCCCTCAGCCATCCCGTCTCCCCACGCTCCCCCCACACCTAACCCTTGGGCAACCATCCCATCTTGCCATGCTCCCCGCATCCTTCACCCCTGGAAACCACTCTTTGCCAATGAGATCTGTTTTCTGCCACTAGTGTGGTCTCTTTCAGAATGTCATAGAAATGGAACGACACAGTATGTAACCCTTCTTTTTTCTTTCACTCAACAAGATGCCTTTGAGAAACATCGATGCTGTCGCATATCAATAGTTTCTTCCTTTTTATTGCATGGTACACACCACCATATGGATGTACTGGTTTATTTTCTATTATCTGTTGAAGGACCTTTGGCTTGTTTCCAGTCTTTGGTGATTCCCAACCAGGAGCAATTTTGGTCTCCAGGGGACATTCAGCTGGGTTTAGAGACAATTTTGCTTGTCATGATTGGGGGGAGGGTTGCATCTAGTGGGTAGTGGCCAACGATGCTGCTAGACCAATGGTCTCCAGTTTTTTTAGCATTAGGGACTGGTTTTGTGAAAGACAATTCTTCCACAGACCAGGGGTGGGAGGGGGGTGGATGAAACTGTTCTACCTCAGATCATCAGGTATTAGATTTTCATAAGGTGCAATTAGAGTCTCACAAGGAGCGCACAACCTAGATCCCTCGCATGTGCAGTTCACAGTAGGGTTCTCACTCCTATGAGAAATACAGCTGTAAATATAGATCAAGCTTTGGTTGCTTACCCGCCACTCACCTCCTGCTGCATGGCGAGGTGGGGGGTGGGGGGGGTAATGGGGGTGGGGGTTGGGGACCCCTGTGCTAGACATCCTGTGATGCACAAGGCAGCCCCTGCAACAAAGAATTGTCCAGCCCCAAAGTCAACAGCGCCACTGATGAGACACTGCTACGGGGCGGGGCTGCTGGGTAGTACCATAAGTGCACGTTTAACTTGGTAAGAAACCACTAGCTCTCAGAGTGGTGCACCATTTTGTGACCTCACCAGCCATGTAGGAGAGTTTTAGCAATGTTTGCTGTGTGTGCACACCAGCACTTGGGACTGCCATGATTTTAAAGCTTTTTTAAGCAAGTGTGTATTACTTTCTTGCCTTCTGTATATCTGCTTTGGTGAAGTATCTATTTAAGTCTTTTGACCATTTTTAAATTGGACTGTTGTTTTTTTACTGTTGAGTTTTGAGTTCTATTGTGTATTCCGGATGCAAGTCCTTTATCAGTTAAGTAATTTGCAAATATTTCCTCCCCATCTGTAGCTTCTCTTTTCATTCTCTTAACTGTGTCTTTTGCAGAGCAGAAGTTTTAAACTCTGATCAAGACCAACTGATCCATTTTTTTGTTTATGCATGATTGGTTTTGGTGTTGTATCTGAGAACTCTTTGCTAACCTCAGGTAATGAAGGTTTTCTCCTATGTTTTCCTCTAAAAGTTTTAAAGTTTTTCATTTTACATTTAGATCCATGATCCATTTTGAGTTAATTTTTGTTATGAGGCATGAGGTTTAGGTTGAGGTTAATGTTTTTGCATATATATATCCAATGGTTCCAGCATCAATGTTCAATATTTGTTGAAAAGACTGTCCTTTTTCCATTAATTTGCTTTTGTTGTTTTGCCAAATATCAATCAACCATACTTGTTGTGGGTTTATTTCTGAATTTTCTTTTCTGTTCCACTGATCTATGTGTCTGTAATTTCATGAATACCCCCACTGCCTTGATTACTGTAAACTTTTTAGTTGTCTTAAAATCAGATAGTATGACTCCTCCAGCTTTATTATTTTTGAAAACTGTTCAGGGCTATTCTAGTTATCTTGCCTTTTCTGATAAATTTTAGGATAATTTTGTCTATGACCACAGAAAATGCTGGGATTTTGACTGGAGTCGCATGGAATGTATAGATAAATATGGGAAGAGAATTAACATCTTTACTATATTGAATCTTTCAATCCATAAACAGTTTGTCTCTTGATTTATTTACATTTTATTTGATTTCTCTCCTCACTGATTTGTGGTTTTCAGCACAGAGATCCTGTCCATGTTTTGTTAGATTTATACCTAACTATTTCATTTTCAGGGCAGCTATTGTAAATGGTATAATTTTAATTTGTTTCTAATTGTTCATTGCTAGAATATAGTGATATGACTGATATTTGTGTGTTGGCCTTGTATCTGGCAACCTTGCTAAAAATCACTATTAGTTCTAAGAGGTTTTTTTGGTAGATTCTTTGGGATGTTTCAAGTAAACATGTCATCTGTGAATGGGGCAGTTTTACTTATTCCTTTCTAATCTATATGCCTTTTATTTCTTTTTCTTGCCTTATTGCACTGGCTAGGATTTTCACAATGATGTTGAATAGGAATGGGAGCAGTGAAGGAACAGACAGCCTTCCCTTGTTCCTAATCTTAGGGGAAAAGCATTCAGTCCTTCACCATTAAGTATGATGTTTGCTATAGGTTTTTGGTAGATGTGCCTTATCAGGTCCAGGAGTTTCCCTTGTATTCCTCCTTTGCTGAAAATTTTAATGATGACTGAATACTGAATTTTGTCAAATGCTTTTCGTGCATCAATTGTTGTAGTAACCATGCAGTTTTTTTTTCTTGTTTAGACTGTTAATATGGTGGGTTACATTGACTGATTTTCAAATATTTAACTAACCTTGCATTCCCAGGATGAACTCCACTCAGTCATGCCATATTGCTCTTTTTATACATTGCTGGATTTGAATTGCTAATATTTCTTACTGAGAATTTAAAAATATACATTCATGAGGAATATTGGTCTGTAGTTTACTATTCTTATACTGTCTTTCTCTGATTTTTCTATCAGGTGATGCTGGCCTTATAAAAAGTTGGGAAGCATTCCTTCTTCTATATTTTGGAAAAGAATGGGGAAAATTGATACTATTTTCTACTTTAAATGGTTGGTACAATTCACCATTGTAAACTTATGGGCCTACAGATGGCATATTTTGAAAGATTTTATGTAAGAGATTAATTTCTTTAACAGTCACAAGACTATTCAGGTTATTTATTTCATTTGGGGTGAGTTTTGGTAGCTTTCAGTTTGGGGCACTGGTCTATTTCATTTAAGTTGTCAAATGTATGTGTGTAGAATTGTTCATAATATTTCCTTATTACCCTTTAAATGTCTCTAGGATTCATCATGTCTCCTTTTTTGTTTCTGATATTGGTCATTTATATCTTCTCTTTTTTTGTCAATCTTGATAGAGATTTATTAATTTTATTAATCTTTTCAAAGAATTCAATTTTGGTTTCACTGATTTTCTCTATATTTTAAAAAATTTCCCATGTTGTTGATTCTTGCTCTCACATGTATTACTTCTTTCCTTCCACTTGCTTTGGTTTTGCTCTTTTCCTAGCCCAGTTTCTTAATATGAAAGCTTAGGCTATTGTTTTGAAAGCTATCTGCTTTCTTAAATAAACATAATGCTATAAATCTCCTTCGAAACACTGCTTTTGCTGCATCCCACTTGGTATGCTGCGGATTCATTTTCAGTCACTTCAAAATATTTATAACTCTCCTTGCAACTTCCTCCTTGACCCAGGGATTATTGAGAAGTGTGTTAATTTCCAAGTGTTTGGAGATTTTCTGTTATCTTTGTTACCGATTTCTAGTGTAATTCCATTAGGGTCAGAGAACATACTTTCTATGACTTCAATTCTTTTCAGTGTGTTAAGGAGAGTTATGCTTTACCTTGGTGACAGCTCTTTTTGCACTTGAAAACAATGTGTAATCTGCTACTGTTGGGTAGAGTGTTCTAGGAATGTTTATTAGTTCCTTTGGGTTGATGGTGGCCGATTCTTCCATAACCTTACAGATGTTATGTCTCCCAGTTCTACTGATTACTGACAGAACAGTGTCCTTGACTGTATATTGACTATATTTATATATACAGACTCTTCTATTATTATTGTGGATTAAAATAATTTTGTAGCCGGGCGCGGTGACTCACACCTGTAATCCCAGCACTTTGGGAGGCCTGAGGCAGGTGATCACGAGATCAGGAGATTGAGATCATCCTGGCTAACACAGTGAAACCATGTCTCCACTAAAAACACAAAAAATTAGCTGGGCGTGGTGGCACGTGCCTGTAATCCCAGTTACTCGGGAGGCTGAGGCAGGAGAATCACTTGAACCTGGGAGGCAGAGGTTGCAGTGAGCCGAGATCCTGCCACTGCACTCCAGCCTGGGCAACAGAGTGAGACTCCATCTCAAAAAATAAAAGTAAAATAAAATAAAATAATTTTGTGTTTGTACCCTAATTTTCAGATTTGGTTATCAATATTATACTGTGTTCAGATAATTTGTGTATTTCTCTCTTTTCCATGCTTTAGACTAGGGGTCAGCAAACTACAGCCCATGGGCTGGCCACTTGTATTTGTAAATAAAGTTTTACTGGAACACAGCCACACTCATTCCTTTACACAGTGTCTATAGCTGCTGTCACACCACAACGACAGAGCTGGGTAGTTCTGACAGACAGTATGGTCTACAAAGCCTAACACATTTATTATCTGGCCCTTTAACAGAAAGTTTGATGATCTCTGCTCTAGACTTACGCTGATCAACACAGTAGCAACATGTGGCTAAACTGATGTTTGTTTAAACCAGGTGGAATTAAACATTCAGTTTCTTAGTTGCACTGACCAGTTTCAAATGCTCGGTAGCCACACGGAGCTAGTGACTATTGGAGACATGATGTAGAACATTCCATCATTGCCAGGCATGGTGCCTCACACCTGTCTCAGCACTTTGGGAGGCTGAGGCAGGGAGATCACTTGAGCTCAGGAGCTTGAGACCAGCCTGGCCATCATGGTGAAACCCTATCTCTACCAAAAATAGAAAAATTAGCCTTGTGTAGTGGTGTACACCTGTAGTCTCAGCCACTTGGGAGGCTGAGGCACGAGAATTGCTTGAACCCAGGAGGCTAAGGTTACAGCGAACCAAGATTGTGCCACTGCACTCCAGCCTGGGTGACAGAGTGAGACTGTCTCAAAAAATATAATAATAAAATACAAAATAACATTTCTGGCCAGGTGCAGTGGCTCACGCCTGTAATCCCAGCACTTTGGGAGGCTGAGGTGGGTGGATCACGAGGTCAGGAGTTCAAGACCAGCCTGACCAACATGGTGAAACCCTGTCTCTACTAAAAATACAAAAATTACCTGGGCGTGGTGGTGCACGCCTGTAATCCCAGCTACTCGGGAGGCTGAGGCCGAAGAATCGCTTGAGCCTGGGAGGCAGAGGCTGCAGCAAGCCGAGATTGTGCCACTGCTCTCCAGCCTGGGCAACAGAGCAAGACTCCATCTCCAAAAAAAAAAAAAAAAAAGAACATTTTCATCAAGGCAGGGAATTCCACCAGACGGCTCTGCTGCAGGCCAGCCTAAGTAACCCCAGACCCTCCTGGCTCTCCTGGGATTTGAACAGGAGTCCTCTGGGTGCCACATCTTTCCTGTAGGTGATTTTTTGGGGTTACTGGTATATTTTTGTGTATTTAAAATTTTTACTTTTGATTCCATTGGTAGTAGCTTATATTTTCCTAGAAAATCATTCATCTGTTTTTTCTAATCATTCATCTTATCAAGACTTTTGCATAGTATCTTCTTGGATCTCTGTCCTCTCTGTTCTCCTTAGGAGTGTTTGTTGTGTGTTTTCCCCTAATGTCTCAAGCTGGCATCTCAGAAGTTCATTTAATTTTGTATTTATCTCTTTCAATTCTTTCTATTCTTTGGAATTTGGTGTGCATTTTACACACACACTGCATCTCAACTGGATTCATTACATGTCGTGTTCAGCAGCCACGTGTGGCTGGTGGCTGTCAGAGCGGGCAGGGCAGCTCTAGAGAGTATAAAGTTCAGTACAAATCTTTTCATCCAACCTAATTATTTTTTTCTGATTCCCCATCTTCCTGCTGGGTCCCACTCCTGTAGGATAGTGGAGTGCGCATGGCAACGTCTCCTCTTGTTTCTGACAGATTCTGCTCTATTTATTTATTTATTTTTTCTGAGGTGGAGTCTCACTGTTGCCAGGCTGGAGTGCAGTGGCGTGATCTTGGTTCACTGCAACCTCTGCCTCCCAGGTTCAAGCGATTCTCCTGCCTCAGCCTCCCAAGTAGCTGGGACTATAGGCGCACACCACCACGCCCAGCTAATTTTTGTATTTTTAGTAGAGATGGGGTTTCACCATGTTGACCAGGCTGGTCTCGAACTCCCGACCTCAGGTGATCTACCTGCCTTGGCCTCCCAAAATGCTAGGATTACAGGCAAGAGCCTCTGTGCCCTGCCTTCTGCTCTATCTTTTTGTCTAGTTCATAACAGTTCCCAGCCATTACCTTTTCACTGTAAAGTGTACCTCTTGGGAACAGCCTTTCTAATCATAAGACACAACATCCGAAGATTAGGTTTAAATAAATGAAAGTACTGAAAGATTTGCTATCAAAATGGAAAAAGGATTTTTATCCAAAAAGAAGATGCCATGGACCAAGTGAGAGGGCACATAAGCCCTTGATAATGTCAGCTTTTTGCCACGCACTGTCTTCAGCTCCTTATCTGTGTTATTTATTCAATCTGCACAAGCCTGAGAGGTAGGTACTAGGATTTCCATCTTACAGATAAGGCACAGAGAAGTTAAGTAATTTGCCTAAGGTCACACAGCTAAGAAGTAGCGGAGCTGAGAAACCTAGGCAGTTGGGCACCAGTGGCTGTGCACAAATTGCGTCCCTTATATTATCGTGCAGGAGAAAACATTTGAAAATATTAAAAAAAAGAATTAATATCCAGAAGGTACAAAAAGCTGCTACAAATCAAGAAGATAAATGTAAAGAACCCAACAGAAAAGGGGGAAAAGATAAGAACAGGCATTGATAGATAAAGCAATGGAAACAGGCAATAAACATGTGAAAAGATGCTCAAATTTACAAGTCATCAAGAACGGGCAGGGTAAGACAAGATACAATGTTTCACCCAACAGGTTAGAAGTTTGACAGCAGGGCTAGGGAGGGTGAGTGCAAATGGCCGCTCTTGCACTGCTGGTAGCAATGTGACACTTGTACTGCCTTTTTGAATGGCAATTGGGCAGAGTCCATCACCATTTAAAATGCACTTCATTCGGGACCAGCAGTTCCACTTCCAGGCTACAGCTGGTCTCAGACGCGCACAGAGATGTTCGCACACACAAACTCTCCTGAGCAACCTCCACTCAACCCACTGGCTGAATACCCCATACTCTCTGCTACCCGCCAGGCTGTGCAAGGATCCACCAGGCGCTCAGGGCAGAGGCCACCTGCCCGCCTCTCTCCCCATCTGGTGAGGATGCACCCACTGTCACTTGCATTCCTCGAACTTATTCAAGCCAGTGGTACCTGTGATGCAGTTGTATCATTTAATGATAAAAACCAGTGAATTCTCAGTGGAAAGGGAGTTGTTTTTATGAAAACTGAGCTGAAAGCTCTGAAGAGTCCAGGGAAGACAAGTTGCTAAAAACCATCACCAAAACCAAGCTTCTACTGAATGTGCTAAAACTAAAAGAAGTGGAAAACACTGTAAAAATCTATAAGGATTTTGCCCTTAGTCTGCATAGGTGTCTAAACTCCAAAATTAGATGGTGTATTATGGCTGTGTCTAATCAGGAGAGATAAAATAGATAAAGCTGGTCCTCCAGTGAAAACCTATGATCCAAGAAATGGGCTGGACACATTTGCATTGTTTGTATTTTTTTAAACAATGAAAGTGCATAGAGGAGTTACGTATTTAATTGTAAAACTTTTCTTTTTTTTTTTTTCTGAGATGGAGTCTTGCACTGTCGCCTGGGCTGGAGTGCAACGGTGAGATCTTGGCTTACTGAAACCTCTGCCTCCCGGGTTCAAGTGATTCTCCTGTCTCAGCCTCCCGAGTAGCTGGGATTACAGGGACCCGCCACCACGCCTGGCTAATTTTTTGTATTTTTAGTAGATGAATAAGATGACAAAACAAGATGACTCTGTTCACTTGGGTAATTTTTCTTGCCCTGAATTCTACTCTGTCTGATAATATAATGGGTTTAGATTTCTAATCAATTGGATAATTTCTGTTTTTATTTTTATTTTTTGAGACAGAGTCTTGCTCTGTCACCCAGGCCGGAGGGCAGTGGCACCATCTCGGCGCACTGCAACCTCCACCTCCTGGGTTCAAATGATTCTCCTGCCTCAGCCTCCTGAATAGCTGGGACTACAGGCACCCGACACTATACCCGGCTAATTAATTATTTTACTTATTTATTTATTTATTTGAGACAGAGCCTCACTCTGTGGCCCAGGCTGGGGTGCAGTTGCGCGATCTTGGCTCACTGCAACCTCTGCCTCCTGGGTTCAAGGGATTTTCCTGCCTCAGCCTCCTGAGTAGAGTAGCTGGGACTACAGGTGGGCGCCACCACACCCAGCTAATTTTGTATTTTTAGTAAATACGGGGTTTCACCACATTTGCCAGGCTGGTCTCGAACTCCTGACCTTAAGTGATCCACCCACCTCGGCCTCCCAAAGTGCTGAGATTACAGGCATGAGCCACTGTGCCTGGCTTACCTGGCTAATTTTTGTATTTTTGTAGAGATGTGGTTTTGCCATGTTGGCCAGGGTGGTCTTGAACTCTTGACCTCAGGTGATCTGCCCACCCCGGCCTCCCAAAGTGCTGGGATTACAGGTGTGAGCCACCACACCGAGCCTCAATTGAAGAATTTCTGTCTTTTAATGGAGGAGTGTAAGCCGTTTGCATTATTGTAACGGATTTGTTTGCTGTTAAATTTGCCACTAATTTGGTGCTGTTTGTTTTTCATGCTTCTTCACTGTTTGCTCTCCATTTATGACAAGGGCCCTTTCTCTCCTTTTAGCTTTGCTTATGTTGTAAAAGGTTTCTAACATGTGTTTAGGTTCTACTAGGATTTATTTCTAAGTTTTTTTTTTTTTTTTTTTTTTTTTAGACGGAGTCTTGATTTGTCACCCAGGCTGGAGTGCAGTGGCGTGCTCTTGGCTCACTGCAACCTCCCGAGTTCAAGCGATTCTCCTACCTCAGCCTCCCAAGTAGCTGGGATTACAGGCGCCTGCCACAGTGCCCAGCTAACTTTTGTATTTTTAGTAGAGACTGGGTTTCACCATCTTGGCCAGGCTGGTCTCGAACTCCTGAGCTCGTGATCCACCAGCCTCTGCCTCCCAAAGTGCTGGGATTACAGGCGTGAGCCACCGCACCCAGTCTTATTTCTAAGTTTCACATCAGAAGTTTTATTAAAAAATAAATCAATGTAGCCATTTACAAATCACTGCTCACAAGTTAGGAAGGATGTCAAAGTCTAAACATTTTCCATACTCTACTGGGCACAACACCCAGGTGAAGCCTAGGTGGCCCTTCAAAAATCCACTTTTATGAAGCCTTCCCTAGTAGCAACTCCATTCATCGCAAAACCCAAGTCTCAGGTATATGATGCTGGTCAGGAACAAGTCACAGTTTGGGTCATTAATAGTATATATAGGCTACTGTTTCATGTTTTAAATAAACAAGAGCAAATGTTTCCATAGAATCTAGCACAGGAATATCGGGGGGTAGGGAAAGGCAGGACTTTTGGAACCACAGCTGCCACAAGAAACAAGGACAAGGATGGGCTTGGACAAGCGCGAGGAATGCAGGTGAGTGCGGTGGGAGTGAGACGGAGCGGAAGAGGACACAAATGATGGAACTGGGTGGACAAAGTGCTTATTAAAAACCAAATCTCTTTTTTTTTTCCCTTCTGTACCTACTTTTTAAATTTCACAATTAACACAAACTTGCATATTCACAATTTCTCTCCACCATTCTTCCTGTTTACTCCTGACCATATGCTTGTTTCTCTATACCACAAATTTTCCCTTAATACTCAAATAATCTTTGTTCCACTAAAACAAACACTTAAATTTCTTATTCATTTGTTACTGGTTTTAACTGATTATTTCTCCCTGCTAGCAACAAACCATCAAGCAACTCAACGATTTTGCCTCAGCCTAATTGATAGTCACCGAAGTCCACCTGAACCATCAAATGAAGGGGCCAGAGACACGAATCCCAGATTTCTGCAGCATTTCAGGAGCAGATGGGCAAGCTGAGGGACTTCCTTCAGAGACCCCATTCATCCGAAGTTCAGACAGCCCCAAAAGAAAGTGGTGGGATAAGATCGTGAATGCAAAGAGATATGGCAGACCTCCGCCAACCACAGATAACTGGAGCTATGGCATAGTCACAGTGAGCTCAGCAGTGCCTCGTGCCGTGGCATTCACGCGTGACGGAAATACACAATGATGATAATGAAGGGTGGAAAAACTGCGATCCTACTATCTCATCAGACAGCAATGCTTCAGACGCTCAATGTTGGGGGTGAGCTGTCCTAGAAGGTAGCTGGGTGTCTCTTGCTGCCTGTGAAACCATGTTTATTTTTCTGCATGTTCTAGATGGACAACCCTGCCAGCGATTCCTCTGGTGAACCAGCCAGGGAACCTCACCCCCCAGAGGAAGCCTCACCCCCAGCAGTGAGGGCCACCCCGGTGTGCTGTGGGGGAGCCCCCGCCCCTCGGCGCCTGTTACCTCCTGCAGCTTAATCTCCTCGGGCTGTAGGATCTCAAGCACCCCGCTGCTCCGGATCTCGGGAAGATCCTGCCAGAGGTTGAACCTTGAGTGGGGGTTACTGAGCAGGCAGATCTGGGGCAGAGTCTTCCTCTCTGGTGGGCTGGCCGGCTCCTCCTCCTCCTCCTCTTCTTCTTCCTCCTCCGGGGTGTCCTCACTGGCCGGGGACCCATTGGTATTGTCTTCTATTTCTGCATCCTGTTGCCTCCTGGTTTCGATTTCTTGGAGAGTCGATTTATCTCGGTATTCCTGATACAGGAGCCCTGAAATCAAAGAGTTGTAAAAAAGAAAAGGAAAAGATCTCAGATGACAATCATTAGAAATCCCTAAGTCAAGGCTTCGTGTTCTTATCAAGGGTGGCTGCTGTGTCCAGGAATACACAGTGCAAGCCAGCCCTGCACCCATCTCAGCGGCAGGCTCCAGGCCACGGGATACACTGCCATCGTCCTCATTTCTTGGGAAAGACCAGCATGCTTATGTTTTTCCCCAAAACATAAAGAAATGCCCGAATGGACTCAAAATCCAATATATGCTTTCCCCACACACACTTGGCAAACAAGAACCTAGAACCTGATGCACCCACCACCAAGTTGATGGGAATGTCCCAACTGTGTCTCATTATCCCAGCAGGGTAATTTCCATAGCCCTCAACGTTTCAATATTCAAACTCAGGAATATTCATTTGTGCAGTGGGAGTAGCTATAAATTCTCATTTTGAAGGAAAAATCAGCATTTCATCAATCTTATGATTTAAAAAGGGAAACATTCCCTTTTTTGCTTTCACAGTTGCAGACTTCACTGACCAACTGTACTTGCAATGAATGCTTTCCAGTCTCTTAGGCGATTTGGGGGCGCAGCTGAATCAGCGCAAATGTAGCACCTCCAAAGGGATAACCCCATTTCTGATGTCCTGGCCTTGGGACACAGGGACTTCCTCTCTGCACAGGCAGCCATGTTGGGGTTGGGGGGTTGCCGTGGCTGGGTGGGATGGTGAGGGGTAATCCTGCCTGCTGCAGGCTGGGAGGAAAGGGGTCAGACCCCAGGGTCTTGTCTATGGTGCCACAGAGGCAGGAGTCTAGCCCAAGCGCAAGGGCTAGACAGAGCAAACACACTCTGTTCTACATTTTATTGTTTTAAAATTTATTTTGAGATTGGGCCTCACTCTGTTACCCAGGCTGGAGGGCAGTGGTGCAATCATAGCTCACTGCAGCCTCCATCTCCTGGGCTCCAGTGATTCCCCTGCCTCAGCTTCCTGAGTGGCTAGGACTACAGGTGTGTGTCACCATGGCCGGCTAGTTTTTCCTCTTTTTTTTTTTTTTTGTAGAGATGAGGACTTGCTATTTTACCCAGGCTGGTCTTGAATTCCTGGCCTCAAGCCTCAATTCCTGGTCTTGAATACCTCTCCCTTCAGCCTCCCCAGTGCTGGGATTACAGACGTGAACCCCTGTGCCTGGTCCTGTCTGCATTTGACAAGCATAGACTGGGAGAAACGGGCTGCAGCAGCTCCTTGGGAGAGCCAGGACGGAGGCTTGCACTGAAGGACTGGGAAGGGGATGAAGCCAAGTGCCTGATTCGGGGACAGTTACAAGATAGAATAACATTCAGGTGACCAGTGGGACGGCAGAGACCAGAGGCCCCACTGGAGGAGATGAGGGTCCGGCTGAGGGTGGCGTTGGGGTGGGGTGGATCGAGATGTACCCAGGCACCCAGGTGGAGGCCTCATGAGCAGCAGGATGTCCTGGTCTGGCACTTGGGATAGTGGCCGAGGCCCCTCGATATGTCTAACTATGAGACAAAGATGATTCCCAGAAAGTTGCAATAAGGATAAATATACCACTTGACAAGCACTTGCTCTTACAACGCAGTACAACTGTTAGCTATTATTCCTTCTTTATCTAATTGTTAAACATATCTAAACTGTAGAAAAAGGAAGAAAAGAAAAACAGACCACCTTCAAAATCCTGAATGAGGCTGGAGAAATTATATTCATGAACAGGAAGCTAGTAAGGCCGCCCTATGGATTAAATGACTTGGTTTCCATGCTCTATAACTCCAAATTACAAAGCCTTTCTGCCAAGGTAACCAGAGCATCCACTTCAGCAAGCTTAGAGCCCGTGCTTTTCCAACGATGCAACCCAGCCGGATACAACATGGAGTTGATTCGACAAAGGAATAAAAAAGAAAATCCAACTCTAAGCTAAATGCAACCCTGACTGAAGATCTATAAAGACAGGTCCGACGTCACCACCTCCATCAGTTCAATAACGAGTATAAGGTAGGCCGACTATTGCGACGTCAAGCTATCACCATCCTATGATTCTGACACTGCACTGCGGTTACAGAGGTTTAAAGAAACCAAGTTTCACAGGTTGACTTGGATTCACTTTTCAATGCATAGTGCAGCGTCTCCTACATAATAGGTACTCAACTACTTGTTGAACACCTTTTAAAAATGCAGTTTCCAAGGCTGGGTGTGGTGGTTCATGCCTGTAATCCCAGCACTTTGGGAGGCTGAGGCAGGTGGATCACTTGAGGTCAGGAGTTCGAGACCAGCCTGGCCAACATGGCCAAACTCCGTCTCTACTAAAAATACAAAAATTAGCCGGGTGTGGTGGCGGGTGCCTATAATCCCAGCTACTCGGGAGGCTGAGGCAGGAGAATAGCTTGAACCTGGGGGGCGGAGGTTGCAGTGAGCTGAGATCGCGCCACTTCACTCTAGCCTGGGCGAAAACAGCGAAACTCCATCTCAGAAAAAAAAACAAAAAACAAACAACAACAACAACAACAAAAAAGCAGTTTCCAAGCTTCACAAAAGTGTCTCACTTGGCATATTTTTGAAGGCTCAAAAATATGTCTTATGTGTGCTATAGTCGGCAAATCATGGGTGAATACTATCTTGAACATCTCACTGTGATACATATGCTGAAAAGAGACAAAAATATCAGCATTGTGGGTAGCTGGGTTGAAAAGAATAGTTCTGAAGTCACCCCATGGCAGACGCTATTGACTGCCTCTCCTGCACCCCCTCATGCCCCTCTCCCCGGTTGGCAGAGGAGGGCTTCTGTTTGAGTGCTGACCCATTCTATGCTCAGAGAAGTGAGTGAAGGTTGACTGATCAAAACCTACCACAAGGCCCAGTGCAGTGGCTCACGCCTGTAATCCCAGCACTTTGGGAGGCCGAGGCAGGCAGATCACTTGAGGTCAGGAGTTCGAGACCAGCCTGGGCAACATGGGGAAATCCTGTCTCTACTAAAAATACAAAATTAGCCAGGTGTGGTAGCAGGTGCCTGTAATCCCAGCTACTCGGGAGGATGAGGCAGGAGAATCACTTGAACCCAGGGGGTGGAGGTTGCAATGAGCCAAGATTGTGCCATTTCACACCAGCTTGGGTGAAAAAGCAAAAACCTACCATGACAGTTCCTTGCCCCTTGCTAGTAGTGGGTTAGACACAGGCACAAGGCATAGCCTGGCTGCAGTGGTGTGAGTGCTGGTGTCCCCCCAGATTCGTATGTTGGAACCTAATACCCAATGTGAGAGTTTTAAGAGGTGGGGCCTTTGAAAAGTGACTAAGACATGAGGGCACTGCCTCCGTGAGAGGGATTCATGCCTTCCCTTATAAAAGAGGTGGAAAGGGCCGGGCACAGTGGCTCATGCCTGTAATCCCAGCACTTTGGGAGGCTAAGGTGGGTGGATCACCTGAGATCAGGAGTTTGAGACCAGCCTGGCCAACATGGTGAAACCCCATCTCTACTAAAAATACAAAAATTAGCTGGGTGTGTTGGCAGGCACCTGTAATCCCAGCTACTCAGGAAGCTGAGGTAGGAGAATCACTTGAACCCGGGAGGAGGAGGCTGCAGTGAGCCGAGATTGCGCCACTGCACTCCAGTCTGGGTGACAGAGTGAGGCTCCATCCCCAAAATAAATAAATAAATAAATACATTTTTAAAAAGCTGTGGAAGGCAGCCGCCTGGCCCCTTCCGTCCTGTGAGGATGCACCAAAGGATGCACCATCTTTGAAGCAGAGATAGCCAGCCCTCAGCAGACGCTGAATCTGTTGGCACCGTGATCTTGGACTTCCCAACCTCCAGAACTGTAAGAAATAAACTTCTGTTGTTTATAAGCCATCTAGTATATGGTATCTTGTTACAGCAACTGGAACAGATTAAGATACTGGCCAAGGAGAGTAAGGGCACATCTTCTAAAGGCTTGTCAAAAAGCTGTCCCTCCCCAACAGACACTTGAAGACAAACTGCCCTTCCTGTTTCACACATGGCTCCCTGAGGATGTGATGCCTGGAGCTATGGCAGCCATCTTGTAACACAAGGCCCACCTGGAGGAGGCAAAGCAGCCAGGTGACTGTTTGGCTGAATGAACCAACTCTGGAACTTCCTACCTTTGGACTCATTAACTGAGATGAGACACTTTTGTTGCTTAAGAGCACTTTTTGTTAGATATTCTGTTACCTGCAGCCAAAGACTATCAATACAAGTAACCTTAGAGTCTTCTTAAAACTTCATACTTTTTTCTGGGGTATTTAGAATACAAATTTAGACACCAGTGTTTCTGGAGTTACTGTGTTACACAGTTACCTGATACAGTGTGTAACCATTTCTCATAACCTTTCATTTTTATTTGCCTTAAATTCAGATTACAAAACGAATAAGTTTTCTTTACCTGACGAACTATATTAACATATTAAATTTCTGTAGTCAATGTACTGTCAATAGATCAGGCTTTCCTATTTTATATATTGTACATTTAGTCGGCACAACTTTAAATGGAAATAAACTTTACCTGTAAAGGCTTGCACTTGCAATTACCTCCAAGTGGAACTGGCAGGCTCCACTTGGAGCCTTCATCCTGCTTTCCTTCCCCATTAATCATCTTAGGAAGCTGCCATCCTTTCCTAACACTTGGCAAAGAATTGCTGAACTCACAGAGCTGAAGGCAGCTGGGCTGCTGCAGGGATCCGCTTAGCACAGACCTCAAGTCTATGACAGGTGAGAAGAGGGCGGGGGCAGCCCTGGGCTGTCAGTCAACACTCTGTTGAGCTACTATGGGTCAGGCCCAGGAGCCAGGAAAAGACATTCACCAGGACACCAGCAGACACCTGCAGGGGGTAGCAGGAGGAAAGACTCAGAACATCAGATGCCCTGCTGCTTCCCAGATGAGCACAGTGACGCCCCAAACGACCAGGCACTAGAGCTCGGGACCCTGCCAGCCGGCTTCGGACTTCTGCCACCAGCCCAGCAGGTTCAGCCGTCTCCAAGAAAGACAGCTCCACACACCCACAGTGCAGAAGGGAGGCACGATCTCCTCCCCAACCTGGATGTCTTTCCTGGTAGTGACACTGATCTTAGCCAAAGAGGAGCCCTTTCAAGAGGGTGGAGGTCAAAGTCTCCAGCATATGCTAAGTCAGATGTGGCAGCGTGGCAGAGCTGGAAGAAAGCGGTTGTCAGGGGCCTTTGTTTTAAAATAAGGATTTTCTATGTGGCATCAGTTTCAGATCAGCCCCTCTCCATTCCCTCAGCAAACAAAGGGAAAAGCCACCACCACCACCACCACCCAGCCTGACACGTGGAGGGGGCCCACTGGGAACAAAATTCCGGAGTCAGCGCGGCTTAACAGCATGCAGTGTGCGCTCCACCCCCTCAGCTTCACAAGGGCTCAGCTCCTCTCCGGGCTCAGTTTAGAAAGATCCCTGCCAGGGAAGAGTGGGCTGCCCGGGAAAGGTCTCCCAAGCACGGGGTCTCCGGTGGCGATGGAAGCTCCACTTCCCCACTGGAGACACGTCCTGTCTGTCCAAGCATTTGGGACTGGAGGACAATAATTATATATCTAGGGAAGAAATTTTCCAAACCTAGAATTTTTATTTAACAGATAGACTGTCGGCTGCTCTGACAACAATGAAGAACGAAAAGACTTCTGGAACCATTTTCAGAGTAAGGGAACCTATATCATTCATTCACGGGTGCCTCTCCTGACGACATGAGAACTAGCTTGATGTCACTAGCGATTTTTTTTTTTTTTAATGCAAGTACTGAAGTTCTTGGGTCACTATTTGAATCCATTTTCCCTATTCACAGTGCTTCAGGTGCAGCTGTGTAGCAGTTGGACCACACAGGCTGAGCCTCGGCTTCCCTTCCAGGCCATATTCCTGGAGAGGCTTCCCTTCCTAAGCCAAGGGCCTCTGGGGCTCTTGCTTCCTCCCTACTTCGCCTTTCCTTTCCCTGTGCAAAGTTGGCCACCGCCTCCTCTTCTTGAATCGCACCAGGCTTTTCCCAGAACCCCCCTTCACACGCCTCCTCCTCTAGCCCAACTCTGCTCCCAACAGCCGGTTTGGCTTCCAGGTCTTCCTTGATGGGGGATAGTGGAGTCCTCCCCGCTGCACAGCTCAGCCGCGCTGCTTCATCCCTTCTTTCTGGCAGAAGTGATAAGGGGTCAGAGAGCCCTCCCACCAGACAAGAGCTGGGCAAATAGACCTCTCCGCAGAGAGCAGGACAGAAATGTTTGCTAAAGCCCACTTGTGCAGCGCTATTAAAATGCAGCAGTTTTGCCTGCGGAACCATTTAGAGCCAAACATGTCAAAAGCTTTCCTTACCCATGTCAGACGCAGTCCTTCGTATGAAACACAACGGCATCCCATGAGCAGGAGGACCCTCAGAGTCCTCCAGGGACCCGCGTTTCCCAAATAAAACCCGGTTACTGCGGAGACACCCACCTATTTGTTCAATGAGGTTTCTCCAGGAGTCGGCGGGAATGGGGTGGATCATCCGCAGGGCCTCGGTGAGCGTGGTGGGGCTGTCGGCCAGGGCCGGCCACTCCTCGGGCGTGGCCCCATTTCCCGGGGTGGAGGACGACTCACTGCCAGAGAGGGAGGAGGACAGGGGCTGGTTATTTTTAAGCAAGGATTCACCTCGGCTGGCTAGCGAGGGGCGTGCGCACAGGCGGCTGCTAGCCAGCCGGACCTTACCCGGGACCGTCCAGGGGCAGCGGCCGCAGCCAGCGCCGCCCCTCCCGGCCGGGCGGGCCCCAAAAGCCCTTTCTGTCACCGCACCAGGGCGCGACCGGGTGATGCATTTCCACACCAGCCCGCCCAAACCTCCATGGTTTTGGAGCTCCCGGGCAGGCGGTGGAAACTTGGCGCACCGTGCCCACTCTCCGGCGCCGCTCCGACAGCCCGACGGGTCCCGCGGCCAGGAAGCCACTCGGCGCCCCTCGCCGTCACTCGACCCCCGGCCCCTTTCGGACTCCGATCCTCCCGTCCCCAGGCCACACGGCGCGGAAAGGGGATGCCGAGCGGGACGCGCACGACCAGGGCGCCCAGGACGAGGGCGCTGGAGGAGACTCCGGGCAGGGACCGGGGTCCCAGGGGCCCGGGCCGGGGCTCAACACCCACCCGATGGGGTGCGGGCCCGACGGGGCCCGGGGGTGGGAGTAGGGGCGGCGGGGGCCCGCGGAGGAGGAGTGGGGATAGGCCGCGCAGGGGGTGCCCGGGACCCCGGGCGCAAGCTGGGAAAGAGGCACGCGGGGGCGGCGCGCCGGGGCCGGGACAGGCGCCCGTCCTCACCTGCCGGGCAGGTGTCCCGCCGCCGAGTCGCGCGCGTCGCTTTCCGAGGTGGAACTGTCGTGGTCCACGGCGCAGGCGGCGCTGAAGGCAGCGGCCAGCAGCTCCATAGGGTCGGCGGCGGGGCGGGTGCGGGGGCCGGGTCGGGGGCCACGCCGGGGCCCTGGGCTGGGTCGGGGGCGACTAGCGGGCTGCGGAGCGGGGTCGCAGCGCGCGCGGCTCGACCGGAGCTGCAGCCGCCGCCGCCACCGCTGCCGAGCACTCCCGCGGGCGGGCGCGCGCCTGGAGGCTCCCGGGGTTGCCACGGCAACGAGGGAGGCGGGAGGGGCGCGCGCGGCGGGGGCGAGGCCGGGCGGCGGCGGGGCGGGGGCGCCCGGGCTGGGCGCGACCCGGGCCCCGCGAGCGCCGACTGCGGGCTGGGGCCTGCCGCGGGCTCGCGCCTTCCTCCCCCGCGCCGCCGTGCCCCGACCCGGAGAGGGGCAGAGCTGCGGAGGCCCTGGAGCTGCGCCTTTGCCTGCCCCGCCCACTCCTCACGGCGGGGGAAGCCTGGAAGGGGCGGGCGAGGCCACCCTCGGCTCCCCAGTGCCCGCAGACCTCCGCCTTGCCCACGCTGGGCACCCCCTGCGGTCTCCCGCAGGGTCGCAGCTCGGCGACCCGCTCTGAAGCTCCGAGCCCGGCCTCGGGGAATGTGTCCCCGCTGGAGGGGGTCTCCGTCTTGTCTCTGCTCCAGGCGGAGACTGGGGTCTCAGGGGCTCCTTGCAAGCCCGCTCCTGAGCCTCGCGGTGGGGAGGGGGCCGGCGCGGAGGTCTTTCCCGGGCGAGTCTGGTCGCAGGACGAGCCACGCTCAGCTACGCACGACCCTGGCGGGTCTGGGATGGGTTCGGGGGCACCAGAGGAGGAGAAACCAAGTGCCCGAAACCTCTCCTGGGTTGCCCTGCCCGGTGACATCGACTCCTGGACTCTGCGCCTTCGCGTTAGCTGGGTCAGTCCGCTCGCGGATCAGAAAGAGCAGAAAGGACAGTCGGAAGAGCGAGGCCTGGAGGTGCCTACGGGCCGAGCCAAGCCGCCCTCTGCTCAGGGATCATGCTGTCTGCTCAGGTGTGGCGAGGATATCTAGCAAGATGCCCCCCGCCTACCCTCGCGAAGGCCCCTGGCGCGCTGCCCGGTGTCCTTTTCCGGAGGCCAGCCGGCTCACCTGGGTGGGCCCTTGGGTGACCGCGGCCTGCGCCTGCAGCCGGGCCTGTCCTTTTTACGGCCCTGAGGAAACCCCAGGGGCAGGGGTGGAGTGCGGAGCATAGTCCCCCGCACGCTCCAACCCACCCGGCATTTGTTTAAATTAGCAAATTCTTCGTTGGGGGGGATGCAAACATTCCTGGTGGCAGCGGTGCAGTTACTCGTTAATTGTTTGGCTTTAATGGATCCTTAACCAGTCTTGAATAAGGCAGGTGTGATCAAGGGAGGGTTGGGGAGGAAGCTGAGAAGCATTAAGCTTTTTGCCTGGAAGGGAGCTCTCCTCCCCACGTGGTCTGACTTCCCCAGCTTTGACTCTAGAAAAGGGTGTTCAGGTAGACTCAAAGCCAGTCTCTAAAGCTGCCACTTAGCCCTGGTGCCAGAACGGGCAGGTCTGATCTCTTCATGCCCTTTGGGGCCAGAACGGGCAGGTCTGGTCTCTTCATGCCCTTAAGGCCTGAGAATATTCGAGACAACCATCTGGTCTTTTCCCAAGCCAAGCACCGCCCTTCCTTGACTCACTCCCATGGACCCAGGTATCTCCAGGCAGCCACCTCCTGCCCTTAGTGTGTTGCTCTGCTCACTGGCCATCTCCATCTGGCCATCCCACATCTTAGGCTGTCCTGGCTGCTATAACAAAATACCATAGACTGGGTGTGATGTGGTTCGGCTGTGTCCCCACCCAAATCTCATCTTGAATTGTAGCTCCTATAATTCTCACGTGTTGTGGGAGGGACCCAGTGGGAGGCAATTGAATCATGGGGGTGGTTTCCCCCATATTGTTCTCCTGGTAGTGAATAAGTCTCACAAGATCTGATGGTTTTATAAAGGGGAAACCCCTTTTGCTTGGATCTCATTCTCTCTCTTGCCTGCTGCCATCTAAGACGTGCCTTTCGCCTTCTGCCATGATTGTGAGGCCATGTGGAATTGTGAGTCCATTAAATCTCTTTTTCTTTATAAATTACCCAGTCTCAGGTATGTCTTTATCAGCCGCGTGAGAGCGGAGTAATACAGGGTGTCATCAGAACCCAGTGTAAACAGCAGACACATTTCTCATAGTTCCAGAGGCTGGAAGGCTGAGCTCAGAGTGACACCATGGTCTGTTGCTGGTAAGGCCCTCCTCTGTGTCACCGACTGCTGACTTCTTATGGTAGCCCCATATGATGCAAAGAGAGAGAGAGAGTACTCTGGGCTCTCTCTCTCTCTCTTTTTTTTTTTGAAATGGACTCTCGCTCTGTTGCCCAGGCTGGAGTGCAATGGCGCGATCTCGGCTTACTGCAACTTCTGCCTCCCGGGTTCAAGCGATTCTCCTGCCTCAGGCTCCCAAGCAGCTGGGACTACAGGCACCCGCCACCACGCCTGGCTAATTTTTGTATTTTTAGTAGAGATGGGGTTTCACCATATCATAGAGACAGGGTTTCACCATTTCGCCAGGCTGGTCTTAATCTCCAGACCTTGTGATCCACCTGCCTTGGCCTCCCAAAGTGCTGGGATTATAGGTGTGAGCCACCACGCCTGGCCTCTCTGGGGTCTCTTTTATAGGGTACTAATCCCATTCATGAGGGATCCACCCTCATGGCCTTGCCACCTCTCAAAGGCCCCACCACCTAATACCCATCACCCTGGGAGTTAGGATTTCAACACGTGAATGTTGCGGGAGACACAGACATTCAGTCCATAATATTCCACCCTGGTCCCCCAAAAGTCGTGTGCTTCTTGCATGTAAAATACATTCATTCCATCTTAACAACCCAAAAGTTTTAACTTGTTCCAGCATCAACTCTAAAGTCTGAAGTCCGAAGTCTCATCTAAATATCATCTCAATCAGGTGTGGGTGACACCCAAGGTGTGATTTATCCAGAAGCAAAAATTCCTTTCCAGCTGTGAATGTGTGAAACTAGAAAAATTCTATGTTTCCAAAATACAATGGTGAGACAGGCAGAGGATAAAAAATCCCATTCCAAAAGGGAAAAATAGAAAAAGAGAGAGAGGAAGGAAGGAAGAGAACAGGAAAGAGGTGACAGGTCCCAAGTAAGTTTAAAGCCTAGCAAGGCAAATTCCATGAGGAAGATTCTCCAAAGCTGGAGAATAATGCTCTCTGCCTTGATGCTCTGCCTGCAGTGCCCACTGGTGTGGCACTGTCACCCCCACAGCTGGGTGGGGCACTGTCTACTCTGTGCCTCTCCGTTATTTGGTGGCTCATACCACGCTTCTCTGTCAGAGGTGTGAAGCTGTTGTGTTTTGTGGAAGGTAGAAATTGGATATTTAGTTGAGTGGATTTCTGGGCAAAGTGTCTAAGGAGTGGCTTGGTTCTTCCTGACAAACATAGTAAAATTTGAGAAGAGAAGAGTAATTTGAAGATGGAGCTGTTAAGCAAAAAGTAAGCAGAATTCAAGGATTTGAAAGAATCCTCAGCCTTTCCGTATTACAAGCTATGAGAAAACATTCAGAAGAGAACACCAAGGGTGTGATGGACAGACCATTTGATAAGGAGATGAGTGTGAGTGTGAAATACAGACTTAACCGTCCCAACAAAAGCCAAGAATAGAGGTGAGATTCTACCAGCAGAAACAGTGCCAGCTGGGCCTGAGGAAACGGAGAAAGTGGGACAAAATGAAGGAAGGAAGATTGTTGGACTTCTTAGATCCTGCAGGACTGGACATAGAACCATTTGGCTGAAAACACATGTGATTCTTCCAGACAAGGGGAGAATGACTCAAGAGGCTATTCAGAAATCGTCTGGCTGCCACTCCTTCAACACTTTGCCCAGAAATCCACTCAGCTAAATATCCAATTTCTACCTTCCACAAAGCACAATTCAGCCCAGTTATTTGCCACTTTATGACAAGGACGGCCCTTTCTCCAGTGTCCAGTGACATGCTCCTCATTGCTTTCCAAGGCCTCATTAGAATGGTAACTGGTATGGTAAAATCCATACTTCTACCAGCATTCTGTTCATGATGACTTAGTATTGGCTAAGAAGATACAAGTGTTCTCTACAGCTCCCCTCTATTCTTTATGAGTTCTCTCCAGAATCACCTTTCTTTTTTTTTTTTTTTTTTTGAGACAGAATCTTGCTCTATTGCCCAGGCTGGAGTGCAGTGGCACGATTTTGGTTCACTGCAAGCTCCACCTCCTGGGTTCAAGTGATTCTCCTGTCTCAGCCTCCCAAGTAGCTGGGATTAAAGGTGCGCACCATCATGCCTGGCTAAACTTTTTGTATTTTTAGTAGAGATGGGGTTTCACCATGTTGGCCGGGCTGGTCTCGAACTCCTGACCTCGTGATCCACCCGACTCGGCCTCCCAAAGTGCTGGGATTACAGGCACGAGTCACCAGGCCTGGCCCAGAATCCCCTTTCAAATTCCATCCATGGCGATCTAGGCTTTTTTTCTAGCATGTGCCTCAAAACTCTTCTAGCCTCTACCCATTACCAAAGCCACTACCACATTTTTAGCAGTACCTTCACTTCTTAGTATCAATTTCTGTCTTAGTTCAGGCAAAGTGCTGTAGTCTGGGGGCCTATAAACAACAGAAATTTATTTCTCCCAGTCTGGAGGCTGGAAGTCTGAGATCATGGTGCCAGCCTGGGCTGGTTCTGTGAAGGGCTTACTTCCTGGCTGCGGACGGCTGACTCCTTGTATCCTCATGCGTTAGAAAGAGGGCTTGGGAGCTCTCTGAGATCTCTTTTAAAGGACACTAAGGGCCGAGTGCGGTGGCTCACACCTTTAATCCCAGCACTTTGAAAGGCTGAGTCGGGTGGATCACCTGAGGTCAGGAGTTCGAGACCAGCCTGGCCAACATGATGAAACCCTGTCTCTACTAAAAATACAAAAAAAAAATTAGCTCAGCATGGTGGTAGGTGCCTGTAATCCCAGCTACTTGGGAGGCTGAGGCAGGAGAATCGCTTGAACCCAGGAGACGGAGGTTGCAGTAAGCTGAGGTCGTGCCATTGCACTCCAGCCTGGGGAACAAGAGTGAAACTCCATCTCAAAAATAAATAAATAAATAAATAAATAAATAAATAAATAAATGGCACTAAACCCATTCATGAGGATGCTGCCCTCTAGACCCAACTTCTCAAAGGCCCTACCTTCCAATATCATCACTTTGTGATGGAATTTTGCAGGAGAGATTAAACATTCAGTCCACAGCAGCCCCTAAACAACTAAAATTCAGCATAACTGACAGTGCACCCACCGTCTCCCCCAGCTCCCCTCTCCAGCAGCAAACCAGGAGCCAAGTAGAACTTGGGCGCTGGCCTCCGTGTCTGTACTTCCTGTCACCCAGTGTGCCAATGGCTCACCAAGCTCCCTGGATCCCACAAGCAGTCCCCTTCCCTGGTAACTGGACTACTTCAAGTCCCTCCTCTCCCCAAGCCACCCTTCTCTCTGCCCCTCTCTGGCAATAAGGGTCTGATTTTGTCCCCTCCTTGCTCAAACATCTTGGTTGGAATCCCATCCCTCTGAGGGTGAAGCCCAGCCCCTTGTGCTGTGACAGGTCCCTCACCAGCTGTCCCATGCATTTGTGAGCTTGGTGGTGGGCACTGGCCTCCCCAGCTCTCTGAGGCTTTGGCCTCTGCACAGTTCTCCAGGTTCTGGGCTTTTTCAAGTGCTGTTCCCTCCCCTAGGACTGTGCTCTCCTAATGACGCCCTTGCCCTTCCAGGTCTAGGCACATTGGGTGTCCCCACCAGGCCCCTTCTGCTGTCTAGCCTGCAGTTGCTGCCTGGCACTGTGATGTTCTGTCACGAAGGCATCCTTCCAGGAAGCCATGGGCTCCTTAGGATGGGCACCCTGCTGCCTCACTCATCTTTCATCAGGAGCCAGACAAAAACCCTTTATGAGGCGGGGCACAGTGGCTCACACCTGTAATCCCAGCACTTTGGGAGGCCGAGGCAGGCGGATCACAAGGTCAGGAGATTGAGACCATCCTGGCCAATATGGTGAAACCCTGTCTCTAGTAAAAATACGAAAATTAGCTGGGCGTGATGGCACGCACCTGTAGTCACAGCTACTTGGGGGGTTGAGGCAGGAGAATCACTTGAACCCAGGAGGCAGGGGTTGCAGTGAGCCGAGATTGCGCCACTGTACTCCAGCCTGGGTGACAGAGCGAGACTGCATCTCAAAAAAAAAAAAAAAAAAAAGAAAGAGAAAGAAAAACACTCTATGGGCAAACATAGGACTGCCTGGTTTGCGTGGCTTCACTGTCCCTGAATTTGATGTAACACTAAATGGAAGCTATTCCTTTTATGCTCTGCTGCACCAAAGAGGAAGATTCTTTTTTTTTTTAAAGAAAATATTAAAGTGAAATTACGTATGTTAAGATCAGCATAAAGTCTTCCAGTAAAAAATAAGCTAAAAATATCTTTGTAATTATAAAATCAGTTTAGAAAGTCACTGAGTTCTAAGGCATGTAACCTTCAGCTAAATTCCACATGTTCCATTTTCCATTGCGTTTAGTGCTTATTAGGCAGGCTGCTATTAAAATCTCCTTTTAACTGACATTTTGTTCTGAATCATTCACAAAATAAAGTATTGATAAATATTTCAAATATTTATACCTGACTAGCACGTAGTAGGTGCTCTATAAATCTCTGAGAATGGGCCAGGTGCAGTCGCTCACATCTGTAATCCCAGCACTTGGGGAGGCCAAGGTAGGTGGTTTGCTTGAGCCCAGGAGTTCAAGACCAGCCTGGGCAACATGGTGAAACCTCATCTCTAAAAAAGAAAAAATGACAAAATTAGCCAGGCATGGTAGCATGCACCTGCAGTTCCAGCTACTCAGGAGGCTAAGGAGAGAGGATCACTTGAGCCCAGGAGGTGAAGGTTGAAGTATGCCAAGATCGCACTACTGCACTCCAGCCTGGGCAACAGAGTGAGACTCTGTCTCAAAAAAAAAAAATAATAATAAGAATAATTGGTGAATGAATTAAAGTTATATTTTTTAAAATAAGTATTTAGTTATTTTAGGTATTTTATCTAAAGATTATTTTTTCCTTTGGGTTATAAAAGCTAAACATTGGAAGCAAAGTGCATTCTTATTTACATACTAAATTCAGCCTTCAGGAGTTCTTGTTTATGTTTATAAAATTTTTCTTGATCCTGAGGGAGAATCTCTGGAATTGGAAGGAAGTGGATGGAAGCTGAGATTATCTGGTTCAATGCTTTTATTTTACCAAAGGAACAAGACCAAAGGGTTAAATTAGAAACTCAAGACCTGCCAGGCTTGGTGGCTCACGCCTGTTATCCCAGCATTTTGGGAGGCTGAGGCAGGCAGATCACTTGAGGTCAGGAGTTCAAGATCAGCCTGGCCAACATGGTAAAACCCTGTCTCTACTAAAAATACAATAATTAGCCGGGTGTGGTGGCACATGCCTGTAATTCCAGCTACCAGGGAGGCTGAGGCAGGAGAATTGCTTGAGCCCAGGAGGTGGAGGTTACAGTGAGCGGAGATCACACCACCACACTCCAGCCTGGTTGACAGAGTGAGACTCCATTTCAAAAACAAAAAAAAAGAAACTGAAGACCACATAGCTAGCTAATGGCAGCTCTGGAAATATATGATAGTGATTCAACACTATATTGTAGAAAATAAGGAACAGCACATTGCTATTCACTTATTCTATTTTCAGGGTCACATGGTATGTCACCAGACTATCAAATGTTTAAAAACATTTGTATTGTTATATTTAGTAGGAAAATGCATTGAATTTTCTTTTTTTCTTTTTGGTAGTGAGAAGACATTTCTCAAATATATATAGGAAATGTGGTAGCTTTTAATTAACTGTATCTTTTAAATCCATAAACACAGTAGGTTATTTTTGTCACTCAGAACACATTTTCTACTTGCTTTGAAAATCAACAAATTTAATTCACAGAGGCAGAACCAGCAGTCGAACCACAGAAGGCTACAGCCTCAAGAGTTAAATGGACCTCCAAATCTAGGGGGAAAGTGAGGAAAAGGGTAGGATAGATGCTCAGGAAGGGACCACCTCTGTCGCTGCAGCAGTGAGATACCCAGAAACCCATACTCTGTGGATGAAGAGATTTTGCCACAAGGAGACTTTCCAAAAATAAATTGTTTTGTTGTGTGGCTGGAAGTATTTTACCGGTGAGGTGGAGGTGGAGATTTTTCCTTACTTTTCATCAAGAAGATAATTTGTAAATGTGGAATTGTATCACGTTATGGAAATAAGTTAAAAAACAAAATCAGTCTATCCCTGTGTGGTAAAGAATTAACTTTACCCAAAGACAGGTCTGGCTTTTGCCTAGGCTCTTAGGAGGTGCTCTCTAAGCTGTTGGAATGTGGTGTCTGAAAAGAGGCTCTTTCCTTACCCAGGAGCCTTGGCCCACTCTGGATAGGGTGGGGTCTCTGGGTCATGTAGTATCAGTTTTGCCTCCAGAAGGGCTGGAGACTGAGGTCAGCTACCTGGGCAGCCAACCACATCTTTGTGACCAAGCCTCAATAAGAACTCTGGACACCAAGGCACAGGTGGGCATCTCTGGTTGATGGTGCGCCACGCATGTTATCACACATTACTGAGGGGAAGGTTAGCGCTATCTGTGACTCCCAAGGGAGAAGACCACTGGAAGCTTCGTGAGTAGAACTTTTCTGGACTTTCCCCATGCATCTCTTCCCTTGGCTGATTTAACTCTGTATCCTTTCACCGTAATAAACTGTAATGGTGAGTATAACAGCTTTCAGTAAGTTCTGTGAGTTCTTCTAGCAATTTATTGAAACTGAGGGTGAATTTGGGCACCCCCAAACTCTGCCGTTCATGTCAAAAGTGAGAGTGGTCTTGTAGACTGTCCTTTAACTTTGCAGGTCTCTAATCTGATTTATTTTATTTTATTTATTTATTTATTTTTGAGATGGAGTTTCACTCTCATAGCCCAGGCTGGAGTGCAATGGCTCAGTCTCGGCTCACTGCAACGTCTGCATCCCAGGTTCAAGTGATTCTCCTACCTCAGCCTCCAGAGTAGCTGGGATTACAGGTGCGCACCACCATGCCTGGCTCTTTTGTATTTTTAGTAGAGATGGGGTTTCACCATGTTGGCCAGGCTGGTCTTGAACTCCTGACCTCAAGTGATCCACCTGCCTCGGTCTCTCAAAGTGCTGGGATTACAGGTGTGAGCCACTGCACCCAGCCTGTAATCTGATTTAGAACACAGTGACCACTTTCCTCTAACAGCCTTCCTTTCCTCTGGTCTCTTTGTCCCTCCCTCCATCTGTCCTAAATGCAGCTGCTCTGTTAATTTTCCTCACACATGTCTGACCCCACATATCTGTTATCTTCAGTGACTCTTCAGTACCTTGTGGGTAATTCATTGCTCAATGGAGTTAATGGACGATCCAGGCTGGGGCCGCCCAGATGAAAGCTGAGTCACTCCTGACAGCTCCCAGGCCTTGCTCTGTCTTCTGTTAGCACTGCCTGCACGGTTTCTCCTCCCAGTGAACCTGAGCTTTTTGGGGGCAACTATGAAGAGGCCATTGATCTCTGCATCCTCAGCACCAGCACTTCTAGGAGGCATTGGGAAGGGGCTGGCTCGTGAGTTAATATAGGGAAGCCAGTGGGCTCTGTGGTGCCATGCCCTTGGTGTGAGTCTTTCTTCTCCTGCAGTAATTAAGTGGAGCATCAGCTTTTGCTTGGTATCCCATCTTGTGTGTCTTGGGTCAATGATGTTTCTTCAACTGATCTCTTTGGGAACTTGCAGGTAATGGCTTCTGCGATTGGTGCCTAAAGCTTGGGGGAGGTAACTAGTTATGATCTGTCTGTGTGAGTCCAAAAACCATCAAAACTGGATTCGGTGTTTTAGTGAAGTGAAGAGTGTTTTGTTTTTGTTCTTTTGGGATGTGTTGCTCTGGTGGACAGTCATGCTTTTGGTTAACTAGGGAAAAGGCCAGAGGGATCAGGAGACACCTACAAACCCTTGTCTGCTTTAAGAAGAGATGGTAGCACTGCATGAGTTTCAATGGTCATGGGAAGCAGATCCATCATCTCAGGGCTTAATTGCTGAAGACTGGAGATTGCTACGCTGAATTCATTTTCTGAATCAAAAATAGATGGCCAAGAATTTTGCTCTTTTTCCAGGCATAAGAGGCAGCCTGGAGGATATTGCTTGGCTAGTGAAACATTGGAATTTCCAAAGCATTTTGATGGTTCATGTGTCCTTAAAAGGCTTGGACAAATTGCAGCCATATCACCAATTATGAGATGCAGACTATCGCATAGCCTTCATGGAAACGAATTGCCTAAAACAGGCTGCCCCAGATAACTCGTGGATAAGATGCTGCGATGCTTGTGTGTTTATCTGAAACTATGGAAAATGAGGGACATCCTGAGATATGGGTTTCTCTGGACTATTCCTAACCAAGGATCTTAGGATACATAGGGTCTGGGGGTTTGGCTGTGGGCTTTTGACCAAGAGGAGCCTGGGCTTTTGATCAATAGAAGCATCCTGAAGCAAGGGGCACCTAAGGGGTAAATACTATAGGCCGGGTGTGGTGGCTCATGCCTGTAATCCCAGCACCTTGGGAGGCTAAGATGTAGGATCACTTGGAAAGATCCTTGAGCCCAGGAGTTCGAGAGCAACCTGGGCAACATAGTGAGACCCTGTCTTAAGAAAAAAAAAAAAAAAAAGGAAATAAATACAGTAATTTCCTGGATATGCTGAGGGTGAAATTTGAAGTGAATGAGATCAGGAGTTGCCTAGGTGCACATAATTTAGATGTCAGGTTATGGCCACAGGGTTCTTATATTCTTAATTAGAACTCAAACTAGGCCGGGTGTGGTGGCTCATGCCTGTAATCCCAGCACTTTGGGAGGCCGAGGCAGGTGGATCAGAGTTCAGGAGTTCGAGACCAGCCTGGCCAACATGGTGAAACTCCATCTCTACTAAAAATACAAAAATTAGCTGGGTATGGTGGTGGGCACCTGTAATCCCAGCTACTTGGGAGGCTGAGGCAGGAGAATCCCTTGAAACTGGGATGAAGAGGTTGCAGTGAGCCGAGATTGCGCCACTGGACTCCCACCTGGGCAACAGCAAGACTCAGTCTCAAAAAAAAAAAAAAAAAAAAAAAAGGACTCAACCTGTAAAGGAATGAACAGTCCCATTTCCTGGCACTCAGAGTTATTCATCTTAAATCACCTCATAAACTACATAGTTAAATCTAATGTAGTTCCATATTAGTGAGACCAATTTGTAAGCTATAATAAATGAAACAAATAGAAAGTGATATTATTATTATTTAAGTAGTCTACATTTAGTGCTAAAATGCATTCACTATGGTAACAGAGAATGCATTGCCTTAACCATTAACCAAATGGAGCAAAACTTTATGAAACAAGAAAGAAAAATATTCACTCATAAACAAAGTAGACTTGAAGAAGTAGCATGTATTTAATAATAAGAAATTGTTCCTTGAAAATTACAAATAACTGGATTTTAGAAAAGTATCTTCCATAATGAAAAGCTAGTATGTAATATGAAAACTTTACATTACCTATTGAAACAGAAACAACTACCTCACCCTTAACATCCTGTAGAATGTTCTTTGTTGAGTTACCAGTACTAATTATTCAAGAATTTGGTGTCTCGGCCGGGCACGGTGGCTCATGCCTGTAATCCCAGCACTTTGGGAGAATGAGGCAGGTGGATCACCTGAGGTCAGGAGTTCAAGACCAGCCTGGGCAACACGGTGAAACCCCATTTCTATTAAAAATACAAAATTAGCTGGGCGTGGTGCTGCACGCCTGTACTCCCAGTTACTCGGGAGGCTGAGGCAGGAGAATCGCTTGAACCTGGGAGGCGGAGGTTGCAGTGAGCCGAGATCATGTCACTGCACTCCAGCCCGAGCGACAGAGTGGGACTCCATCTTAAAAAAAAAAAAAAAATTTGAGGTCTCACGAGAAGACCAGTGTTTTGGGTAGGGATGGGTCCGTCTAGGAGAGATGTTTGAGACACAGGTGTGACGTGCCACTAAAATCCTTGTTTCTGGGTCCTTGACTTTGTAATGTTGACGGAATTCGTTTCTTCCCAAGAATTCATAGTTTTTCACTATGATTAATATTTCTATTTCAGAGTGTCTCATAAGGAAACTGGTGATAGCACCGTACAAATTAGCACACAATAAGTGAATATCACCATAAAGAAAAACACTATTTCAAAAGCATATCAGAAACACAGCAATCAAAGAGTTTTGGAAATGAACAGCCAGTGGTCGCCAAGGCGTGGAATTCACCAAGGGGTGGAAGCTGTCATTTTCCCCTGGGGGCGGGAGTGTGAATGGATACAACCTTTCAGAGGGCAGTCTGACAACACATATCGTAAATCTGCAAATGCTCCACACTCTTTGGCAAAGAGATTCTACTTCTAGGAATGTTTCCTAGTGAACTATTGAGAGTCTGTGCAAAAAAATGAGCAGCGAGGATTTTTTTAGTGTTATTTATAACAGGGAAATATTTAATGTCCAATAATAGATTGACTATTTAAATGATCACATATTTCTCAAATGGAATACTACAGCATTAAACATTATTTTAGAAGAACATTTAATAATCTGGAAAGACATCCATAGTATTTTAAATAAAAAAGCAGATTGCAAAACTGGATGGTAGTATGCTCTTACTTTGTTTATAAATAGACTTTTATATGTGGAATTTTAAGCGTGTGTATATACTTTTTAAAGGACTAGAAGATTGATCACCAAAAATATTTCATAGTACTTGTTGCTGGTTGGTTGGATTCTAATGAAATTTTCCTCCTTTCGTAACTGGCCAAGGGGTTCACCTTGCTGGCTGCCTAGACAGAGCCAATTCCTCAAGACAGGGGAATTGCAATAGAGAAAGAGTAATTCACGCAGAGCTGGGCTGGCTGTGCGGGAGACCAGAGTTTTATTACTACTCAAATCAGTCTCCTGGAGCATTCAGGGAGCAGAGTTTTTAAGGATAATTTGGTGGGTGGGGAAAAGCCAATGAGCCAAGGGTGCTGATTGGTCGGAGATGAAATCATAGGAAGTCGGAGCTGTCTTCTTGAGCTCAGTCATGTCCTGGGTGGGGGCCACAAGATCAGATGAGCCAGTTTATTGATCTGGGTGGTGCCAGCTGATCCATCAAGTGCTGGGTCTGCAAAATATCTCAAGCACTGATCTTAGGAGCAGTTTAGGGAGGGTCAGAATCTTGTAACTTCCAGCTGCACAACTCTAAGCCATAATTTCTAATCTGTGGCTAATGTTAGTGCTGCAAAGGCAGTCTAGTCCCCAGGCAAGAAGGAGGTCTGCTTTGGGAAAGGGCTGTTACCGTCTTTGTTTAAGCTATAAACTATAAACTAAGTTTCTCCCAAAGTTAGTTCAGCCTACGCCCAGGAATGAACAAGGACAGCTTGGAGGTTAGAAGGAAGATGGATTCAGTTAAGTTAGATCTTTCACTGTCTCAGTCATAATTTTGCAAAGGCGGTTTCACTTTTACTCGTACGTGTTTAAAATTTTTTCTACCATAAATGTGTCACTTATGTAATAAGGGGGAGAAAGTTACTTTAAGAAACAACATCAATCCCTTAATGCGCATAAATGTAGAGCATGGGTTTAAAGCGTTCACGTAGCCATAGGGAGCCTGGTCCACTTGAAAATGATGGACTGCTTTGTAGTCTCCAGATTTATTTGGGGGAAAAACACCTCAATTCACTACATAAATCTACCTCTGCAAAAGCTCTTCAGTTTGCAAAGAATCACGAATTCAACTTTTACAGTAAATTACTTCTTGGCATTGTGAAAATTAAAGCACTTACCTGATATTCTAATCTTCCTGGTTATAAAAATAGTCCCTTTTCCAGAAATTCCCCTTTTCCTTCCATAAATCCACATATACAAGTCCTAACCAGAATGCTTCTTCCTTTTAAATGGAAGCCATAGTCCCATCAGGTGAGTCACCAAAGAAACCACCACCTCCACTCAAAGGCAGGTTTTCCTAACACCACAAGCCCTTCCCTGCCCTCCTGCATGGCTGCATCCCACCTTTACTGGCTCAATGCCACCTCCTCCAGGAAGTCCCCCATCCCATCCAGTGGCTGGCTGTGTTTGTTCACTCTTAAGTCTCCTGGAGCACTTCACCTGGGCTATCAGAAACCCTGATCACTTTATTGGGAAGTTAACTCTCTGTCCTGTTGGACTGGGCAAGGAGACAGGACCTGGCCTGAGTGAGCCTGCCCCACTTGTCGCTGTGAGGGGCAGAGCACCTAGTACACCTTTGAGGCTTTCTACGTACTTGCTGAATCAGCAGATCCGGGGGAAGCTTGAAAGCACGTGGACATTCTTTAGGGATTGTCGGGTTCCTCTCGGTAAATCGACTGATTTACAGAGACAGGGACATCTTCCAGACCCTTTTCCTTTCACTTATTAACGTAAATCTCTCTTTCCTACTCCCTTAAAAGATGAGTGTACCACTGGGCACGGTGGCTCACGCCTGTAAATGGGAATGCTCTGAGAGCTGTCCAACTCACGCCTGTAATCCCAACACTTTGGGAGGCCGAGGTGGGTGGATCACGAGGCCAGGAGTTCGAGACCAGCCTGGCCAACATGGTGAAACCCCGTCTCTACTGAAAATACAAAAATTAGCGCGTGGAGGCGCACGCCTGTCATCCCAGCTACTTGGGAGGCTGAGGCAGGAGACTCCGTCTCAAAAAAAAAAAAAAAGAAAAGAAAAGAAGAAAATGATGAGTGTACCTTGAGCTCAAGTAGTACCATTATTTTCCGGGGGGGAGTCAGTTTACCAGCAGAGAAGTGAAATTTCTTTTTTTTTTTTTTTTTTTTCACTTACTGTTCATCCCTCCCCCGAACTGACCAGTTGCAGCTGCTTTTTCTAATTTTAAAGCCATGTCTCATTTTTTCCATGCAGTGAAGATTGCATGTTAAATTACTGCTGTTTCTAAAATGTTGCTCAGCCCTTGGAGTAGCTTTTATTTGTCACGGAGTCAGTGGGCTGTCTAGGCCTGCTTCTCTGTTTAGCTTTGGCTAAAAAGATAGATGGCCCTTAATAGGTCTCTCCTTCCTTCCTTTTTTTGTGGGGGTCTCAGAGGAAAGTCTTGCCAGAAATACAAGTTTCTATTTGAAATTAGCATTTGTTCTTAAAAAAAAAAAGAGTCTCTAACCTGTCACCAGCTGAGTTTTCTGTTAAGAAGTGATAGATTCTTACCAGGAGAAAAAGAGAGCCGTCTCCACAGGCGTGAGTCAGAGTAATGACAGAAGAGAACAAGAGAAAATTTCTTCTCGTTGAAAACTCCTGAGAATATATCCTGTCCCTTCCTTAAACCCAGGGCCTCAGTTTCCGTACTGCCTGTGCTGTCTCCACCGACTGTATAGTTGCCTTAAAGGTGGAATGCTCTACATTTTTTTTTTTTTTGAGACGGAGTCTCACTCTGTCGCCCAGGCTGGAGTGCAGTGGCGCGATCTCGGCTCACTGCAAGCTCCGCCTCCCGGGTTCACGCCATTCTCCTGCCTCAGCCTCCCGAGTAGCTGGGACTACAGGCGCCCGCCACTAGACCCGACTAATTTTTTGTATTTTTAGTAGAGACGGGGTTTCACTGTGTTAGCCAGGTTGGTCTCAATCTCCTGACCTCGTGATCCGCCCGCCTCAGCCTCCCAAAGTGCTGGGATTACAGGCGTGAGCCACTGTGCCCGGCCCGGAATGCTCTACATTTTCAAGGTTGAAATCTCTTGTGATTACCAAACTAAAACTCAGAGGAAACAGACACTGAAATACATTCCTGATTGGAGAACAAAACTATCCAACCTCATAGAGAAGGGAATTTGACACTAAGTAATAGAACTACAAGTGCAGGCCGGGCGCGGTGGCTCACACCTGTAATCCCAGCACTTTGGGAGGCCGAGGCCGGCGGATCACCTGAGGTCAGGAGTTCCAGACCAGCCTGGCCAACATGGTGAAACCCCGTCTCTACTAAAAGTACAAAAATTAGCCAGGCATGGTGGTCACACACCTGTAATCCCAGCTACTTGGGAGGCTGAGGCAGGAGAATTGCTTGAACCCAGGAG